>NC_000006.12:37938787-38241818 GCF_000001405.40 Homo sapiens | reverse complement strand
AAGAGACTTGCATGTGTGGTTTTTTTCCCTCTGTTTTAAGCCAAGCTCTATAAAGCATATTTTCCCCACAGTTGACATTTTCTTTTCACCATCCCTTGAAATGGAATGTAAGTGAATTTCACCGTGGTGTTATAAATTATGTACTGAGTATCAGTAATAAACATTTCTTACAAAGTTCTAAAGTATAGTTTCAGAGTGGTGATCATCTGGAATTGCACACATTTACCAGCTGCTTTGGAGGGAGTTTGCGAGTGCTTTCTGCTCATACACTTTTCACTTCTTTATCCAAATTTATACAACAGTATGGAGCCCATGTAATAAACCTAAATGGAGCAAAAGAATGTTTGTATTCCTAGTAATGTGGCTTAGCAATCTTGACCTGATGAGTGGTCATCTTGTTCGGCCTTCTACCTTGAGGCAATGTTGCACATTAAATTTGTCCCAGAGAGTTCGTGGTTTTCCTCAGATGAGGAAGACTGGATAATACTGCTTGCTTCCTCATCTGCGGTTCTCAGAGCCTTAGTGTAAATTTCTGCTGTGAGGTGATTCTTAGGCAAAGGAAGATAGCATATGTTGGTACTGCTCTATTAGAGGAGAGAACTTGTTTATATCGTTCTTTTTTCCTTCCTGATTCTCTGGAGAGTTACTGAATTCTCTGTAGGATTTAGCAGTGGACATATAAGCTTAATAGAAATTCTGATGCTGGAGCTTTGAAATGTATAGTCTTTTCTTTAGGGTATGCTGAGGGTGGGAGAAGGAGGGGCTCCTGGAAGCTTGTTTGTTTGTTTCACATTTCTGAATCTTCAGAATTCATTTTTCCTAATTAAGATCAAAACCCAAATCTACATTAATCTAGTGTCAGGGTCACAGATTTAAACCAACAGGACTTCAGAGTTGGTGTTCTCGGAGCACCACTGAGCCCCTCCTATCACAGCCTCTGCCCGTTTGAGCGTGGATCTGGTAGGCTAATTGAAAGCCTCAATTGCCCTGTGAAGACAGAGCCACAATAACATTAAGAAGTAATCAAGTTTTTAGTTAGACATGGCACGTACTGTGAATCTACAATTCCAAATGCCTTCATTTTTGAATTTCTAGTCTGATTTTCAAATTTATGCCTTCACATTGCTTTAATATGGTGTTCTTACATTAATATTAATTAACTTTATGAATTTCTGAGGAGATGAGAAGGGAACACAGGGCACAATTTTCTAAGCTTTTCATTTTGGGGGATAGAACCACTGATATTTTCAGGCAGTATTTTCTTCTTTTGCCATTTCCTTAATTAAAATTATCATTCAAATACTATTGAATCATTTCCCTGCCAGGAACCCTAAACTGTAGGGCATGGGCTTATGTTAACTCAAAAGTCTGATATTTATCTAGGCATTAATTTAGTGGACATATTTTGAGCCACTGCTTTAGGTCAGGCTCTGTGCTGGGCACTTCCCTCCTCTCATGGGCTCACTAATTAAGCCTTCCCAATTGGCTCAGGACCAGCTGAGACTGAGGGGCCTTGATCCCAATGCAAATAGAGGCATTTGTGGATTCTGACACATGGAGTTAGACCAAATCTTCTCTGAGTGACTCAGTAGGGATAACATTTATGGGAGTAGGCAGCATGCTAAATCTGGAAGTACTTACTACCTAGATGGAATGGGCCTGGCCTTGGTGGATACAAGAAAATCACTCGTTCTCTCTTCAGCCTGCTGGAGGGAAGTTCAGGTGTGCCTTGAGCTCAGATCTTCCCAGAGATGGCAGGATAGCAGCCTTGCACGCTCAGCCAGTCCACTCCTTTGTTACCTTTTGTATTGCCAACAATAACCTTGGCTATCGGGAGGCTTAGTAAATTGACCGTGTTTTGTTGCACTCCTGTGCCAGTGCCAGGCTGCTCTTTCTGATAAGGTAAGTGTGACGTTCAGTTTGTGATGAGCACTTGCAGTTTCTGTAAATGTAATACTATATAATAAGCAGTAATTTTCCACTGACCCTTGAAAACAGGAAGTTTCTGTTTGGCTTTTAGTGACAGCCAAAATGTAGGTGTTTTCTCCCTCCACCAATATGATGAATTTCCAGAGGCATCTTTTTTCACAAGATAGATTATTAGCAAGTTGTTTCCTAAGCTTGACCAAAATGTGTCATGGTTAATCTTGCCTTAAAAAAGTCAAAGTCAAGTATATTGGCTCCAGAGTAGCCATTTATAATAAAATGACTATATACATTCTTAAGCTCCTTTTAGCTGTCTCCTGGCTGTGCTTTTTACTCAAGGGTTTGGTATCCTGAAGCTTAGCCCAGTAGCTTGGGTGATAAAACTGCCATGTCTCAGGTTATTGTTTTAAATTTCCTATAAGAGATTATATCTTTTTTTTTTTTTTTTTTTTTTGAGACAGAGTCTTGCTCTGTCGCCAGGCTACAATGCAGTGGCACGATCTTGGCTCACTGCAACCTCCACATCCCAGGTTCAAGCAGTTCTCCTGCCTCAGCCTCCCAAGTAGCTGGGACTGCAGACGTGCGCCACCACGCCCAGCTAATTTTTGTGTTTTTAGTAGAGACAGGGTTTCACCATGTTGGCCAGGATGGTCTCGATCTCTTGACCTCGTGATCTGTCCACCTCGGCCTCCCAAAGTGCTGGGATTACAGGGATTATGGGCATGAGCCACCGCTCCTGGCCAAGAGATTATATCTGAAGTGTAAAGTGAACTTGCACTAGATGACTTGGTGTCCTTTCCTGAGAGAGGAAGAGGGCCTTTTATGTTCTGTACTCTTCTCCCGAGTCCCACCCCATTAAGATTGAATGGAGTAACCATCCAAATGGACCCCTTCTTTCAGCCAAGGGCATTAGAAAGTTAGCCTGAAAAACTTGTTCAGGCCATGATGGAAGCAGGGGTCGGACATGTCTCATTATACCCTCTTCCCTTTTAGAATTCAGGGAAAGCTGACCAGCATTAACATCAACACAGATCTCAAGTCTGATAAGAAACATTTACAGTCTATTCTGTCTGAAACCTACTACTTGGAGGCTTCACCTGCATGATAAAACATTGGTCTCGGCCAGGCGCGGTGGCTCACGCCTGTAATCCTGGCACTTTGGGAGGCCGAGGTGGGCGGATCAACAGGTCAGGAAATCGAGACCATCCTGGATAACACGGTGAAACCCCGTCTCTACTAAAAATACAAAAAAATTAGCTGGGCGTGGTGGTGGGCGCCTGTAGTCCCAGCTACTCGGGAGGCTGAGGCAGGACAATGGTGTGAACCCGGGAGGTGGAGCTTGCAGTGAGCCGAGATCGTGCCACTGCACTCCAGCCTGGGCGACAGAGCGAGACTCCGTCTCAAAAAAAAAAAAACAAAAAACCTTGGTCTCCGCAACAGCTTACTGTAAAGCATACATTCCTTTCTGTTGATAATAACTCTCAACCAATTGCCAATCAGAAAATTTTTAATGACCTGGAAGCACCCGTCCTTGAGTTGCCCTACCCTTCCAGGTGGAACCAATGTAAATCTTACATGTATTTGATTGACGTCTCACGTCTCCCTAAAATGTATAAAACTAGGCTGTGCCCCAAATGACCACCTTGAGCACTTGTTCTCAGGACCTCCTGAGGGTTGTATCACAGGCCATTGGTCACTCATATTTGGCTCAGAATCAATTTCTTCAAATTTTTTGTTTAAAAAAGATTGAATGAGGTGCTTGCTGATTTTGTTTTGTTTTTTAAGAGACAAAGTCCTGCTCTGTCACCTAGGCTTCTAAACCTAGCCTCCGGCAATCCTCCTGCTTCCATCTCCCAGGTAGCTGGGACTATAGGCACATGCCACCACCATGCCCAACTAATTTTTCTATTTTTTTTAAATAGAGACAGGGACTCTCTTTATTGCCCAGGCTGGTCTCGAACTCCTGGCCTCAAGCAGTCTTTTTGCCTCAGCCTCCCAAAGTGCTGGGAGTAGAGGCATGAGCTACCATATCTGGCTGATTTTTTTTTTTTAAAACATTGGAAAATACCATTGAAAAGGAAACAGACAAATGCTTTACATTGTAACCCTCCCCACCTCTCTTTAAAGTCATCTGTTTATTTTTTCTTGACACTTGAAATACCATAAGATTCAGCACTTTTTTGTAAGGAATTAAGATTGTTTTTTCATCAGATTATCTTTTCTTCTTTCTGAGATATAGCTGGCATTATCTATTCATTCATTAGTTTCTGTAGGCATCTTGGTAACCATTTACTCCTATCAGATGGCTTAAGCAAGACCAGAAACTGTTGATTTTGTGATATCATGTGATTTTATGAATCATGTTGATGGGAGCCCTGGTACTTCCATGATCACCGGGGACTGCCATTTATCTCCACACAGGTGGCCTTCCTGGTACTTTGGTGCATCTGACTTGCTAAAACCAGGATATTAGTGAATGGTGGCAACTAACATGCAGGAGTTGTTTGAACTGACCTTACATTTAAGAAATTATTTTGCCCTTTTGGCACAAAAAGTTGGATTTGTTGATCAGAATGATAGATCCCCTCTCTATGTGGAGCTCTGTGTGGAGTTAGGGAGAAAAGAAAAGATAGACTACTTGCCTGTAGTCTGATTTGAAAACAACATACACCTCAAAAAGACTCTCCAATACACTGACTCTTCCTAAGTGTCACCTACAAAGCAAACTGAAGTTGAATGATTGTTTGCTTTCCGTGTCTGCTTAAAAATTTGTCCAAATCACAGACAAGTGTGCAATTTATGAAGACAAAACTAAAAAGCAAGTGAGTTGCACCTTTACAGAGTTCAGCTACTGAGCAGTGAGGTGTAGGAAAAGTGTGTGTTTGGCCTGAGATCAGGCTTCCCCTGGGCCCCTTTTGCAGTGATGCTCAGGGAAAATGCATCCTGTTCATTTGGCACAGCCATCTCTCATCTCACAGTTCTTTGTTTCCCAGATCTGAACCTGGACACAACATTCAATGACTGTGGGTTTGGGGAGCTATTGTTTTCTTCCTCCCACTGTGCCTTCCATTGAAATTTTTATTCTGCATGCGGAACTGAATCCACTCTGCACATGAAATGCACTGACCCAGGTGGAAGCAGATTTTTAATCAAATGTCATTAGAACAATCCATTTGCTGCAGAAATCTCTGGAGTCCTCATATTACTGTGCCCACATTTTCCAGTTGTTTACTGGGATTTGATTTCTAGCCCAGCATGTTTCTTTGGGATTTACTTAGATTGGCTGAATTAAATTAGGATTTATAGTTCTTGTGACCCTTTTACTTAGGAATTTTATATGGAGATATCCCCCATTACAGACCTGCGTGTGTTGGCTAACTGTCGTAATCCAAATGAGTCTTTCCTTCAAAACAGAAGTGGTTTCCCCTTCACTGGGTTTGTGCTTTGTTCTTTAGCCTCTGTTAGGATGTTGGCTATTTGGATTTCAGGTTTGGGGATGGTTTGAAATGATGTCACAGACCAGTAGTCTTTAGAAATGTCTAGGTCATATGATTTGTTAATTTTACTACAAATGAAAAGTAAAGTGGGAAATGGGAGCTCTGGAGAACTGAGAATTGTGGTTTCAGAGAGGACCTAAAATCTATAGTAGTGTTGCTAGTTCCTGGTCTCCATTGTATTTGGAAAAGGGGATGAAGAGGAGAAACGCATCTAAAAGAGGGTATGGAAAAGTAGTGTCAAAGCTGTTGCTGTTTTTATTATTTCTTAAGTGAGGCATTCCTTTCCTACATAAGAACATCTAACTTATGTTTTCTTGAAAAATAAGAGTTCTGGCTGTAAAGAGATCCAGAGTCTCAGTTTCCCGACTCTGATGTCCTGTCCCATACGCAGCCCTGTTTTCCCAGCTGATAAAGCCTACCCTTTCTACCTCGGGCCAGGGGTCTTTCATTGTCACTATGCCCAAGGGGTCTGTGCACACAACTGTACTTCAGTAACATTGGTTTCTTGTGTGTTCTATTTTATACATTTGAAAACATTCTGAGAAGGGATTCATATGCTTCACAGAGTGCCAGAGAGATCCCTGGCACAAAAAAGGGAAGATCCAAGGGTCAGCTGAATACTCACATATGAAAACCTTTGAGTAAAGCAGACATTTCAATGAAAATAGGAAGTGTCAGTTACAGATATCTCTGTTACTGTGTTATTGTGTCATTCCTTTACCTGATTTCTGTTGGTCTCCTGTGACCTTTTCCATCTGGTGTGCACCCTACATTTGGGGCCATGAGCTGCTAAGATGAGCACGTCAAGCTCATCTTTGTCACTGACCCCTCCCTATCTTAAACCTTGAAATATGGTGATCTCATTTGTTAAACTTCAGCCAGTGGTACTGGGAGCCAGATGGAGTTTGCAGCAAAACCTGAGCCCTCCTCACTAGCTCAGGTTTCAGAATCATTTCCCTCTTTGTAGCTCTGTTTGCATGTCAGCCCTGAAGGTTGGTTCTAAAAGATTGAGTCTGGGAAATGTGACCAGCCCTTGGCTTTCCTTTAGTCCTTGCTCTGACCCTCCAGTCTTGACTACCTTCTCTCAAGACTCCCATTTTACTGATAAGAAAATGCAGTGTCTACCTGCAGGAAACGTATGCAGACCTTTCTTCACTCATTCAACCCCTTTTTATCAAGTACCTACTATGAGTTCAGTACTGTGGCAGGCAAAAATCTGCCTGACCACAAAATTAAAGAGCCCACGGTGATTGGTGATTGTCAGAGTGTAAAGTGCAGGCTCGCTGTGGAACAAGAGCTGCAAACCTCCTGTGGTTTAGCAGTTACTGTGTACCCACTATGTACTAGAACTTAACTGGTGGAGGGCTCAGAGCCTGTCCCCAGGAGAAGTACAGTGTAATTGCTGGAATAAGGGGTGCATGTATGAAAGTGAAAATCTGTGTTGGAATTGTTTCTGTTTAATGTAAAATTATTTCAATCTTAGCCTTTATACTAGGGATTGTGTTATTAGACTCTTTACTAGTATTTGCCACCAGCAAGAAAAGTGTGAAATATGGCAGCATTATCTGTACATGAGTGAAGTAAAAAAGGCAAAATAAAAATCCCTGGGCTGAAAATCAGGAGGCCTGGCTCTTAGCCATGGTTCTGCCGCCGATTAGCCGAGCATCCTTGGGCAAGACGTTTACTCTCTCTGTGCCTCTGTCTCCACGTCTGTAAGATGCCATTCCTAAAACAAGGCTTGGTGCTGGGCTCCAAGGGCTGTTTTTATTAAAATAATACCGTTTATTGTTATTTTATCAGTAAAAGTATATAATAGTTATGTAAGACATAAAATATAATGGATTTACTTCTAAAGTTTCTTCTAATGTGTGTTGCCTTGACAGATGTACAGACACCCACATGCATGAATGCTGTATATATAAAATACATGTGTGAGCATTCAACTCTTCCATGTGGGGTCGAGCCAACCCTTGTAACTGCTTCTCCCCACCTCCTTAGCCCTTTGAAACTGTCCTTAACTGTCACATACCTGGGCCCAAGCAGCTGCAGGGTGATAGCTCCACCTTTAGAGCAAAGCCTGCACCCTCAGATATTCTTTGCAGAAAGTGAGAAAATAAAATAACAAACTGAAATATATTAAACACCTTGAGCTTCCTGGAGACGAAGGCTGTGACAGACATAGTTATATATTTGAAAGAAATAGAGTCATATAGAACAACAAATAGAGGTGCTGAAGCACAAGGTCAGATGAGTTTATATTTAAAGAAAGGTCAGGAAGTTAGTCTTTTCCTTCTAAAATCACAAGGTACATACCTCGTGACTGGAATCCTTTTCCTAATGAAATATTAACATCCATTAGATGTTGGGTTTGCATTAAAAATGTCTCCACATTTGTATTTTTAGCATGGACACAGTGGTATCAGTTAAAATAATTAGCCCTTGCCTGTAATATAAAAGCCTTATCTCTTTACTCTTACTTTTTTAGAAGGCAGATGTTTTAAAACTGATTTGAAAATCAAATTTGCCCTTCAGTGATTTCATTTGGAAGAAACAGAGAAGTAAACATTATAAAGAAGGCTTTTCAGTACATTATGCATGCAAATTGTGGCAGCCGAATTCAGGTTCACAAGTGGAGGTGGCTGCCTGTCCTGGTTGAGAAAGGTTGAGATGTTTAAATTAATACAAAGGTCATCAACCCTCAGATTGTGTTCTTCTGTCATTTGGTAGCAGGGCTATTGCTTCCTGTTAAACTCTACCTGCCAAAAGGTAAGCACTGAAAGGCGCTGGCAGGCCAAGTAAGGCCACAGTCATAGTGCAGTGGCTGTGTTGAAACTTCCAGGGTAGGCTGCTGCAGAGAACCTTGCTTTCTGCCCAGCCTTGTGTGCTGGATGCAGTAGAATGGGCATAAGGGGTGTGTGCTCTTTCCAGAATACCGCACTGTTAGAGAATTTGGAGGCTATGGTCACAGAAGTTAAATATGTGCCGCAAAGAACTGCTCTGATATATTATGGGTTTATCTGATATCTCTTCAAGGGTCAGGGACCATGTCTTATTCATCTTTGAATCACCACAACTTGGCACAGAGCCTGACATGTAGTAGGAGCTTAAAAATGGTTTCGTTATTTTTTTAAAAAAATAGTGAATGAATTTAGGAATGAAGGAGTAAGTAGTTATATTTTGGGAACAACTTGTCTTTTTTAAAAAATTGAATTACAACACAGATTTTGTCCATCTTATAGTGAATTAGATAAAGGTTATCACTAGGGAAGGGCAGAAAATGAGATTTAAACTAATCCAAATCAAATTCTTGCTCACTATCCTGAAGATCAAACACTTGAGCCCTCCCACAGATCTGGAAAGAAAAGGCCTCCCACCAAGGAAGCATGACCATCCTGCCTAAAATTTGAATTAAAAATCCAGTTGGCCCAGCTCCTCAGTGGGTGGATTCTGGAAAGGGATGGTTACCCAGGGTGAACACAGCATCCTCTGGGAAGGGCTTGTTGGAATCAGCCAGGTTTAGCCTGGGCTATAGGAGGAAGCCTGGCCTCTTATGTGTTACTAATCCGTGATCCAGAGAGACTCATTTAAAAAGGCCTCAGCCAGGCGCAGTGATGCACGCCTGTAATCTTAGCTACTTGGGAGGCTGAGGTGGGAAGATCGCTTGAGCCCAGGAGTCTGAAACCAGCCTGGGTAACATAGCGAGACCTTATCTTCAAAAAAAAAAAAAAAAGTTGCGAAAGGTTTATGTGAAAAAATAATAATAAAATAAAATAAATAAAAGTGAACTGTAGCTAGAAAGTCCAATAACAAATCTTTTGGGAAGATCTTTGTGCTATACTACATCTCTCTTGTATCTTTTAATCTCTTTTCTGCTGAGGCAGGCAGATCACGAGGTCAGGAGATCGAGACCATCCTGGCTAACACAGTGAAACCCCATCTCTACTAAAAATACAAAAAATTAGCCGGGCGTGGTGGCAGCCGCCTATAGTCCCAGCTACTCAGGAAGCTGAGGCAGGAGAATGGCGTGAACCCGGGAGGCAGAGCTTGCAGTGAGCTGAGATTGTGCCACTGCACTCCAGCCTGGGCAACAGAGCGAGACTCCGTCTAAAAAAAAAAAAAAAGAAAACAGAGACTATGGGACATTTCCAGACCAGGGCTGAAACTACCCTTACAAGAAGGACTGTCCATGCCAGGGAGCAGGGCAGCTCTGTGCAGTCGGAAGGCCCTCACTTTGTCCTGTTTTGTGACCATGAATACTCCAGATTATAGAACCCCTACAGCTTTTGGCTGGCAAAAGGGCCACATGCTTTTCATGGGGCTAAACTGAAACTATAGCAGAGAAACATAACTCTTCTCTGCTTTTTCCTTACAATTCCTTTGAGAAGGAGGAAGAGAGGTGTGGTAAACAGATTCCCTTTTCCCTTCTCTCCTATTTCCTGTCCCTGCCCACCCCTTCCTTATTTCTCATGGTTCTCTCTTCACAAATATGTGGCTGGATCAGGGATTACATCTGAAATGCATTTTAATTTATGTGTTCAAATGGAAAGATTTCATTTTATGGGTGAGAGAAGGGCAAAACACAGACCAGAATGCCCTGCTGTCATAGTAGGAAATTTGGTCCTGTCTTTCTCCCATGCGGCTAGGCCACAGCACTGCTGGGTGCCAGTGCAGGTTCAGGTGAGTGGGCCTGATGGCTTGGGGTTGATGAGCTGCCAGGCTCTTGATGGGCCATTCTAGCCTCTTTTATGGCCCACTTTATGTGTTGACTACTAGGTCAACAGTATGAGTTCCTACTGTAAATAGAGTCTTCTACTGGCATTGTGATGGAATTCTAAGTAAATAAAATTCAGATTTTTGAAATCAGAATTATCCTTGCCCTTAATGTTATATTGGGCAAAATTATATATAAATGAAGGAGTTAGAGACATTGCCATGAACTTTATCTGATTAAGCAGCAACTCTCTTAAGTGGTACTTTTCATATGAAAACAGTCTAATCCTGTAGCCACACAGCTGCAGGTGAGATGTTAATTCTGCACCAGCAATGTGGAGGTCTCTCATAGTGCATGGTTTTTAAGTAGCATGTCTGTGTTATCCCACATAATGCATTTCTACTACCAATTATTGTCTGACCTAACTCAATGCTGGTAATTCAATTTGATTCTTTGATGGCATCATAAAATATTGATAACAAAGTAGATAATAATGGTGGTATAAAAATGAAACCAAGAGCCATTTTTAGTAATGCAAGTTAGGTCATAGCAAATGTATTTGATTTCTCCCAATTCTATAATTCTCACCATTATGAGAATTTCTCCCAATTCTATAATTCTCACCATTCAACAAATAATAATTGAGCACTTATGAAGTCTTAGGCATTGAACAAGGCAGACAGGATCCCTACTTTCATCAGTTTACATCCTAGTAGGGGGAAATAACAGATAAATAAGGAAGTTTCAACTACTGATAAATGCCATGAAGAAAATGAAATGGAGAGGTAATTAGAGAGTGACTAGGCTGTGGTAGGCAAGAAGCAGCTACTTTAGGCCAGAAAGGCCTTTCTGAGAAAGTGACATTTGAACTGAAATAAGTGATAGATAGAAGCCAGCCTTCCAAAGCCTTGGGAAAAGAGGATCTAAGGAATAGTTAAGGCCCTGAAGAGGGAATTAACATGGTATGTGTGCAGAACAGAAGGATGGCTTGTGCTTCCCAAGCCGGTGAAGGAAGCAGAGGTTGGGATGAGATGGGATGAGGCCAGTAGATCTCCGATCATATATGACCTTTAGGTTTGGTAAGTAGTGTGAATTTTATTCTAGGAACAAGGTGGGGGAGTTATTGGAGGGTTTTAGGCAAGGGAGTAGTAAGAACTTATGTCTTTTTTTTTTTTTTTTTTTTTTTTTTGAGATGGAGTTTTGCTCTTGTTGCCCAGGTTAGAGTGCAATGTCACGATCTCGGCTCACCACAACCTCCATCTCCCAGGTTCAAGCAATTCTCCTGCCTCCGCATCCTGAGTAGCTGGGACTATAGGAACCTGCCACCATGCCCAGCTAATTTTCTATTTTTAGTAGAGACAGGGTTTCTCCATGTTGGTTCAGGCTGGTCTTGAACTCCTGACCTCAGGTGATCTGTCTGCCTTGGCCTCCCAAAGTGCTGGGATTACAGGCATGAGCCACCGCGCCCAGCTCCTTATGTCTGCTTTTTAAAGTTCATTCTGGTTGCTGTGTGGAGAACAAATCAGAAGGGGGCTAAATATGGAACTGTGAGATTAGTAAGGAAGCTGTTGCTCTAACACAGATGAGAGATGACTTGAACTAGGGCACTTACAGTGGAGATGATGAGAAGCAGCTGGCTATGGAAAATGTATTGCTGGTAGAATGGACTGGCGGTCAGGATGGGGATGAGGGAGAGGAGAGAAAGGTCTTGTTAGTGTTTCTGACTCTGTCCTTGGTCCTGAACATTTCACTCTTTTTATCAATGCCCTGAAAGGCATGCTTCTCGGGTTTCTGGATGAGACAAAGCTAGGAGGGATGACTAATGTGATAAATGACAGACATGAAATTCAAAACGATCTCTCCAGGCCCTAATGTGAGACCAAACCAACAGGATGGAATTTAATGGGGATAAATGTGATGCTCTCCATTTAGGTTCAGAAAATCAATTCTACAAGTACAGGATGGGAGCAGTCAAGCTTGAGAGAAGTTTATGGGAAAAAGAACTGTGGTTTTGATTGGCCACAAATTCAATAAGAGCTAATAGTTAGGTGGGGCTGCTACAAACCTTGAGCAGTCTTAGTCTACACTGTCTGCCAGGTGTTCATATATCCATATGACCTTCCTATTGTGCTCTGTGTTGGTCAAGACACGCCTGGGCACCTGTGCAAAAGTAGATGATGGGAGTTCAGGAAACTGTTTCATGGGGGGACCAATTAAAGGAACTAGGGATAAAACAAGATCCAGGTAAACCATCAAAGGGGCTGTAGGGTCATGATAATTATCTTTAAATATAATTTAAAGAGCTGTCTTGTGAGAACCTACATTCTGTTAACCCAGAGGTTTGCACTTAACAAAATTTTACTTCATACCTTCAACACACATGTAATGAGCATCTGTCTACTCTTTGCCAGTTACTATTTTCTGTGTGTATCAGATGAAGTACCTAATTAATATGTTTTCAGGATTTTTAGAGACTTTTTTTTTTTTTTTGACAGAGTCTTGCTCTGTCACCAGGCTGGAGTGCAGTGGTGTGATCTCCACTCACTGCAACCTCCACCTCCCAAGTTCAAGTGATTCTCCTGCCTCAGCCTCCCATGTAGCTGGGATTACAGGCACCCATCATCATGCCCAGATAATTTTTTGTATTTTTAGTAGAGACGGGGTTTCACTATGTTGGCCAGGCTGGTCTTGAACTCCTGACCTCATGATCCGCCCACCTCAGCCTCCCAAAGTGCTGGGATTACAGGCGTAAGCCACCATGCCCAGCCTAGAGACTGTTTTTGTTTTGTTTTTGTTTTTGTTTTTGTTTTTTGAGACGGAGCCTCGCTCTGCCGCTGGGCTGGAGTACAGTGGCACGATCTCAGCTCACTACAACCTCCACCTCCTGGGTTCAAGCGATTCTCCTGCCTCAGCCTCCTGAGTAGCTGGGACTACAGGCGCATGCCACCACGCCTGGCTAATTTTTGTATTTCTAGTAGAGACGGGGTTTCACCATGTTAGCCAGGGTGGTCTCGATCTCCTGACCTCACGATCTACCCACCTCGGCCTCCCAAAGTGCTGGGATTACAGGCATGAGCCACCGTGCCCAGCCTAGAGACTGTTTTTTTTTTAAGAGCCGTTTTAGGTTCACAGAAAAGTTGGGAGGAAGGTACAGAGATTTTCCGTATCCCTTCTGCCCCTCTACATGCACAGCCTCCCCAAGTATCAACATCCTCCACCAGAGTGGTACATTTGTTGCATTTGATGAACCTACACTGACACATCATAGTACCCAAAGTCCATAATACCGAAAGTCCATAGGTTTACTCTCTCTCTTTTTTTTTTTTTTTTTTTGGGGGGGGGGACAGGGTCTTGCCCTGTCACCAGGCTGAGTGCAGTGGTGTTATCATAGCCCACTGTAGCCTCAAACAGTCCTCCTACCTCTGCCTCCCGAGTAACTGGGACTATAGGCATGGCCACCATGCCCAGCTAAGTTTTGTACTTTTTGTAAAGACAAGGTTTCCTCATTTTGCCCAGGCTGGTCTCAAACTTCTGGACTCAAGCAGTCCGCCCACCTCTGCCTCCCAAAGTGCTGGGATTACAGGTTTGAGCCACTGTGCCTGGCCAGGGTTGACTCCTGGTGTTATACATTTTATGGGTTTGGACAAATGTATAATGACATCTATTGTTATAGTATCATACAGAGTGTGTGCTCCACTTACTCATCCCTACTCCCCAACTCTCCAGTACCAACCTCTGGCAACCACTGATCTTTTTACTACCTCCGTAGTTTCTCATTTTCCAGAATGTCATGTAAGTTAGGATTCACTTTTGAATTTCTTCAGAAGAAAAGACCACACAGCATTCCAGAAGTGCCCATTGCCGCAGAACTCACTGTTCTCCAGTCTGGCTGCTAATCAGAGCACAAGATCCCTGAGTTCTTGGCAAGGAGAGAATGCCAGTCCCAGGCCCCCTTCTCCATTATACTCTCAGAGCTCTGTCAGCAGCAGAGCTGCATACATAAAGGAAAGTGATCCCTTGTTTCTTTCTAGATATGCAGCCGTGACCTTCTGCAGGAGTCTTTATGGCCTCTCTGAAGCACTCTTGAACCTATTCCTCAGCCTGCCACTGTGGCCAGCCAGCCCTGCCGTCCCAGCCACTTTCTGATCACCTTCCTTCCCAGCCTCATCAGGCGGAAGGGATAGGGACAGTAACTGACATGTTTGTCTGGGGCTCTGTAGCACTTTGCCAGACCTCATTGTGTGCCTCTTTATTCTCCTATTTTTGAGAGGTTCATTGTTTAGGCCTTCAAGCATCTTTGGATTAGAGATCCAAGGAATTAAAAACCAGCATATAGAAGAATGTAACCGCCTACTAAATATGTGCTCCTAAAACAAAACCAAGTGGCAGCACTAATGCCGACAGCCAGGACCTCAAAGTACAAACCCTAAAAGTGGTCTCATTTGGAAGCAAATCAGAATCCCAGAATCCTCAGAAAACTCCAGAGAAAATTTATGACCTTCCTCTAAACAGTGTTCTGCATCTCCTTTCAGTATAGCATTTGGTTTCTCTCTCTAGTGACTTCGCACTAAGGGGACTTGAGGCACACAGTGGGTGAGCAAGCCTCTCCAGGACATACTTGTTAAGTGTAACCCTCACATTGCCCCAGCCTCTGCTAGTCGCCACTGTAAAATGCTGGGTCAAATTGTGGTTATAAAGTCAATTGCTTCCAGAGTAAACCTGCTGTCTTTGGATCTTTGTTTTATTCAAGGCTGCTCTGTCAGCTGTAGGCTTGCCTTTGATAGGCCGCAGCAGTGGTTTTCATGTCTAACTAGGATTTTAATGTTTGTGAGAGACTGTAGTTAATTGGATCCCCATGGTACCACAAATGACTTTAGAAGCCTCTTATGTCAGTGGAGGTAACTCTGTGAGTGCGTGTGTGTGTGTGCATGTTTGTGTGTGTACACACCTGTCCTCACCCCTGAGCAAGCACCTTGAGATTTAAGTGTTCTTATGCCCAAATCTCAGGTTTGAGCATTTTTAATACTTGTTTTTCCAGAGTCAAAAACCTTGCCATCACCCCTAGATTCTTAACCTTTCTCCTTGCCTACTCTTCAGTTGTGTGTGTTGTTTTGGGGGCAGTTGGGGCAGAACAGCCAGACTCATCTCAGCCTGTGTCTCATCTGCAGTCACAGAGCTAGAGATTCTCTGTGAACCTCTGCCATCTTGCTGGCTGCTGCACGCCATCCAAGCCCCATTTCCTGACTCCTTTTGCAGAGTTGGAGCAGCAGCAAGGAACCCCTGCCCCCACTCTGTCATCACTGTAGTGCTCTGTTCAGTTACTGTAAGAGCTGCTGAGTCCTGCCTGGTTCCCTGTTCTGTCTTGAGAAGGGTGGCCACAGACAGTTGCTTATACATATGTTGCCATGCTTTGAACTGTGCAGGCGCGGGGATCAGTATCTTATCAGTTCTCCACAAAAGAGGTGGTTTCACACTCCCACCCCCCTTTGAAACCTAAGGTGACCTATCCTAGTAACCTGAACAAGCCTAACTAACATTCCTATGGATGGAGCAAAGAAACAGAGAGGGCAGGTGAGAGCAAGTGTTATTATAAGAAAATAAGCAAGGCACAGGAAGAGCTAAGTACTTTGGAGCAAAAAAGACTAGTGTGCCTTAGGATTTGGGAACCCTGGAAAGTAGAGAAGCTAATCCACCTTTGGCCTTTGGCCTCATAGTTAAGCCTTGCCAATGAAACGTGCTCAGTCATCAAGTACCAGTATTGTTAGTCTTCTCTATGTGTGTGTCATATCTGCCTTAAATAAATTGATGCAATGAAAGTAATCTGTAAGTGGTAAAACTCTATACAAACATCAGATGTCATTAGGTCGTTCTGACTAGATTGTAAGCACCTTGAAGTCCTGGGTTGCCCCTGATGCTTCTTTTTCCTCTCATAGGTAGTCCCTCGTACCCCTGCCCTTGCCTGGCTGGTTAAGTGACCCTTTCCAGCCAAGCTAGAGTTGGCCTCCCCTGTTATTCCTTCATAGCACCTGTCACAATTTATAATTTTAAGTTATTTATAACTTAAGTTTTTCCATTAGGCATTAAGTTCCTTAAAAGTGGAGACCATGTCTGCTTTGTTCATATCTACATTCTTAGCACCTATAAAATGCCTGGCACATATTAACAGTTTTTTATTAATAGTTACTAAAGGAATGGTTCCACAGGAGGACATTAGTAAGTTTAGGGCCAGGGAATGCCCCTTCTCTCCTATATCTTACCACTGGGGAAGCTTTTGGTCTTCACCTTCAGGGTCTATGGGGCTAGCTTTCTAATGTCTCCTGAGCATTTTGCATCTTCCCATTAACTGTGAATTTCACTGCTGGTGACTTCATTCAAGTGAATCTCAGAGCCTCTAGGACACATCATTGGGCAAGATGTGGCAGCTACCTTTGCTGATTTGTTTCTATTCCATTTGTCCATGGCATTGTGGGAAAAGAGATAGATGGCCTTGGTTCCCTAGCTGGAGTGAGGTAGGTAAGAGAACTTCTGACTGAACATTTCCGTCCTTTGAATTTTGGTACAAATGCAAAGGCTGCCTTGAGGGGCACTCACAGAGCCAGCATGCTTTTTCATATCTTCCTGTCCATGGTAAGTGCCCCTTTCATAGGAGAGCTCATTAAGACCCACATTCACCATCTACCAGCAAGAATTCCATCAGAAGTTAGTTACCTTAAACTAAGTGTGACTTTCTGACTCACATTTATGAATATACCCAGTTAGATTATAGAACTGCAACATCATACTTATTACCTTGAAATTACATTTTTGTTCTGAATGACCAAGCCTTGTAAACAATGTAAGTACTACCTAACACACATATTCTGAAACAAGCTCCACGTTAAGCGTTGGTTTGTAATGGGTGATATTTGGATAGCTCTGATTAAATATGTAAATTATGAAAATTAGAAGTGGAAAAAAAGTTACCTTTGTACTTGAACCAGCTACATATTGATCTTTGACTCAATAATGGATCATTCTCTCTCTTATAGATCTTGGTCTTACACAAGTTTTTTCTTTTGTATTTTTTACTCTTCATGTGTGGTTTCCTTACTCTTGTTCAGACCTTTCAGTTGATAGAGCTTCTCCATTGTGTGTATTTTGGATGGTAATCTCTAAAAAGCCTTTGTGTGAGGTTCTTAAGTATTTTTCATCCAACATTGGTTTTACCCCAAGGGTCCTCTTCCCTGAAGCAGTAGCATTGGATTTGGACAGTCCTTTCCTTTCTCATCATAATGAGATGGCCCTCATCCAGAAATACGCTCATGGCCATATCTGAGATTAGGAATTTTGCTCAGGCCAGGCGCTTGCCAACTGAGCCAGGAAAATAGACAAATCCAAGAGGAATGAAAACATAGAAAAAGAGGTCGTGCAGACTATGAGACTCAAATCTTATTACTGAATTGTCCATACCTCATAAGTTTTTTTTTTCTTTTGAGACAGAGTCTTGCTCTGTCACCCAGGCTGGAGTGCAGCGGCACAATCTCAGCTCACTGCAACCTTTGCCTCCCAGGCTCAAGTGATCCTCCCACCTCAGCCCCCAAAGTAGCTGGGACTACAGGTGCTTACCACCTCACCTTGCTAATTTTTGTATTTTTAGTAGAAGTGGGTTTTTACCATGTTGCCCAGGCTGGTCTTGAACTCCTGGCCTCAAGCAGTCAGCCTGCTTTGGCCTCCAAAAATTCTGGGATTACAGATGTGAGCCACTGCGCCAGGCCATACCTCATTATTTTAAGGAATTTCTAGTCACTCCAAAAAAACTATAGAAAGAAGTAAACCTAGAACAGGGATTTCTAAAGCAAGATGAGAAATTGGAAAAGTTTAGGGAAGATGTTAAGGCTGGATATAACCAATTTTTCGTTTAAAAAAAAAAAAAGGAGAATCCAAAAAGGAAATGGAAGAAAATGTTTGGCAGAAATGGTAAAACTGAGTATGACAGCGTGAGGGCAGAGCCGTGAATGGGTGCAGAATTGAGCAGAGAGGAAGAGGACTGATGTTAAATTCAGAACTCTGGCTGAGTGCAGTGGTTCACACCTATAATCTAGCACTCTGGATGGCCAAGGTGGGAGGATCACTCGAGGCCGGGAATTCGAATCCAGCCTGGACAACATAGGGAGACCTCATCTCTACAAAAACAATAAATAAAAATTACCCAGACATGGTGGCTCGTGCCTGTAGTCCCACCTACTTGAATACTGAGGTGGGAGGATTGCTTGAGCCCAGGAGTTTGAGGCTGCAGTGAACTATGATTGCTCTGCTGTACTCTAGCCTGGGACACAGAGTGAGATCCTGTCTCTAAAAAAATACAAATAACTTCAGAATTCCTGCACAGGAAAACCTTTCCATATTTAGAAGGGTGATTATTTAATGCTCTAGTTTCATGGGATTGACTATTAAGATGCTGTTCACTTGTTTGTCGTGATAATCTAAAATCTTCCTCTAGGCCGGGCGTAGTGGCTCATGCCTGTAATCCTAGCACTTTGGGAAGCCGAGGCAGGTGGATCACCTGAGGTCAGGAGTTCAAGACCAGCCTGGCCAACATGGTGAAACCTTGTCTCTACTAAAAATGCAAAAAATTAGCCAGGCGTGGTGGCAGGAACCTGTAATCCCAGCTACTTGAGAGGCGAGGCAGGAGAATTGCTTGAACCCGGGAGGTGGAGGTTGCAATGAGCCAAGATTGCACCATTGCACTCCAGCATGGGCAACAAGAACAAAACTCCATCTTAAAAAATAAATAAATAAATAAAATAAAACCTTCCCCTAAACTCAGGTTCGAAACTTCTGGAATAGGATGCCAGAAAGAACATGTGAGGCTACAAACCTCCTTTCGTGTGTATAACATGTTTAGCTCTAAATATGTTTTGCCTGTTTGTCTGTCTATCTTTACATTTACTTTTTATTTTTGCTAAATAGTTCCCATGCCCTGGCTACCTTTTACCCTTAGGTGTAAGAATACAAATGTGAGTATTTCTGTTTTTGAGAGACAGAGATGAGTGTTACATATTCTTCAACTGGAAGCTTTACCATCCCTGGTGCCCTCCCCTCACAATGATATATAATATATCTCATGTTGTCTATTATTAAAATCAAGGTCTGGCGCAGTGGTTCATGCCTGTAATCCTAGCACTTTGGGAGGCCAAGGCGGGCGGATCACGAGGTCAGGAGATCGAGACCATCCTGGCTAACACGGTGAAACCCCGTCTCTACTAAAAATACAAAAATTAGATGGGCATGGTGGCGGGCACCTGTAGTCCCAGCTACTCGGGAGGCTGAGGCAGGAGAATGGCGTGAACCCGGGAGGCAGAGCTTGCAGTAAGCCGAGATCGCACCACTGCATTCCAGCCTGGGTGACAGAGCAAGACTGTCTCAAAAAAAAAAAAAAAAAAAAAAACAACTGAATGAATTATTAAGGCTAATTTAGTCCTTTCTCTCTTCAGCTATATGATTTTTATATTTGAGTAGCTAAGAGCCCTGTGATTTAAGACAAATCTTATATTCCAGTGTCAAACATACCCAATTCATGATAAGTACTTAGACCAGTCTCTTCCTTGGCTGGACTTCAATGAATAATTATTCCAGCTCCTCCCTACCCTGTAGGGATATTTGGAAGATAAATGAGATCATCTTTCTTTATTTTTTATTTTTTATTTTTTTTCTTCGAGACAGAGTCTCTCTCTGTCACCAGGCTGGAGTACAGTGGTGCACTCTCAGCTCACTGCAACCTCCGCCTCCCAGGTTCAAGCGATTCTCCTGCCTCAGCCTCCCAAGTAGCTGGGACTACAGGCATGCACCACCAGGCCTGGCTAATTCCTGTATTTTTAGTAGAGGTGGGGTTTCACCATATTGGCCAGGCTGGTCTTGAACTCCTAACCTTGTGATTCGCCTGCCTCGGCCTACCAAAGTGCTGGGATTACAGGCGTGAGCCACCGCACCCGGCCTTTTGAGATCATATCTCTTACAGCATTGCTTATTCTTCAGAGGGAAGTCTGTAATATTGTTATTGGGTTGTTATTACTGTTCTTTTCCAAACTATACCCCACATAATGCTTGTGGCATTCACAGTCTAGCTGGGTTTCCCCTGGCAAAATTATTTCAATGCAATGGTTCATTGACGGGCGGCACTCCTCAGGCATCACTGTGACATTTTGTGGGCAGGAATTTAGTGGTACTCTTGGCCCATGTGTCCCTTCATCTGGGATGCTGGGATGTCTCAGACTGAAGGGCAGATGGTGGTGGTGGCTCCCTGGGGGGAGGCTTTTGGACAGGAGGTGGCTGGGTGATTACAGGAAAGCAGGTGCTGATTTACCTTTTTGCCTGTTTCTTTTGGGAGGCAGTGTTTCGATTGACTGCATTCCTTGGAGGTTTGACATATCAATTAGATGTTATCGACAGTAATAGAGGGGCAGTTGCTGTAGATGTGAAGTTTTTACTGGTAGGCCATGAAATGATACCCCAAGGGACTGTAACAGAGTGGCGAGATAAATATTGTGTTACCTGCACATGGGCAGAGGGACTGATTAATAGGGGAGGATGATTCTGTCTCCTGCACTAAAATGTTATTTATTCATTGGCTGTCAATCAAACCTTCTGTTCTAATTGGCTGAAAGGTTAAATCATCAAGATCTGCTCGTAACCCTGGTTGAGTAGAAAGAAAAGCAGTGCTAAATCATAATCAGTGGCCTGTTTATTTACTGCATTCTTGCATCTGTATGACCTTGGAGAGCCTTTCTCTACCCTCTGGTTACAGTAGCATCCCCAAGCCTAGACTCACATGCATGGGTGGAGGGAGCTGGAAAGGAGAATATATTTGCCAGGCCTGGTAGTGTCCCAAGAATCTCAAGAAGGCAGCGATGGTGCTTGGTGTGACATTGTCTTCGCATAATTAAACCACTGCTATTCTTTCGGCTGCATTTTTAGTGTATGGCTCTTGTGTTGCACAACATTGTAAAAGGAAGAATTATTTTTGAAAAGACAAATATATTTCCACACTAACAGTTTTATAAAGATGTCAGCAAATAAGTATAGGCATCATTAAATCACATTTTAAAGGCAGCCTTCTCATTGTGATAAATCTGCATTATCAAGTCTCATTTCTAAAATGAATCATACATTGTAAAACTTTATGAGAGTTGAGTAAAAGATCCCTGTTGGCCAGTACAAATGTATATTTTCAAACCATGCAGAAAGGATTCAAGTCCTAGTGAAAACACTGATAGGGTTATACCTGTTTCTTAGAAGCTGTATTTCAAGTACAAGCTACTTTGGGGTGGGATGGAGCTTTTTTCACTGCCAAAGTGAATCAGTAGCTTATTCAAAGAAAGCCAAGAGTAAACTCCCATTCAAAGAACCTTTGTATTCAGTTTGGAGCTGTGAGAACACAGCCTGCTTTGCAGTGGGACTAGTGAACGTCAGTATTGCAGACCCACAGTGCTGAGGAAGGTGGGGCCGTGCCCTGAGAGGGCACGCTCACCATCTAGGGCATGTCCCCCAACACCATCACCCACTGCCATGTTCTCAGCCTCATGTTCCCTGTACCCACCTCCATTGCCACCAGCCCAGAGACGCAAAACACATCAGCCCAAGAGGTAGACGCACTTTTTCATTATCTTGATAGTTAACAAATTTACTTCCGTGGTTGGTTAGGTATTTTAAGCACAGAAAGCCACATCAACACATGACTCTGATATACCATATTACCATATTAAATAACATGAAATATTACTGATATACCATATTAAAAATGTATCCTTCAAAGAGGGTCTAATTATCCAGCTCTTTGGAGAGGAAAGATGGCAGAGATAGCCAAATGCCCTCCTTAGTGTTTGAAACGATTTATAATTGTATATGTATTTTAGGTCATCATGTTGCAGAAAAGTATAACAAATGTTTATTGGTGGCTTATATGGCAAAACCAGCCAACAGTATCTGCTTTTTCATCTTTTTAGTGACTGCTGAGTTCATTTTACTGTAAGAACACACACTCATCTTGAGACCATCTGGCTTTATTTATTCTTAGTGAATAACCAAATTCTGCTATTGTGTTGTTTCATAATAGCTCAGGTAAGATGCATGACAACCCAGCATCTAGGTGATATGACGTAATGGAACAGTTTTAAGTCAGAGACTCAGAAAGTTGAAAGTGGAGAAGTGAACCTAGGTGGGTGATTCAGTAAAGAGAGAGTATTTAGTCTAAAAAAGAAAAAGTGAGGCCGGGCATGGTGGCTCACAACTGTAATCCCAGCACTTTGGGAGGCTGAGGTGGGTGGATCATTAGGTCAAGAGATTGAGACCATCCTGGCCAACATGCTGAAACCCTGTCTCTACTAAAATACAAAAAAAAAAAAAAATTAGCTGGGTGTGGTGGCGCACACCTGTAGTTCCAGCTACTCAGGAGGCTGAGGTGGGGGAATTGTTTGAACCCAGGAGGCGGAGCTGGCAGTGAGCCAAGCTTGTGCTACTACACTCCAGCCTGGCAACAGAGCAAGACTCGGTCTCAAAAAAAAAAAAAAAAAAAAAAAAGAAAAGAAAGTGATAGTAATGACTTAATACTATCTGTCCCTCTCCTCATCCTCCTTCTGAAGAAATAGACTGGGCAGCACTTGGGCTGTATTGCTCCTTGCTAGACCCTATACAAAGAGCTAGTCAGTCATTAGTAACTGTCAGTATCACCAAACCTGGTACACAGCCTGGGCGGGTACTCCAAAAAAGTATACTGGAGATGGTCTTTCTAAAAGTCACCCTCATAAATGGATTGTTCTTCCCATATCAGATAAAATGCCATGTAGAACTAGAAATTGTCATTCAATTTTTATGCCTGAGAAATATATAGTCAGTTGATCAGTTGGGATTTGAGAATAAAAAAAATTAAGTCAAGCTGACCAGCATTTCCTTCATGAAGTTGCCCCATCATAGCCTCAGTATGGCTGTCCTTCTTGTGAGCTTCTGTCCGTGCCACACACACATTCAACTTCAGGATTTAGAGGCTAGGCAACTAGTGGTAGACATTCCAGACCAGGAAAGTCAGGGCCTGGACATGGGCCACACCTACTGGAATGGCACAGAATATTTGGGAAGGGATCTAAAGTAGAAATGAGTGAAAGTCAGGATAAGAAATCCCAGGGGACATCTGGCAGGTCCAAGGGGTTGGGTTGTTCAGGACAACAGGTAAATTAGCACAGCATAGAATCTGGCAGTTAGGGAGTGTTCCAGGCAAGTGGTAGCAGGTTCAGAAAACAGACTGCAGCACAAAGAGGGTTGGAAAGGTTACAACAGGAACTTAGGCCTTTCAGAAGTTCAGAGGATTGGGTAGAACAGGAATTAGGGCCAAAGTTGTCCGCAATCTGCTTTAGTACAAAGCTAAGAATGGTTTTTACATTTTAAAAATGAATGTGTGACAGAGATCTGTGTGGCCTAAAATATTTACTATCTGGCTCTTTACAGAAAACATTTGTTGCCCCTGGGGGTAGGCATAGACTTGAATATAGAATAATTACTGGAACCAGAGGTATGACATACTGGTGAATTATCAGGAACCAGTGAGAGCCAGTTCCTAGGACCCAACTACACAACCAGAACGGGATCCAGAACAAGGCTCACGTGACTGCTGAGCTAGTTCCCATATTCCTCCTTCCTAAGGAGTAGATTGAAGGCAGAGCCCAGGGTAGACTTAGCATGTAAGGGAGGGTCAGTTGGTCCTGCAACAGGTAGGACATCCCTTGGGTACAATGGAGCAGCAGCAGGGTAAGGCCTTACCTTCATAGGGATAGTTTACAGCAGCCTCTGCCAGCCTCTGCCTCGTTTGACTTGCGCAGCTCCCTGCAGCATAGGGTTTTCCAGGTGTGACAGCAGAGACTCAAGTGATCAAGTGATTTGCCCAAGGCCATGCGGCCAGTGAAGGGCAAAACCTGGGCCCACGTGTTGGCTGTCTCTCTCAGTTAAAAAAAAAAAAAGAAAAAAGAAAAAAATAATAATGTTTAAAAAACCAAACTGGGCCCAAACCCAGATGTTGTGATTCCTAGTCTGTTAGACATTCTGTTCCATCACAGCCCCTCTCCCACCCTAGTAATCCTGGATTCACAAACCTCTCCGCCTGACCAGGATACCTGTGGAATACTTTTGAGAGCTGCATTTGGAACCTTCTTGCCCACGGTATCTCCATGTCAGTCCCTCATCCTCACTGTCACTAAAATTATCTTCCTAAGTCTTCCTTACTTTCTTATTCTTAAAGCCTCCCTTGATTTTTCCACTTTGCCACCTTCTACCTGATGGAGCATAGGTTTGACCACTTTGTTGTAGGATGGGGATTCTTTTTTTTTTTTTTTTTTTTTTTTGAGATGGAGTCTTGCTCTGTCACCCAGGCTGGAGTGCAGTGGCATTATCTCGGCTCACTGCAACCTCTGCCTCCCGGGTTCAAGCGATTCTCCTGCCTCAGCTTCCTGAGTAGCTAGGACTACAGGCACCCGCCACCAGGCCTGGCTAATTTTTTTTTTTTTTTTTGTATCCTTAGTAGAGAAAGGGTTTCACCATGTTGGCCAGGATGGTCTTGATCTCCTGACCTCATGATCCACCCACCTCGGCCTCCCAAAGTGCTGGGATTACAGGCATGAGCTACTGCGCCTGGCCCAGAACAGGGATTCTTAAAGTGTGGCTCCCAGGCCATCAGCATCACCTGGGAACATATTAGAAATGCAACTTCTCAGGCCCCACCTCTCCTACCTACTGAATCTGAAACCCCAAGGTGGACCAGCAGTCTGTGTTTAGCATCCCCAACAGGTGATGCTGAACTTCATGTTTGAGAACCTTGGAATAGCGCATCAGAATGTGCATCAGAATCACTTGTGGATGCACACCCCTCCCCCACCGATGGGAAGCCCTGGACTAGAGCATCACTGGGGTTGCCCAGAAGGTGGTTGCTGTATTCCTCACTGACTATGAAGGTGTTAGTGACAGCTGCAACACAGTTCATTGTATAGTGGTTCTGTTATGAGGACCAGTGAGAATTTCACTACCATGACAAATCCTTCAGATGCTTTTACCAGCTGCCAACCACTGTGGTCCACAGGGAAATAATAGAGTTTAGGAGATGGGACATAAACCTGCCATTATACATGCAGAAAATCCACTTCTCCAGGGACTCAGACTTGGGAATTCTAACGTCTAAGATCTTAAGAGGGAGCCTGTGTTTCCCAAATGCTTCCATTTCTGCAGAAGGCTTGATAGACTTGCTTGGCCACCATAGTCCTAGCCAAGGACTGTGAGGAGTGCTCCACAGATCCTGTACCAGTCTGCTGGTCCACAGGTCTGTCTGCTAATTGGGGCATTTTGACCCAAAGTTGGGAGTCATGGTTTTTCTTTCTCATGAAGGTTATAAAACTGAAGATAAGAAAATGAAAATCATAAAAACAAAGATGGATACCCCAAGGGTACAGCCATCACTCAGAGTAGAGGCCCAATCACGTGCTCTGAGTCAACAAACTGTACAATGTCAGAGTTGCATTCTTAATTGAGTGTGTTTCCCCTTTGTGATGTTTTGTTACATCCAGAAGAAATGGCCCCAAAAGAATACTTGTCATCTCTAATTATAGAACAGAGCCGTGCTTCTTCACAAGAAGTGAAAGGTGAAAATAGAGATGTCCTCCTCAGAACCCGAAAATTGATATTGAGGGCCTTCCCCCTGGGGCAGTATTTAGGCAAGGGATGGAATGGAACAATGGAAGGATTAGTGGCAGTGGTGTGGGGGGCGCAGGTGGGGAGGGATTGGTCTGATTTTTTTGTTGTTATTGTTAATCTCTAAAGCCTCCGCAGTATGGAGTTTCAGATCTAGAGTTCTGCTGACTTGATGGGAAAAAACAGCTGAATGATAAAACAGCTGAAATTTCATCTGTCTCTACATCTCCTGCCCCACACCCCTCCAGGGCTGCCCAGCAGGACACCAGTGTGATTCTGATGGCAGCTGAGCCATCACAAAGTGGGGAGATGAGTAAATCATCTGATAACTTTAGGAAAATCTACTTTATGCTTTCACACACTCCGTTGAACTTTTCAAAAATATTGACTAAATAACT
The DNA here is from genome assembly GCF_000001405.40 of Homo sapiens. Taxonomy (NCBI): domain Eukaryota; kingdom Metazoa; phylum Chordata; class Mammalia; order Primates; family Hominidae; genus Homo; species Homo sapiens. Next base: position 38,215,584 of record NC_000006.12, on the reverse strand, counting down.
TGCCAGCTGTGATTACCAACAGCTCTATTTGACAATCTTTGACAGAAAGCCAATGGGTATGTGCGACGTCATCCAGCGCTAACAGGGCCTTCATTAGCAGCTCTTGAGGGGATGAGTGCTCTCCTGGCCTGGGAAGAGTGATTCCTGTCCCCTGGTGCTGTTCACTCGCGCGTGGGTAAACTATTTGCTTAGCGAGCCCGGAGGCCGACATTGAAGCTTGCCTGTTCGTCTCCATCACTCTAAGGGCTTTTTATGTTCAGATCTGCAGGAACACAAATAATATTCTTTCTAAGCTGCTCCAAAATACAAGTGATAGAAAATATCATGGAAAAGGTGAATTGCCAGACAGTAAGCCCTCATGACCGAGAGCTTATTCATAAAATGATGACAAATTTATTGCACACGTTCACTGCTGGCTTTCTGAGATTAATAGCTGATCCATCTGATTTTAAAGCCTGACAATAGAATCAGAAAGAGTTACTGGTCAGTTTTTTCACCCATCCCCTTCACCCAGCAACCTTCCTCCTCAAGAAATAATACAGAAAAATCAGCTGATGTAGCTTCAGCAAGTGCCTTATGTTATTTTATTGCGAGAGATTTCCGTGTGCCAAGGATAACTTTTAACCTTGTTGAATGCAATTTTTGACTTTTTGGCATCTGCCTTCAGCTCTGCAAAACCCTCAGGGCAGGGGACTGGTACGGTGAATAGCTAGGGGTAGACTGAAACACAGTCTGAAAGGAAGCCATATTTTCTTGTGTCTTATGGCTGCTTGTTTACTATGAAGTAGTAAAGAAGTCATTGCTTGATATCTTAGCCCTGACGGCATGAACAAAATTCAAAGCAGGTGTAATGAAATACATGGCATCAAACCTTGGGCACACAGGAAGCCCAGGCTGGCAAAATATGGGTTGGGAATCTCTGGGGTTGCTGGTTTGAGGGGAATTAGGATTCCTCACAAAAAGCACGCGACCTCCCTTGCAGCCTCCTCCTCCCTGTTTTCGCTCTTCTGGCCAACTAAAGTGACCTGCAGACTCTCCCTGCCCTGTCACACCTTTAGCCTCTCTCAGTGCCCAGCTGATCCCCCTGCCTGTCTTGGCATCTGGTTTTTGTGTCAAATGATTTAAATTATTTAACTTAATGTATGTACTTAACATATGCCCTTGTCACCTGTCCTGTCTCATTGTCCACCTTCTTTGTGAACTCACAGGGAGCCAGCGGGCTAGGTCAGTCCTTGCTACACTCTGGCACTGGCATAATGCCACATGGCAGCCTGGCTGAGGGCGCTGAGATGTGCAGGAAAAAGCAGGGTTGCAGAGAAAGCCCATCCTTGCCTGCATCTAGGCCAGTGTATGGCAGGAATCTGAGGGAGGGGCCAGAGAGTGACTTGGAGCCAGCCAGTGGGGAGTGAGGGGCCTTGGAGAGAACATGCACCTTTTATAAGCCTGAGAGAAATCTAGGCCAACACAGACAGACCCGAAAAGTCATCAACACCAGAGAGTGCTAATGGTGACTTTTTTTAAATCAAGAAAATGTTTGAAAAGAGGGAGAAATTATTATTATTATTATTATTATTTTTGTTTGTTTATTTGAGATGGAGTCTCGCTCTGTCACCCAGGCTGGAGTGCAGTGGCGCAATCTCAGCTCACTGCAAGCTCCGCCTCCTGGGTTCATGCCATTTTCCTGCCTCAGCCTCCAGCTCAGTCCCAGCCTGTAGCTGGGACTACAGGCGCCTGCCACCACACCTGGCTAATTTTTTTTGTATTTTTAGTAGAGATGGGGTTTCACCATGTTAGCCAGGAGGGTCTCGATCTCCTCACCTCATGATCCGCCCGCCTCAGCCTCCCAAAGTGCTGGGATTACAGGCGTGAGCCACCACGCCCAGCCATGATTTTTTTATTTTTTTTAATTCAACTTTTTTATTGACAGAAACTGTCCCAGAAGAAAGATTGTTACATGCCACATACTGCCTCACATTGGCTTGCAGATCATTCACTGTCTTGAATGCAGTGCTTTGTGTTGAATGTGACAGTTAATGCAGATCCCGGAAAGGGCCTTTATGGGGCCTGCCTCAAAGACTTGTCACCTTTTTATTACAGAACTCATATTCAGAGATTCCAGTGTGTTAAATAGCTCTAGGCTAATCTTGGGCCGCTCTGTGCTAAGGGCAATGGTTTTCATCATAGGAAAACATTTTTTTTTTTACTCCAGAGATTTTTTTAAGCTCTCCCAAGTGCTCCCAACTTCCTGTCTGTTCAGCTGCAAATATCAGGCCCTTAATGGCTGGAGAGGGAGAGTCTATTTTTAAAGTTTTTACTGAATATCTCCCCACTGTCAGGTGCTGAACGAATTTGGCTTGTCATTAGATCTAAAATACCCACAGGGGTTTAGTGTAACTTTTAGGTATGAAATTGATCAGGTTTGATTCTGAGACCGTCTGGTGATCCTTCTGGAAGGCCACTTGCTTGCTTAGCTGTGTGTGAGATCATAGGTCAGGGCTGGGCTTTGTTTTGCATGGGCTTTTGACATTAATTTCCACAAAAGCAGCCTTAAAAAAAAAAAAACACCTGAAATTCAGGGGCCAGTTAGTCCTCTTTGTATTCTAAATCCCTTTGGTATTTAAAACATTAGGAAATGAAATTGCCAAATTCTTAACATTTGAAAATTGGCTCCTGCCCATGCCTAGTCTTCACATTTCCAGGGTGCTTCTGGGAGGGAATGCGCTGCTGGGGGAGAAGGGGGTGGTATTGGACAGCCACACGGAGCCAGGAGGAGGAGGCCGTCTCCTTGGAGGTAGCAGGCTTTTCAGAGCTCACCTGCCCTCCTCACAGGCTGAAAGGAGCTGCTGACGTCATTAAATCAATAACTTTGTTTAGCATTGTGTTTTCTGGGGGCAGGAAATCCTCTGGGGAACAGCAGACTGAATTTTCTCCCTCCCCTCACCAGCCTCCAGAGATGCCTGCTGGCAAGGGGTGTGGCCAAGCGGCTGGCTCTGCCATTGCCATTTAGTGGAGACCTACACCCTGGTTTTTGTTATTTTTCAGGCAAATTTCAGCAAAATTCCCAAGCCTCTAAGCTAGGTACTGAGAGGTCAAAAGTAGGAACAACTTTCTGAGCAACAGGGAGCAAATCAAAGTTTGTGAAGCCTGTGCAGGGTCATGCCCCATAGTCCTGTGTCACCCCCTCTCAACCTTCCTGTCCCCCAGCGCAGGCTGGCCCAGAGTAGCCCAGCTTGTTCTGTATAGGAATTTCACACACATGAAACCACAGCCCCAGGCAGGCCCCTCAGCACAGACCAGTGTTGCCCAGTGTTGCGTCCACCTCACTCTACCCAGCAGCCATCGCTGAGGAATGGGAGTGATTAGCCCAGAGCCTGCACCATGGGTGGAGAGCCCCTGCTCAGAAAGAGCTCCAGGCTTTAACATTCTCCTGGCCACCAAGGGAGGGCCACTCCTGTGCCCCTCTTTAACATCACCAAGGACAGGACCCCACAGCCTCTCCTGGGACCACGTTAAATGGTTTCTATAATAATTTTTCTGGTGGGTCAACAGGTTACTACGCAGTTGCCAGAATCAGCAAATTGCTGATTTCCCTTCCCCACATCACCCAGCCATGGGTCAGTCACACGAGAAGAGTCAATTGGTGGACTCAACACAGTGGTGGCAAAATGTTGGTCTAGACACTCTGCCTAGCTCCTGAAATCTGGTCTGAGTGTTTATTGCCAAGAACAGCTAGGAATTTTGGCCTCAAGCAAGTGACAGCAAGAGTTTGTTAACTACACAAATATAGCCCCATATTCCTGTTCAACATCAGACAAGGTTGAGCCAGAGTGATTTTTTTTTTAAGGCAGAATCTTGCTCTGTTGCCCAGGCTGGAGGGCAGTGGCTTAATCTCAGCTCACTGCAACCTCCACCTCCTGGGTTCAAGCGAGTCTCGTGCCTCCGCCTCCTGAGTAGCTAGGATTATAGGCATGCACCACCACACCCCCCTAATTTTTGTATTTTTTAGTAGAGATGGGCTTTCGCCATGTTGGCCAGGCTGGTCTTGAACTCCTGGGTTCAAGTGATCCATCTACCTAGGCCTCTCACAGTGCTGGGATTATAGGTGTGAGCCACTGCACATAGCCTAGAGTGAATTTTTTTTTTTTTTTTCTTTTGTGAGACGGAGTCTCGCTCTTTTGCCCAGGCTGGAGTGCAGTGGTGCTATCTCAGCTCACTGCAAGCTCTGCCTCCCAGGTTCACGCCATTCTCCTGCCTCAGCCTCCTGAGTAGCTGGGACTGCAGGCGCCCGCCACCATGCCCGGCTAATTTTTTGTATTTTTAGAAGAGACGGGGTTTCACCGTGTTAGCCAGGATGGTCTCGATCTCCTGACCTCGTGATCCACCCGCCTCGGCCTCCCAAAGTGCTGGGATTACAGGCGTGAGCCACCGTGCCTGGCCTTATGAACCCATTTCTTATTCCTTATTTGTTCAGAATCTTCTCAGAGACTTGAACTTTGCAACATAAAAATCTTTGTACCTAAAGAGCTCAGCTACAATGGCCAGCTTCTCTAGGAAAACCAACAAAGGCTCTGATACCTTTTGCCCAGAATGGGGAAGGGGAGGGGAGCTGTTAGGCCGAGGAACTCAGATGTGTGTGACCCACTTGGTGTTCAGGAGGGACTGGGACGCCTGGTAATGTGTAGCAGTGTGTTCAAGACACACTCTCCCTGAAGAGTCCCAGTTTCTCTCTCATACCTGATGGTCTCTTGGAGAAGGCGGATAATAGACAAGGGTAAAGGTAATTAATTATAAGATCCAAGTGTGACAGAAACCCTATTGGAAAGAACACATCTCTTCAAAAGACTTACTAGACATTTAGAACTGTTTCAACAGAGTTTAAATTTGGGAGCGAAACCATTAAACCTTGTAAGAAAGAAATGCCAGACCAAGAGGGTGCTTCATAGACTAATTTGATTGACTAGGCGTCTCCTCTTTCTGTACTACACAAAAACTCTTGCCCAGATGCAGACACACACACACACACACACACACACACACACACACACACAAACACACGCACTCTCCCACCACCACTTGTGTACAAACATGAATACAGAGACAGGAAGAAACACGAATTTGCTTTTTTCTGCATGATACTCAAAATCATTGCGTTTCTAGCACAGCTGCTGCTGCAGGAGAGAGAAAAGCACTTGGCCCCAGAGTCTGTTTATGTGTTTGAGCCGAGAAAGTGATTTTTGTTGCAGGAAGTTCTAAGTGAGACAGAGTCAGAGAATAAGAGAGAGAGAGAGAGATAATTATCTAAATTATGTTCGTGCTATTATCGAAGACGAATATAGTTAAAATGTAATTAAATATGACGGGCTAGCAGGATGTAAGCCAAGCTTTGGAATGCTAATCATCAATTACTGCATCCCCTTAGGGGAATCAAGGAGGCTGTATGGCAGAGTGGGAGCAAGGTTGGGGCTGGGGTACTGAGTGAGACGTCGAGCATTAAAACACCCCCTTCCCCTGTCTCCCCACGTAGTCATTCAAACCGCCATGGACGCCCCTGGGACACATCCCTTTCTGTAGCTGCCACAGCGTTAGAATATGAGGAGCTGGCGGGAGGGTCCTGCCGCTCTCTGTGAGAGGCAACCCCTCTAAAAGGGAAAATTATGCTATGAGCACAGAAGGCAAAACTCAAGATTGGCTTACGTTAGAGCAGTAGATGCAAGTGCATTTACCAGACAGAAGTCTGAAGCTCCTCCTCTGCCAGAAAGCATCAAATGCTCACCTACCTAGATCAAGGAATCCCAGGAAGGAAGTCAGGCAGGGAGGTGGAAGCGGACTGTAGTCGGGACAGAAGATGCCACATGTCCATGCTAGCAAGCTGCTCCTAACACTCAATCCCCAACCTGGGCAAGGGGCCCGCCTTGGCCATACATTGAAATCACCTGAGGAATTTAAAAAGGACTCAAGCAGGGCCCACCCCCCCAGAGGTTTTGAGCGTTAATTGGTGTGGGCTGTGGTCTGGGAGTTCAAAAGTTTAGCTCCACGGGTGTTTCTGATGTGCAGCCAAGGTTAAGACCCACCGGTCCAGCTATAACCAGACTTCTGCTAACCACAGCCAAGGGAAGGCAGGCAGCAGGAAGTGAGGACTGTAGTTAGTTCTTATGTCCTCAGCTGTACCTGTCTCGAGGCCAAGAACAAAACAGTATAAGGATTTACTTTTCTTAATCCTGAAACATGATTTTTATGTCAGTTCTGGTGCTAAATCCGCAAAGAATTTTGAACCTGGTGAGATTACTGTACAAGAGTCCATTTTAACACCGAGCTCTATCTAAGGCTGGGGTAGACACTCGGCCACCTCCTTGGACCAGATGGGTGATGTGAGGGAGCAAAGCAGGCCAGGGCAGGCGCAGGCAGTAAGAGAGACCACCAAAAGCTCTCCTCATCTCCAGCTGTTGTCAGGCAGGGAAGAGGACTCATGCATGCCAGATCTTCTGGTTTTCAAGAGAAGGGAGGCATCTCTGTTTTGCTGTGAAATTTCCCAATGTTTAAGTGGCAGCTAACTCAACTTTTTAAAAAATACTCAGGAAACCAGCAAGGTATGTCTGTGAGGCTCCCATGTGCGACTTTTGATCTTAGTGAGCCTTTGGCTAGTCAGCGTGTGGCCAAAACAATCACTAATTCCCATAGCTCCTAACACGGTTTTTTGCTGCCTCAGGTCTGCAGTCAGGTTAGATCAACTTGGCCCCATTTTTCCTAAGCCTGACACATAGAGGGTCTCAATAAATAGTTGTTGAATGGACAAACAGGGTGAATGGAACGAACCCAGAATTCCCTGTAAGTCTGGACAGCGAGACAGCTATAAAATCCAGTTAAGCATCCTGCAGAACAAAAGAACATACTCCTGGGGTGCCAGATTAGACAGAGGCCTGCACACTGAGTCTCCACTTTAGACTGGTATCAGAGATCTGGGGCCAAGGAAGCTCTTCAGAAGGGAATAAACAGGATCCGGGCTGATTTTGAGTCTCTGCCACATAGGACACCCTCTCTAGCTCTGCCTTTGGGGACCTAGCGGGGACAGACATGCAGGCCCAGCTTAAGGGCTGTTAAACAGTAATTCCCACCTCACCCAGTGTTCTGGAAAATGCTCTCTCTCTCATATCCCCAGTCCATAGATCATCTTTAGATATGATTAAAGAGATGAATGTGGTCCTTGGCCCATCACTACAATGCGCCAGACAATAAGAGCAGCATGCTTGGAGGGACAGTGGGCAGCTGTGGGGTCAGCTCAAGAGGCTCACTCATAAAGAACTGTCAGAGGGATCTTCAGGCAAGTCTCCATGCTCACTCAAGGCCTTTAATACCCGTCACGTCTCAGTGCCACGCAACTTGGAGAGGGCACCGCCGTCACTGCCGTAAGCTCAGTTGACAGGGGACAGCTTTTATTATTTCTTCCCTTTTCGAGAATCTGTTCCAAAGGTTCATGCCTGCCTTCCAGCCCTGCTCCCAAAGGCTGTAAATACATATGCTTCCCATGTACCTTTTCCACTCCTTGTCACCATAGGCTCTGCTCCCTTTCTTAGGCTCTGCTTTTTTTAATTGTAATTAAAAAAAATTATCAAAGTTATACATGGACAGTTTTGAGAGTGAAGTAAAACCACAAGACTTTTAACAAAAAGCAGCAGTCCTCTGCTTCATCCTTCCCTACCCCAAGTCCCATTCTCGGAAAGCAACTGCTTTTCTTTTTCCTCTTTTAAAAAGTAATTTTGAAAAAAACTATATATTCCAAAAAATATATTTAATGTTATTTAAAAATCTAAAACTGTAGACTGAAATGTTTCCCTCCTACCTTTTCCTTCAGAGATAGTTTATGCATAAACAAGTATATATATTCTCCCCATTTACTTTTTTTTTTCCTTCAAGGTCTCAGTGTAATTTTATTTGATGTTTAATGTTTGTTTGTTTGTTTATTTTTGAGACAGGGCTCGCTCTGTCGCCCAGGCTGGAATGCAGCAGTGCAGTCACGGCTCACTGCAGCCCTGATCCCCCAGGCTCAGGTGATCCTCCCACCTCAGCCTTCCAAGTAGCTGAGACTACAAGCATGTGCCACCACACCTACCTAATTTTTTACTTTTTGTAGAGACAGGGTCTCACTATATGCCCCAGGCTGATCTCTTGAACTCCTGGGCTCCAGCAGTCCTCCCGCCTTGGTCTCCCAAAGTGCTGGGATTACAGGCATGAACTGCCACACCCAGCTTCAGTGTAATTTTAGAACTCATATCAACTCTGGATTCAGCTAATACATGCCATTACATCATTGACCCCATTTTCTTTTAACACAGATTTTTCTGTACCTTGGAGATCTCTTGCATTTCCTCCCTCTCCCCATCCCCCATCCCCCAGCTCATAGTCCTTCATTATAAGGATAGGAATCTACCATAATGTACTTAACCAATCCCCAGTGATGAGCATTTAGGTGGCTCTCTTGCTGTTCAAATGATGCTGCAGTGCAATCCCTATTCTTCTTCCCTATGCTGCAAACACATCATAAATTAAAGTAGTATAAGGGAATTGCTGGCTCTAGGGGTATGTGCATTTAACATTTTGCTAGTTGAGGGTATGTCAACTTGTACTTCCTCTGGCAATATGTCAGAGTGCCTGTGTCACCCTACCTTGTCCAATATAACACATGGTCAGACTTTTAGATTTTGAGGCAAACATATTCATCTCTTTTAGACTTCTTTTTTTTTTGGTCTGTATCTTCATATTCTAAACTATGTGCTTATTCTGCTATTTCCTAATTACATTACTGGAATTATCTATTGTGTTCCTACTTTGAAAGATAAGGATTTAGTTTCATTGCCCTCTGCCCTTGCAAGTACACACATGCACCTGTCTGCTTCATCCTCCTGTTTAGTTAAATCACAGTTTTTCTTTGTATCAGATTTCTTGTTGGCATTAGGATGACTATGTAACTATCGTTCAGAGCCAAGCCATGTAGTGTACTATGATCACCTTTTTTTTTTTATCATTTGTTTTCCCTAGAGTTAAAAAGTGGCCAGGTGCAGTGTCTCATGCCTGTAATCCCAGCACTTTGGGAGGCTGAGGCAGGTGGATCACGTGAGGTCAGGAGTTCAAGACCAGCCTGGCCAAGATGGTGAAACCCCATCTCTACTAAAAATACAAAAATTAGCTGGGCATGGTGGCAGGTGCCTGTAATCCCAGCTACTTGGGAGGCTGAGGCAGAGAATTGCTTGAACCCGGGAGGTGGGTTCAAGCCTCCCAAGCTGGGAGGCGAGGTTGCAGTGAGCCAAAATCATGCCACTGTACTCTAGCCTGGCAACAGAGCAAGACTCCATCTCCAAAAAAAAAAAATTGCTTAGTTTTCTGTATACCTATCCTTCATTAATTTTCTGTGTACTATCACTGATTCTTCCCCCACAACACAATTTGTGTTGTCAGAGCAACACAAATTCTTGTAACCTGGTTAATACATCTGGTCAATTAGTTTCTCTTTCTCCCTTGAGATGTTCCCATAAGCTGCCCGCCTTCCCTCTGCAGTCTGGACTAGTTGTCCTGTGGGCCTGTTTTACGGCTCTCATCCTGGGATCTCCCATCCCATTATCTTAGGAATTCTTCTTGCCTTTATTCCATTTCACATTCTCTGTTTTGTGGATCCCATAACTTCCTTTCTTTCTTTCTTTCTTTTTTTTTTTTGAGACAGACTCCTGCTCTCTCAGGCTGGAGTGCAGTGGCACAGTGTTGGCTCACTGCAACCTCCGCCTCTTAGGTTCAAGCAATTCTCATGCCTCAGCCTCCTGAGTAGCTTGGAGTACAGGTGCGCACCACCATGCCTGGCTAATTTTTGTATTTTTAGTAAAGAAGGGGTTTTGCCATGTTGGCCAGGCTGGTCTCGAACTCCTGGCCTCAAGTGATAGTATCCCATAACTTTCTTTATCTTAAGTTGGTCCTTTGTTTTGGTGGAACACATTTTCTGGTAGTTCCTTGTGAATGCATTGGAGGTGAAGTTTTTATTTTATTATTTTTATTTTTCTTCGCATAAATACAAAGAGAGGATGAAGGTGAATTTTTTTTATGCCTGAATGACAATTTCTTTATTCTGTTCTCATACTTCATTTACTTTGTCTGGGAATGGTCACTAATTTTTCCCTCAGCATTTAGAAGGAAGTGATCTATTATCTTCTCACCCCCAGTGTTGCTTTTGAAAAATTTATGTGAACCTGATTCCCAGGTCTTTGTGATGACCTGCTTTTTCCCCCTCCAGAACTTTTAAGATCTTCCAAAGTTTCTTAATAATATACTTTGGTGCGGATCTTTTCTCATTTCTTGTAATGGCTACTTAGTAGGATCTTTAACCTGGAATCTTATGTCCTTCATATGTGGGAAAATTTGTTGTGTGACTTTGGCACTTTCCTAGCTCATATTTTCTCTGGAACATCATATTTCTTACTGGAACATCTAAATTAGATGGTGGAATTCCTCATTTGATTCTTCTATTCTCTTATACTTTCTCTTCTATTTTTTATCTTTGTCATTTGATTTGACATTCTGGGAAATTTCCTCAACTTAACTTTCTAACCCATTTGTTGAATTATTTATGTCGCTCATAGTTTTAATTTACAAGAGCACTTTCTTGTTCACTAAATGTTATTTTTTCATATCATTTTATTTATTCCTATTTCAAAGATGTAATAATGCTTCCTTTTATCTTTCTGAGGATAATTTAGGGTTTTTTTTTCCTGAAGCTGTATTCTGCTTACTGAACTGTATCCATGTCCTCTGAGTCATTACTTTTCTCTATTTGCTGTTGGTCATCTTTCATGTTACAGTCTTTTTTTGAACATTTTAAACAGCTTTATTGAGATACAATTCATATACCATACAATTCACCCACTGAAAGTGCACAATTCCATGGCTTTAGTATATTCACAGAGTTTGCATCCATCACCATAATCAATTTTTGAACATTTTCATTACTCCAGAAAGAAACCACATACCCAATAGCCATCACCTCCCAATCCCCCCAGTTAATTCCCCAGCCCTAGGCAACCACTAATCTACTTTCTGTCTGTATATTCTATACATTTCATATAAATGGAATCATACAATACATGATCCTTTGTTATTGGCTTCTTTCACTTAGCGGGTTCATCATATTATATTAATAGCGTGTATCAAAATCTTATTATTGCTGAACAGTATTCCAGTGTATGGATATACTACATTTTATCTATCCATTCATCAGTTGATGGACATTTGGGTTGTTTCCACTTTTTATTATGAATAATGCAGCTGTGAAGATTCATGAACAAGTTTTTGTGTGGACATGTGTTTTCATTTTTCTTGGGTATGTATCTTGAAGTAGAATTTTTGGATCATATCACACCTCTCTATTTAACCACCTGAGGAACTGCCAGGTTGTTTTCCAAAGTGGCCACACCTTTGAACATTCCCACAAGCAGTATATAGGGGTTCCAGTTTCTTCACATTTTCATCAACAGTTGCTGTTATCTTTTTTTAATTTTTAATTTTATTGATACATAGTGTTTTACATATTTATGGGCTACATGTGAATGCTTTTTACATGCATAGAATGTGTAATGACCAAGTCAGGTTATTTGGAGTATTCATCATCTTGAGTATTTATCATTTCTATGTGTTGGTAGCATTTCAAGTCCTTTTAGCTACTTTGAAATATACAATACATTGTTGCTAACTATAGTCACCCTAGTCTGCTATGGAACATTAGAACTTATTTCTTCTAACTAACTGTAAATTCCTACCTATTCACCCCCCTTTCTTCATTTCCCCCTTCCACCTTCACACCCTTCCCACCCTTTGGCATCTATCATTCTGTTCTCTATCTTCATATGATCAAGTTTTTTAGCTCCTACATATGAGAGAAAACATGTGGGGTTTGTCTTTCTGGGCCTGAATGATATCACTTAACATAATGACCTTCAGTTTCATCCGTGTTGCTGCAAATGACATGATTTCATTCTTTTTTATGGCCAAACAGTATTGCATTATGTAAATATACCACATTTTCTTTACCCTTACGTCCATTGATGGACACTTAGGTTGATTCCATCTCTTTGCTATTGTGAATAGTGCCACATTAACATGTGAGTGCAGATATCCCTTTGAAATACTGATTTCTTTTTTTTTGGATAGATAGCCAGAAGTGAAATTGCTGGATCATTTGGTAGATTGCATGTTTCCAGAAATTTATCCATTTCCTATAGTTGTACTTTTAGATTTTTAAAAATTTATTTCTCAGCTTGAAAAATAGTAGTAGTTTATTGAGAAATCTCTATACTGTTTTCCATGGTTTCTGTACTAATTTACATTCCCACCAACAGTGTATAAGAGTTCCTTTTTCTCTTCATTCTTACCAACATCTATTATTTTTGTCTTTTTAATAATAGCATTCTAACTGAGGTAAGATGATATCTCATTGTGGTTTTGATTTACATTTTCCCAATGCTTAGTGATGTTGAGCATTTTTTCATATACCCTTTGGCTATTTGTATGTCTTCTTTTGAAAAGTGTCTATTCATGTCCTTTGCCCATTTTTTAATGAAATTTTTATTTGTACATTCTGGATATTAGTCCCTTGTTAGATGAATAGTTTGCGGGTATTTTCTCCTATTCAACAGATTACCTTATCACTCTATTGATTATTTACTTTGCTGTGCATAAATTTTTAAATTTAATACAGTCCCATTTGGCTAGACCAATATCCTGAACTGGTTTCCCTATGTTTTCTTCTATTATTTTTATAGTTTCAGGTCTTACATTTAAGTCCTTAATCAATCTTGAGTTGATTTTTGTATATGATGAGAGATAGGGGTCCAGTTTGCATATGGATATCCAATTTTCCCAGCACCATTTATTGAAGAGGGTATCCTTTCCCTGGTGTAAGTTCTTGGTTCCTTTGTTGAGTATCAGTTGGCTGTAGATATGTGGATTTATTTCTGGGTGTTCCAGTATACTCTGTTGGGCTGTTTTTATACTCATACCATCTGTTTTGATTACTATAGCCTTGTACTATATTTTGAAGTCAGGTAGTGACTGCAAAGCCTCTAGCTTTGTTCTTTTTTCTTAGGATTGCTTTAGCTATACTGGCTCTTTTTTGGTTCTACATGAATTTTAGGATTTTTTTTTTCTGTTTCTGTAAAAAATGACATTTTTGGGCTGGGTGCAGTGGCTCACGTGTGTAATCCCAGCACTTTGGGAGGCCGAGGTGGTTCATTAGGTCAAGAGATGGAGACCATCCTGGCCAACATGGTGAAACCCCATTTCTACTAAAAATACAAAAAAATTAGCTGGGTGTGGTGCCGCACACTCATAGTCCCAGCTACTCGGGAGGCTGAGGCAGGAGAATCGCTTGAGCTTGTGGGGTGGAGGTTGCAGTGAGCTGAGATTGTGTCACTGCACTCCAGCCTGGCAACAGAGCGAGATTCCATCTCAAAAAAAAAAAAAAAAAACAAAAAAAACGACATTTTTGGATTTTTGGTATTTTTGATGGAGATTGTATTGAATCTGTATATTGTTTTGGGCAGTACAGTCATTTTAATGGTATTAATTATTCTAATCCATGAGCATAAGATGAGTTTCCATTTGTTTGTATTCTCTTCAGTTTCTTTCATCAGTATTTTGTGGTTTTCGTTGTAGAGATTTTCCACCTCCTTGGTTAAATTTATTCCTAGGAATTTTTTTCCATGGCAGCTATTGTAAATGGGATTGCCTTCTTGACTTCTTTCTTAGCTAGTTCATTATTGGTGTATAGAAATGCTACTGAATTTTGTATGATGGTTTTGTATCCTGCAGCTTTACTGAATCTGCTTATCAACCCTTAAGAGTTTTTGGGTGGAATCCTTTGGTCTTTCTGAATATAAGATGTCATCTGCAAAAAGGAACAATTTGACATCCTCTTTTCCAATTCGGATGCCTTTTATTTCTTTCTCTTGCTTGATTGCCCTGCCTATGACTTCTAGTACTATGTTGAATACGAGTGGTGAGAGTGGGCATCCATGTCTTGTTCCAGTTCTTACAGAAAAGAATTTCAACTTTTCCCCATTCAGTACGATGTTAGCTATGGGTTTGTCATAGATGGCTTTTATTATTTTGAGGTATATCCTTATATGGCTAGTTTGTTGAGACTTCTTATTATGAAGGGATGTTGAATTCTATTAAATGCTTTTTCTGTGTCTATTGAAATGATCATATGGTTTTTGTCCTCGATTTTGTTGATCTAATGTATCACGTTTATTGATTTGTGTCTGTTAAACCATCCTTGCATCCCTGGGTTAGATCCCACTTGATCATGGTGTATTATCTTTTTGATGCTCTGTTAAATTTGGTTTGCTAGTATTTTTTTGAGAAGTTTTGTGTCTGTGTTCATTGAGGATATTGGCCTGTAGTTTTCTTTTGTTGTTTTGTTCTTGTCAGGTTTTGGTGTCAGGGTAATGCTGGTCTTGCAGAATGAGTTAAGGAGTATTCCCTCCTCTTTGGTTTTGGGATTTTTTTTTTATTTTTACTTTATTTTTTTTATAGACAGGGTCTTGCTCTGTTGCCCAGGCTGGCATGTCATGGCACAATCAATGCTCACTGCAATCGCAAACTCCCAGACTCAAGCAGTTCTCCTGCCTCAGCCTCCCAAGTAGCTGGTATTACAGGCATGTGCCACCTAATTTTTTAGAATAGTTTGAAGAGGATTGGTATTAGTTCCTCTTTATATGTTTGGTAGAATTTGTCAGTGAATCCATCAGGTCCTGAGCTTTTCTTTGTTGGGAGACTTTTTGTTATGGATTCCATTTCACTACTCATTATTGATCTGTTCACGTTTTCTATTTCTTCCTGATTCAATCTTGATAGATTGCATGTTTCCAGGAGTTTATCCATTTCTTCTAGGTTTTCTAGTTTGTTAGCATATAGTTGTTCAGAATAGTCTTTGATGATCTTTTGTATTTCGGTGGCATCAGTTGTAATGTTTCCTTTTTCACTTCTAATTTTGTTAATTTGGGTCTTCTGTCTTCTTGGTTAGTCTAGCTAGCAGTTTATCAATTTTGTTTATCTTTTCTAAGAACCAATTTTCCATTTCATTGATCCTTTGTATTTTTATGTAGTCTCTATTTCATTTAATTCTGCTCTAATCTTTATTGTTTCTTTCCTCCTGCTAATTTAGGAGTTTGATTTGTTCCTCCTTTTCTAGTTTCTTGAGGTACATTATTATATTGTTGATTTGAAACCTTTCTACTTTTGTATATAGGGGCTTAAATCTGTAAACTTCCCTCTGAGTACTGCTTTTGCAGTGTCCCACAGGTTTTGGTCTATTTTGTTTTCATTTTCATTTGTTTCCCTGGAGAGGGCAGTGCCACCTTCAGTGACAGTAGCCTAGGCCTGCAGGTGGGAAATGCCCGTGGTGCTCATACCTCAGCCCCTGCTGTGGTAGCCAGCACCTTGGTTGCCCCTCAGCCCTGAGTGCATAGCCTGTGCACATCTAAGCCCTGAGGACAGCAGGCCATGCTTCTCCTGACCTCAGGTCTGGCTTCACTGGGATCCAGGACAGTGTGCAGTCTGTAGAGGCAGGTCCTAAAATAGAGCTTTGTTTGTGCCTCCACCCCAAGCCTCGAGGATGGTAGCCCATGGTCACCCCTGCCTACAGTTTAGGGGCAGCAGCCCAGGCTTTTCTTGCCCCCATTCCCCTTTAAATGTTAGGCATTGTGAAAGCTGGCTGGAAGCTTCTAGTATATGGATGGGTTTGTGGGCTTCACTGAGGGTTATCAGGCAGGGATTAGATGTTTCACTAGGATACCCCTGCCCAGCACACTAGTGCTTTCTGTGCCTTCTCACTGGGATGCCCTTTCAGATCTGCATGGCTGTGTCCTCCAGTTGTGTAGGTGTTAGCTCATTTGTCACCTTACCCAAGAGACCTTCCCTAAATATGTTAACTAAAGCAATGTGTTCCTCCAAGTCTACTTAACACTGTTTTGTGTTTCTCCATAGCCCCTTTTTAACGCTGATAAATTTGTTTTTTTTCTGTCTCCTTCCCATTAGAACATAAGCTCTTGGAGGGCAGGAACTTTGTTGTATGCTATATCCTCAGGGTCTAAAAATGGGCTTATTCCATAGTAAGGACTTGATCAATATTTATGGAAGAAAGGAGAGAGGGACAGAGAGAGGGAAGGTCGTTCAGTATCTGTAGCTCTTTCCTCTTGGGCCAGTCAGCGGCTCCCGAAAGGGACTCTCCAGTCTCCTGCCTGGGGTTTAAGACTGTATCACGGGGGCCTGAAAGCCAATTGAGGGAAGGGAACTGGGGGGGTCTCACCATCCGGGATATGACTTCCATGTAACTCCTTTGCTCTCAGCTGCTACAGGATTCTACCCTCTGCTGTGCCTAGGTCCCCGGAGTTCAGATCTTCTCTGTTCATGGTCTCCAGAGGGAAATGTGTGTCTCCTGTCAAGGTGAAGGGATGGTTGTCCCCACTATGCAGGAAGGAGGGGAAGGGATTTGAGGAGTGCACCTGCTCCTTTTTCCTTCTTTCAACCAGTCTTCCTGGTTCAGCCCCCTGCACACCTCCACCTTCAAAGGTAGCTGGTGACTTGAGGATCTGAGCCTTTCTAGGGTTCTGTGGTGTGATTCCACTTGCTTTCTGTGTGCCTTCCTCTCTGAGGTGCCGATGCAGAGAGACAGTCATACCTCCTCATTCTTCCTCTTTGTTTTGTGGTCATGCATGTGTCTGCATGTATTAATTAATTAATATATAACACATATATTTGATGGGAAACAAATATTTCTTTAGTGCCATTTTAGTGGAAAGAATGCATTCTGTGCCATGTGTTGAGTTTGCTGTGTTTACTTGCCAGTCTGGCCCTAGCCAAATACTTTCCTGTCTCTGTCTCCCCAGTGTTCAACAGGTCTGCTGCAGAAAAGTTCTGATATGTGCTTTCTCTTTATAGTATGTGCAGTAGAGTCACATAGTTTTCCAGATTCAAGAAGACTAGGCACCCTCACCCTTGCCACAGGATCCTGAATCCTCAGAGAAGGCAAAACAAGGCTCAGGACAGAGAGCTGCTCTCTGCTGAGCACTACGGTCACCCTTTCTCTCGTCACTTATGGGCCTGTGCAGTGTCCTTATCATCCAGAGCCACTCACGCAAACCCTCCCTTGCTGATGGCGACCGTACATTCCTCCCATCCGGTGGCTCTCCTGTCCTCTGCTTCTTTCCGATGGTGACACAGCTGGCTGGAGCCAGCAGCACCACCTGCGAGATCCACACTGCTACTGCAGGACCAACTCCACTTCCCCCACTAATTTTTATATTTATAGTTTAGCTAATTCCATCTCCAGCAAATTCCTGCCCACCTGAACACAGACATTGTTTTAATCCCTTTCTCCTCCTCTGTCTCTTTCTTTTTATTTATTTCAAGAACTGTTTAAAATCCATAAGAGAATAA
Organism: Homo sapiens; assembly: GCF_000001405.40. Classification (NCBI taxonomy): domain Eukaryota; kingdom Metazoa; phylum Chordata; class Mammalia; order Primates; family Hominidae; genus Homo; species Homo sapiens. Next base: position 38,198,112 of record NC_000006.12, on the reverse strand, counting down.
AAATAATAAAACATTTGCTCACATACTTATCCCCAGAATTGACCCTATTTAATATTTTTTGCATATACTTCAAGTCTTTTTTATTTTAATCAAAGAAATGAAACATTCTAGTTAATGCTGAAATCTCCTTTGTTCCCCATCAGCAGTCCCAGTCCTCGCCCTCTCCTCAGCGAACAATCACTGTCAAGAATTTAGCATCTATCCTTCCAGAATATTTCACACTATTTTACAGACCTGTACGTTTTCCTGAGTCATGCATACAGTTTAGTGTGTGTAATCCCATATTGTACATATTGTCCTCTAACTTGCTTTTGAGCAAGGCTTCTGTTTTAGATCTTTTTCCATACTGATCTTTTCATAGAGCACCTGCTGAGCCTCTTTTCTTTCCAGTTTGCCATATGTGTGAATGTAAAGATGTGAGAGTAATAGCCAACAGTTAATTTGCTTTCACCACATGCCATGCTCTTTGTGTTTTCTCCTTGAGTCCTCACAACCCCAAATGGTAAGTACTGTTATCACCCCTACTTCACACGGGAAACGGAGACTTTAGCGGATGGTCACTTACCTGAGGCCACCTTATGATCCACTCGTGTGTATGATCCATATGGTTCTGGCCCCGGAGGCATGACACAGACACGTAAATGAGGTGTCAATAATATTCTGGGAGCCAGGAAAATAAAACCCAGGGGACAGTGACTAGTCAGTGCCTTGGCCTCTAAATTATTTGAAAGGTCTTCATCTTGCCCTTTGGTGGAAAGAAACTAAGCTCACAGTCATTAAATCTGGCTTCTATTGCTGACTCTATCCTGACAGCTCTAGGATGTCGCACAGATTACTTCTCTTCTCTTTGCCTCAGTTTCCTCGCCTCTGAAATGGGATTCAGATTGCCTGGCTGCCTACCCAAAAGATTGTGTTGGGAACCAAATGAGATAGATCACGACTCTAAGACACTTTGTAAACCAGACAGTGGTCTGTGGATGGGGAAGTCTTTTAGGATGACAAACCTGGCCCGTTATTTTAACTTTCCTTATTAACAGACCGCCTACCATGTTCCAGCTACATCCCCATGATTTCATTTGCATTACAGAATTTAATCCTCATTCCTCAAGCAGCAGCTTTAGAAAGATTGTTTTAAATCCCTTGTTTTTCTGGCTTGCTTAATTACTACTCTGACAACAATATCTCTTTTTTGCCTCTTTCACATATACATAGTATTTTAGCTTCATTATGGGTTAAATTGAGTTTTGTGGGTGGGTCTGGGCACCCTCTCAAAATTTATAGCTTTATTTCTATGGAAAAATTGTTTCCAAGCATCAAACAACCAACTACAAGGCAAGTTTTGGAACATCACCTGTTTATAAGTTGGGACCACTGTACTGTTTGCATTGTTGTCTAATGAGTTTGTGGAAGGAGAGCTCATCTCCCTGGTGAGATTACACACTTCTTAAGGAAGGGGCACTACATCTTGCACATGTCCTCCATAACACCCAGCCGGTGCCATGCACAAGAATGTATTCAAAACATACTTATTTAATTCTTCCAAAGCCCAGCTGCTTGTCTGCCTCCAAGACATGGGTGCTGATGGGAGTCACCTTGGGTGTCCCAAGAACCTCTGTGGTAATCATTGAATCATATACTGTCAAACTTGACAGCTCACAGATGAGGCCCAGGAACACTGTATCTCACTGGCTGAATGTAATTATAGTGGTAATAACACTATCAACTAATTTTTGTAGTATTTAATATATGCCAATACTTTTCTAGATGTTTTATATTTGTTAATGTATTTAATCTTTACCAAAATAATTTAGGTAGTTATTCCTATTATTCCCATTTTACAGATGAAGAGACTGCAGCCTAGAGAGGCTAAGCAACTTGCTTAAGGTCCTAGAGCTGTTAAAAGCACAAAATAAAGATTCAAACACTGGCAGCCAGGGTACAGAGCCCATGCTCTCCACCCCTGTGCCACATTGCCCCTAGTCCCGAAAGACCAGGAGTAAAGCCTGCTGTCTTGACCGTCACCCATGACCCTCTCCACTGGAATACTTGGCGTAATAATACAGTGCTGGCATTCTCACTGGCTCCAGGCCGTGTGATCTGTATTGTTAAATCCTTGGACAATAGGCAAGATAGGTACTCTGTTTAATGCTTATGTGTATTAGACATTCTACCAAGTTCAAACAGTACAGAAAAGCACCAAAGTAAACTAAATGGCTCTTGAAATTCTTCCGTCCAAAGCTAAAATCTGGACCAACATTTTGGCAAACATTCTTATAGACATCTATGTTTTAATACATACGTGTATAGTTCTGCACATGTGTGCATGGGAAAGAATAAAAAATAATTTAAAAAGTAAATAAGTTTAAAATTTTTATTAAATAAAAAATAATTAAAAATTTAAAAATAATACGTATGTGTATAGATACATATTTAAATTGGACATAATTGGGACCTCATTCTAGATGCGTTTCTGTGAGCAGGTGACTGGTGTTATTTCTGTCAGCATTCCGGAGAGGGTAACGGTTCATCCAGTCAGAGCCAGTATGGGGTTGGGACATCAATCCTGCGTGGGTTTTTTTGTTCTTATTAAGCTTTTTTGTTTTTATTAAGACCATATTTATTTTTTAACAATTCACTGCTCCTGTTCAAACACCCTCCTCTCAGCGCCCAGCCCTGGCTCTGAACTGGGCGGGCTGCCATGCCTCTAGCAGTCTGTTGTCTTTCCTGGAGGTTTTGCCTACTAGAGAAGAGATTCTGGGTACCTGGTGAGTTGGAATATTTATGCAGCTATCAATAAAGCCCAATAAACATGGCAGTCAAGGTTTTGCATTGACTAAACAATGCAGGTGGTTTTCTGGCCCTGTGAAATCTCAGCCAAGGCAGCTCCTTTGAGGTTTCATAGTGATTGCAAATGTGGTGACCACTCTGGTGCCACCTTGTCATTTCCCCTTCAAGCAACATGGCAAGTTATTCTGAAAAAGTTCAGGGGAAATGGAATCTGATGGGGGGAGACAGATGCTCATTTCCTTGTCCTAACCAACTTCCCTTACTACTGATACTTTGGTTTAGAATTGCTATCCGGCTCTGCTGAAAATGAAATCATATATTCAACTCTCAGGCTGAAGTCCAGTGTGATTAGACATTAATGCAGTGTAATGGAAGATTGGTATTAAATTGAGACCTTCTGATCTTCTTACTCCTCAAAGTTCCCTCCCGCTCAGACTGCTGCCCTGCCAGCCCTGCCTCCCCTGCCTCTCCTGCCTCCCCATGCAGAAGCAAGGGCAGTGGGGCCAGAGCCCAGAGCCCAGACTGACGTAGGGAGAGGAGAGTGGAGGCAAGAGGAGCAGCAAGGGAGATAGGGGAGGGAGACCCAGGTTCAGGCCAGCTCTGCCCAGGACGGCTCCCAGCGAGACCTCACTGCCTGGGCTCCTCAAACCTCCTCTACATCTTGGAGGGAGGAGTGCGTGGGACCACAGGGCCGTGATTCTGGGCCTGCCTTCACTCTCAGAGCCACACGCATGTTGTTGAGGACTAAGAGCTTCCAACTGTCCAGAATCACTTGGATATTTGACAGGCATTGAGCTAAAAGGCTGAAAAGAACAAAATCTTTGCTCAGTTTCTTCCACTCCCACCGCCTCCCCAAGCCAGTCCTTTTTGTGAAACTGACTTGAACCTAATAGCTGTCACCAGCTACTGTCACTCATCCTACTTCTTTTTCTCTTTCTGGAGGCGTGGCCTGAGAAGCAGCCAGTGGGCCAGCTTTAGTGTACTCTTAGCTTCCTTTAGGGACAGGGATGGGACTCTGATGTCCCAAACAGTGTGAACCTTGGCCAGGGGCTGCTCCCTTCACTTCCCCTCACCTGCTGGAGGAAGGACATGAGTGTGTGGTCAGTTCCACTGCTTGGCTCGCAAGAGACAGCTAGGCCTGTGGAAACCCCACAGGGCCTTGCAGGCTCCCCTGCCGGCCCATGGGCTGCATCCCATCTAGCAAACTCCCCAAGAGAGCTGGGGGTCTGGGAGGACAGCAGTCGCCCACCGAGAAAATAGGCCACCAGCACAAGCCCTGGGCATGGTCAGATGGCGTCACCTTCATGTGTGAATAAGAGCATTTTTATGGAGACAGTGATTTTTCTTTGTTTCCAGAACACTGGTTTCAGGGGCACAGACTTTACACACAAGATGGTAATGACTTTTTAATGACCTTAAGGGGACTGGTGTCCAGGCAGCAGTGAATCAATCTCAGTGGGAGGTTCATAGTGAGAGGGAAGATGGAACACCTGAAACCAAAGGGGGAAAAACAAACTGCAAATACATATATATTTTCTTTGCTAACATTACTTGGTAATTAGACAATTACAGGAAACAGCTTCCAGCAGCTGGCATTTCCACTGTGAGAGCGGAGGAGGGATGGCAGCAACTGTGAACTCCTCACATTTATTACAGAAAATATTATTGGAGTTTACAGTCGTGGGTGCCATGCACTCCTCCAGTGCATTCTGATGAGCTGCTGAGCGTTCAACCAAGAGCAGAACTCCTCCTCTCAGGATCTGCTCAGGGCCTGCTCTGCTGAGTCTTAAATGAGCTGGCCTGGCCCATGCTGATCAATGAGGAATTGCCTTGAAAATATCGGGGATGCTTTCGAAACCACCCAGACAGAGTCAGGCCAGTCTTAAGAATAGACAGTGTCGGGGGCAGCGTTTTGGAAGCAGGAAAGAAGGGGGTAGAGGCCTGTGGAGAACTTGCCACAACCCCCATGTGCCATCACTCACATGGTGGGGTCAGAGGGTGGTGCAGGACCCCCACTGCCCCAGCCCAAGTGCTGACCTCTGCAGCCCTCCTGCATGCCTGCCCTCTTCAAAACTCTCCTCCTCCCAGAAGCCTGCCGAGCTGAGTAGCTGCTCCCGCTCAGATGCGCATCTGATGAACGACTGAGGTCATTCTGCCAACAGCCCTGGGGTAGGCCCCATCATGGCCCCATTTTATAGATGGGGAAATGTATTTATGAACTCCTGCCACCATGATTACATCTATTTGTCCGCACTTTTTTTTTTATTATTATTATACTCCAAGTTCTAGGATACATGTGCACAACGTGCAGGCCTGTCACATATGCATACATGTGCCATGCTGGTGTGCTGCACCCATCAACTTGTCACCTAACATTAGGTATATCTCCCAGTGCCATCCCTCCCCCCTCCCCCCACCCCTTGTTGTAATGAGCTTGGTCTGCCCTTTGTGCTTGTTTATGGAGGGCTTTGTAAGAAGCCTAAGTGACATTCACAGATGGGGAGGAGTGCCTTCTGTGATGGGATTGTAAGCTCCTGAATAGGGACACTGTGTATGTCCTGCCTCTCTCAGCCATACGTTAGGTGCAGCCCAGCTGCCTGCCCCTCCTATAGTGCAGGTCTCCGAGGACAGGAAGCCCTCCCTCCTCAGTGGACATGACTCCATCGGCCACACTACCAGAGAGTCAACTGCACCATCTAATCAGGCAAATGGTTGTTTCCTCTCACAGGTCCTGGCAGTCAGTAACTTTTGAAAGGCAGCCTGCCTCCTTCATCCGTATCGTTGGGACACACAACACAGCAAATGAGGTAAGGGTCTCTTTTCATGAGAGGTGCCATGAGATTTCATGATGTACAGGTAAATGCTACATCCTGAGTTAAGTGGAATTGTTTGTTCTGCCTGCTAATGGCCTGCTATTCAGACAGCTTGGTGTGGAGAAAGTCCTGCAGTTGCACAGTGGGGTTATCATTATCATTTTTGGATATCTCTTCATTAGCAAATGAAAGCCAGCCCCTATTGCTTTGCTAATTCCTACAGCTCTCTGTGGAATCGGCCAACCACAGAGGGCTTGAGAGGTCAAACACCCCATCCCTTGTCTCTGAGTCCTCAGCCCTCCCAAGTGACAGCAGTTGTATGAGGTTTCTTGCCCCTCTGAGCGTGGCGTCTAGCAGGCGGCCGTGCTGCAGACTTATCACTCCCCTGCTGTTTCGTAGTCACACTGTGTCAAGCGTGTGCCTCCGAGGAACCTCTGGTTTAAGAGAGGCAGCATAGGAAATGATGGGTCGAAATGCAACAGGTAGATGAGAAACATAAAAGTAGCAACATTTCTGCAATTTTACCTTTCTGTGATCTTTCTCAGATTTATGCAGGATTGGCTCTATGGTGTGCCACCAGGACAGTCGCATGGGACCCAGTGCTTGAGGTTTAATGCTCTGTGGCACCATCTTGAAATGCTTAGGGTCTTTTTACCTTTGAATTGTGTTTTATAAATGAAGCTCCACGGCACAGCGGAACACACACCAGGACCTTGGAGCCTCAGCCCACACGCAATCCCGCCTCCTGCCCCTTCCCACCTTCCTGCCATGAGCTCTCAGCCACCCGCTCCCTGAGCCAGGATGCCTGGGTTCTGCTTGGCCTGCCCATCCTCATCTCACCCATGATCACTGCCCTCTCTACTCCCAACAGGGGCCCTGGCACAGGGATGGGCGGAGCCCGAGTCTGGTGTGAGTCCTGAGCTCAAGTCACAGGATAGTGCCCTGGGTGCCTGTGAGGGGCTACACTGGCCGGCAGGGCGGTGGCAGTGGGGTGTCCCTGTGCCCGAGGGAGCACAACATTAAGTAGCAAATAATAACCAGCGTGACAGCTTGAGAGAGAGACCCTAGATGAAAGCAGAAAGGTTTTCTACTGCTTTATGAACACAGGGCTTCTCGTTTCCATCCAGCAAATGGGCCCTGTGCTTGGGATTCATGCATTGTCTTTATGGAATTAAAATTTCCCCAGAACACATCAAGGTGTTTCTGGTACTTCAAAAAGCATTTTTAAACGTGAAAATATTGTGATAATTTAAATTCATTTTGGCTTTTTATTTATTTAGAATAAAAGTGGTCCACATCTACAATGTGTTTCTTGCAGAGAGGAACTTGTAAACAGAAACCTGGAACTTTTCCTCTTGCCTCTTTATTTCAAAACAAATCTGAAAACTATAAAAGTAAACCAACCGATTTTTTCTAAAGAAAAATTCAAGAATTATAAACACCAGGTCATAAACAATTGAAATTTTTACATAGTAACATATTGAAATCGAATTAACTGTTTTTCATTTGCAGTTCTTGCTTTTTATACACTGCATCCCCCCAAAAATTTTAGACTAGTTTTTTAATTCCCAAATGGAACCCTGAAATTTTGTATTATAACAGAAGGAATTCTCAAGTCAGAAAAGGCTAAGAAGCAGCAAGGCAAGTCTGCCCAGGGCCTTCTTCTAGGGCTGCCCTAGGTCCCAACCCTGTTACCTCAGTGACCAAGGAAGAAGAAGAGAATCTTGGACTTTTTTTTCAAAGCTATTCTAGATGAAGAATGATTTCCCATTACAGAGCTCGGAAGTTGGAGTGTGAGACCTCTCTTTGATGATGAGTTTCCCAAAAATCTCTGTGCAAGGGGCCCCAACCACTTTGGTGGAGATTGGACCAGCCATTTTAAATGGGTTGGATAGTAGGTCACTAGTTAACTTGTGATCCATCCCATTTGGCTAGTGAATAACTTGCTCAGTTGTCTTTTTGAATCAGTTATTGATCAGGGGAAAAAAAGCCTCAAAGTAGTGTTGTCAACTGGGAAACATCTTTTTTTTTTTTTTTTTTTTTTTAGACAGAGTTTCACTCTGTCACCCAAGCTGGAGTGCAGTGGCACAATCTCAGCTCACTGCAACTTCTGCCGCCTGCGTCCAAGTGATTCTTCTGCCTCAGCCTCCCAGTTAGCTGGGATTATAGGTGCCTGCCACCAAGCCCAGCCAATTTTTGTAATTTTTTTTTGTAGAGACAGGTTTCACCATGTTGGCCAGCCTGGTCTCGAACTCCTGACCTCAGGTGATCCACCTGCCTCAGCCTTCCAGAGTGCTAGGATTACAGGCATGAGCCACCACGCTGGGCCAGGAATCATCTTAAGTCATAAAATAAATAATGAACAGGATCTCATTCTCAGAGAACAAAAAAAGGCACAATAAGCCAGGTGCATTGGCTCACGCCTGTAATCCCAACACTTTGGGAGGCTGAGGCCACAGGTTCGCTTGAGCCCAGGAGTTCAAGACCAACATGGGAAACATAGTGAGACCTTGTCTCTACTTAAAAAAAAAAAAAAAAAGGCTGGGCCTGGTGGCTCACGCCTGTAATTCCAGCACTTTGGAAGGCCAAGGCAGGTGGATCACTTGAGGTCAGAAGTTTGGGACCAGCCTGGCTAACATGGTAAAACCCCGTCTGTGCTAAAAATACAAAAATTAGCTGGACATGGTGGTATGTGCCTGTAATCCCAGCTACATGGGAGGCTGAGGCAAGACGATTGCTTAAACCCAGGAGGCCGAGGTTGCAGTGAGCCAAGATTGTGCCACTGCACTCCAGCCTCGGCAACAGAACAAGGCTCCATCTCAATAAGAAAAAAAAAAAAGAAAGAAAGAAAACCAATTAGCAGACACGGTGGTGTGCACCTATAGTCCCAGTTACCCAGGAGGCTGAGGCAGGAGGATCGCTTGGGCCTAGGAGTTCGAGGCTGCAGTGAGCTATGATTATGCCACTGCACTCCAGCCCTGGGCAGCAGAGTGAGACCCTGACTCAAAAAACAAAAAATGTACAATAAAGCTGAACTTTATTGGGCATCAAGAATACAGCAAACCCTCAGAGAATGTTCTTTACTGCAGCATACTGGGTTCTGGGACATTATTTGAAAAATGTTGTAACACCTATCTTAGAGAACAATGGAAATATGTGTAAGCCAGTATGGCAGAGTTCAGAGGCGTGAGGGACGGGGTCACATCAGGGAAGGAGGATGACTTGGGTCAGGCAGGATTCCTGGGAGAGACAGCTCTAGAGGATATGACCGCATGGACAAGAGCACTTCGTGGAGCTGGGGAGGGCCGCAGCATAGGACAGGAGGCTGGAGATGAGAGTGCAGCACCACCCTGATTCACAGTCCCATGGGAGCCAGAACTGTGCCATCAAAAACAGGGGTCAGGGTACCTCTCTCACTATGGAGCGTGGCCTGGAGGGCAGAGGATGCAGGGTTTCCTCTGTCTGTCCCTGCTTGTTTGCTAAGTAACATCAGCAGCTGTCTCAGCTGGCTATTCTGTTGGCTAAAGTAACACATTGATTTCTCACAGTCCCAGAGGCTGGGAGTCTGAGGTCAGGGTGCCAGCAGGCTCTGGTTCTTGGTGAGGGCCGTCTTCTGGGTTCTGTCCTCAGACGGCCTTCTTTGGTGTGTGCACTTCGCGAGAGACAGTGACAGAGGGCGCAGGCATGAGCGCTCAGTCTCATTTCCTATAAGGACACCAATCCCATCACGGGGGTTTCACCTTCATGACCTCCGCTGAACCTGATCATTTCCCAAAGACCCCACTTCTAATCCCATTCCATTAGGGATTAGGGCTTCCAAAGAGGAATTTGGGAGGGACACAAGCATCAGTCCATAACAGTGGCCTTCGTTTTAGTCAGAGCCAGAGAAACACTCTGTTTCCCTTTAGCTACTCAGTGTTTGTGAACCCAGAGACTTTGTGCTAGCTTCAAAAACTATCGATGGATTTGGTCTATGGCATGGAAAGGTCTGTCTGTGTGTGTACAATAAAGGGAAATCTGCGTGAACACACGCTTTGCCGAATGGCCCAGGTAGGCCTGTCTTCTGCAGGTGCTTCCCCATCAAGAGAGAGGCGGGCAGAGCAGGGACTGGTGGGGAAGCGCAGCATGGAGGCTCCTATGGAAGAGCATTCAAGAGAAGATGGTGGCTGGGCAGTTTGGCAAAAGTTGGGAAGTGGCCTGGACAGTGTGTAAGTAGCAGCTAGCAGAGCAGCTGGCTGTTTAGAGAGACCTGAAGTCATTCTTGGAGGCAGGAGCTCAGTGGGTTGATAGCTCTGCAACAGGGACCATGGAAACTGCCCCGAACTCCAAACACCCCCGGCAGCTGCTGGAATAGGAGAAGGCGGACAGCAGGCAGTGCGTGGAAGCAGGCCCCCCAGGCTGGCCTGACTGAGCTAAGGCGGACTGGGATTTCTTGCCTGCTGTAGGTGTGCATCTGTCTTGCTCCAGTCGGCCAGGTCTTCCTGCATCCAAAGGCTCAGTCTCCGTCTGCTGCATGCTAATTTTCCCCGCTTCCCTCCGATCCGTCCAGCTCTCAGGTGACAGTGGCCTCGGCAGTCTGAGAGTGTAGATTTCTTGATCACCTGCTCTGGCACGCTTCTGATTTCCTGCGGCATTCCATCCCTCTCCTCTGGGAAGTGTACGTCTGCTGCTGGCATCTGTCTCTCATCTTCCTTTGTGAGCACCGCAGCAACGAATTCATTTAATTTTTTAGCTATGTTTATGACTTCTGTCAGTAAATTCCCCCAATGCTTACCTGTTAAAGACTCCACCACTTCCTTCTGTGACCCCTGTTCCTTGTGTACTCAGCATCATCCTTATCATTTATCTGAACTCCTCAGCACACTCCACTTTCACTCCCCCCCACTGTGTGCTTCTGTCGTCCTCTGCTCCCTGCTCGCCTGGCTCTGGAAGCTCCCCTGTGCTTGGCCCAGTGCTCACGTGTGGCTTTTTCTTTACCCTCAAACGCTTCCCCCGACTCCTTTGTCTTCCTCCCATGCTCAGCACTAGATGGCAGACAGATGTCGGTGTGTCTTTCAGCACATCCACCCTCCGCTTCCATTGTTTCCATGCATCTGATTGTCCCCACTGCCTGTGGCCAAGGAGGTCCTTCTTGACCATTTCCTCAGTCACTTTAAGGTGGTCTCGGCTGCCAGCTTAGCAAGTTCATGGTCATTCCTGTGTGGTCGTTCACCTGCCTTCAATGCTAATCAACTCTGAGCCACTGGGGAGACAGACACTGCTCCTCTTCTAAGTTTCTCACGTCTAAAATAAACTGGGCCTTGTCAACAACGTTAACAAACGTCGAGGGAGTCTTTAGTTTCAGCCCCCAAGACTGTGCTCAGAGCCACACTGGTTCTGATGTGCGGGGTCTCCCAGAAACCCTTCCATTTCATGTTACTAATTATCTGAGCAAATAGCAAAGGCACATGCCTACATCCTTAAATAAACCCGGCTGGGAGTAAATAAGATCAAGTCTGTGCACCCATGAAAATCAGGCAGTGATGTTCAAGAAACAGAAGCTACGCCTGTTTCTTTTTATGGCTTTTATAAAAACGTGGGTTTGAAAGTTCTGGAGTGATTTTTTTCAGTACGCTGGGAGCTCAGGGGCCCACAAGCAGTCTTGAGGGTTAAAAAGGACTGTAGGAAAAGGAAATTCTCTGCAATGTATTCAGAAAGACAGGGTTTCTGCTCACAAGAACCTACATGAAAGCTTTTACCAAGTCAATAGCAGAAACTGAGGATGGTATTGACAGGCTTTAGGCAGCTCTCAGGTTCCATTTTACTTACTGAATTTATATAGTGAGGAGAGAGGCTGTGTCATATTCATCTTTGTATCCCTGGCACCTAGCGTGGTGCCTGGCATGTGTAAGCATAGAGGACCTGTTAACTGAATGAATGGGTGAGTGATCTCATCTGTACACCCATCTCTCCCTCTCCCAGTCAGTCAGTCAAAGAAAGCAATAAAGGAAAAGATGTAGTAAACCAACTTTTCATTATCAAGAGGCCGTGGCATTCCAATACAGAGTTTCTATAGTCATATGGAGGATTTTCTTAAACCAGAAACATTTGTAAATGGAAAAGTATGTGCACCAGATATCTCAGCATCTCCTAGCTTAGGACCCTTATAATAATCATCATTATTATTAATTACAATAATAGTAGCTAGTATTTGCTGAGCACTTACTGTGTGCCAGGTTATCTTCCAGCCCTTTATATTTATTACATGATTTAATCCTCATATATGAAGTAGGTTCCACTCTCATCCTCATTTTAAAGATGAGGAAACTCAATACTAAGTGTTGGCAAAATTGTGGAGCAGTGGGCAGTTCTCCTCCAGTGCTGTGGGCAGATGGACTGACCCTGTCACTCTGGAGAAGAGTTTGGTGTTTTGTCCTAAAGGAGCATATGCACACATTCACCCTATGGCTGAGCATTCACTTCCACTCCTATCTGTATTCTCCAACGAAGCTCTTGTACCAGTTTAGGAGGCAGGAGTGAGGATGCTGTCACCGCAGCCTTGTTCATCCTGTACCCAACGGGACACCATGAGCGTCCATCCACAGAGGATGGGTAAGCAAAGCACAGCATCTCATACAACGGGCTGCAGGGACTGTAGGTGGATGAACATAACAGCGTGTTGAAGGACAGAAGCGAGACACCAAAGAATACGTATACTAGGATTACATTCATGGAAACTTCAAAAGCAGGCAAAGCTTTACTACAACATTCATGCATACACAAGTGGTAAAACTGCTAAGAAAAAGAAAGCAAGGGGACAAATCTTATCTGAGCCAGAATTGGGGTTTCCTCAGTGAGGGGGAGGCACCACTGTTTCTTGTCCCACATGGTATTTCTATGGGAAAACTGTGCCTTATAGCATACAGTTTTGGCAGTAAAAAGTTTAGAGGCAACCGAGGCTGAGAGACGTTAACTAATTTGTACGAGATCAACCCAGTCTTGAGTGGCAGAATCAGAATGTGAATCCAGGCAGTCTGGCTGTAACATCGAGGCCACTGCGTCTCCCACAAAGGCATAATAGACGGCAATGTGCAAAATGAGCCCAGCTGCACCCTGGCCCAGAACTCTATGAGTCAGGCATTGATAAGCAGGTGGCTCTGAGCATGCTGTGTACACCAGTTTGTGCTAGATCTTGGGGAGAAACTGAGGCAGGACCCTTCCTTAAGGGGATGGCAGCTTCACCACCTGGTAGAAATGAATCCCCATTAAAAAGCCCCTTAACTCTGGGTGAGATTTCAAATGGCTGTACCTGATTGATGGTAGAGACATCAGTGAATGAAAACAGCAGCCAGCCCTGAAGGAGGAGGGTGAGTCCTGATCTGTAAAACGGATCGAGTGATCCTGGCCCTTGGAGTTTGGGAGCCATGAATGAGTTTATGTCTTAGAGGACCTGGGAGGGTGGGAGGGTGCAGAGCACTCTGCAGGCTCACCGCTCCTTATTCCAAGGAGAGTGATCAGCCCACGAGCGTGTCAGAGGAGCATCTGCATGGGCCGACAGCAGCAGGACAGAAAGTCTGCAAGTGGCTACTTGAGCTGCCCTCCAGGACCACTCGGCTCAGGGCCTGGAGTGAGGCAGAATTTATTTACTGGCTTCGGTCAGACCAGTGAGTGGCTCTGGGCTCCCATGCCACCCTCGTTCCCATAGCAACATGTGGCTCTAATGGAAAAAAACAAAACAGGGAAACAGACTCTTAAAGAAAAAAATGAAACAAGTGCTCCTTCCTGGCATGGTGATAATTATTTCCGAGGTCCCCCTGCCCCAGGTCTGATTCCACTCTCTCTGGCCCCCCGAGGATTTCCCCGGCAGCATCCTCCAGAGGACCATCGTCTCAGCCCAGAAGCACCTCAAAGCAGTCACATGCTGGCCCCAGGGCCAGAACCCCCAGTGGGCGCTCTCTGTGCTCTGTGGCAGAGCACAGAGAGAGCAAATGGAGAGGCAGCCCTCTCCTTGCAAAAGCTCCTGGTCTGCAGAGAGCACCAGTTCCAGCCTTCAGACTCCACTTCTGTGTGGGAGGGAACCTGGCCCTCCAGGGGCTTCATGTTCCAGCAACTGGAAATGGATGCCCACAAAGAAAACCTGCTTGGGAATAGAAATAATGGAAACAAACTTAGGTTTCAGATGGCAGCACGGAGGCCCTGTATGGTGCATGCGAGGTACTGGGCCAGAGAGGAGGCAGTGCAGGGACAGCCGGGATAGTCAAGCCCAGCGGGCAGCCTGGTACCTGTGAATCTGCATTGTACCAGTTTAGGAGGCAAGAGTGAGGATGCTGTCACCGCAGCCTTGTTCATCCTGAACCCAACGGGATACCACGAGCGTCCATCCACAGAGGATGGGTAAGCAAACACAGCATCTCATACAACAGGCTGCAGGGACTGTGGGTGGATGAACATAACGGCGTGTTGAAGGACAGAAGCCAGACACCAAAGAATACGTATACTAGGATTACATTCATGGAAACTTCAAAAGCAGGAGGTTCTGACTGGCTCCCCACCACACTGCAGTTCTTGAGAGCAGAGACTGTGTTGTAGCATCTTTGTGTCCTCAGCACCCAGCCCAGTGCCTGGCACACAGTAACCCCTCCATAAATCAGACCATGGGCCAGAGCGTTGGTGTGGGATTCCAAAGGGAATGAGCTCTCAGGAATCACTTGTGACAGCCTGAAGCCAGATGAAGGAATAACTGAAGATGGCATCAAGGCTGTGACTGCCATGCCCTTGGAGAATGGCAGAGCTCTGATGGTTATGAGAGAGTCTGGAAGCATTCGGTTGCACAAAAATATAGGCTGGGGGAGAGGCAGTGAAAGCTGAGCCATCCAAACAAAAACTTGGATTTAAGGATTATACCTGCAGATAATGATCAAAGCCAGGTGCCTCAGAAGAGCCAGGCTAAGAAGAAAGGGGTGTGGAGGCTCTAGAAGCTGGTTCCATGAACCAGCACTGGGCAGGCAGGGAGGCAGAGGATGCACTGAGGGGAGCGAGCAGTGAGTGGAAGGAAGGGAGGGGGCCTCGGCACTGGTGCCAGCTTCACCTCCAGCCAGCTGTGTGGCCCCAGTGTCATTTTACCTCCCTGCCTCTCAGGACACTTGCCTTTGAAATAAGGAGAGTGAACTAGATCTTAAAGCTTCCTTCCCAGTGAGACAGGAAAAAAGGCAGAAAAATATTTAGTTTGTTTCATAATTATAAAAGAAGACCTTTTAGGCCGGGCGCGGTGGCTCACACCTGTAATCCCAGCACTTTGGGAGGCCGAGGCGGGCAGATCACGAGGTCAGATCGAGACCATCCTGGCTAACACGGTGAAACCCCATCTCTACTAAAAGAATTAAAAAATTAGCCAGGTGTGGTGGCGGGCGCCTGTAGTCCCAGCTACTCAGGAGGCTGAGGCAGGAGAATGGCATGAACCCGGGAGGCGGAGCTTGCAGTGAGCCGAGATCGTGCCACTGCACTCCAGCCTGGGCGACAGAGCAAGACTCTGTCTCAGAAAAAAAAAAAAAAGAAGACCTTTTGTGGGCTTCTTTATATTTAAATGTTTGTTATGAAAGATTTTATTGGAAAAAAAGAGAGGAAAAGCAGGACAACATTGAGCACATATGGTTGTTTCAGACACTGCACAATCCTTAGACCTGTCATATTGGAGCAACAATAATTCTCCATCCTCAACTGGCCTGGGAGAAAGTGACCCCAGACCTGGGCAGATGAGTACCCAGGAGCCTCCCAGCAGTGAGACGCATGGAGACAGCAGCTTGTGAGGGTCCCCTCAGATGTGTCCCATTGCTGTGCCAGCAGTGAGGGGTGATGCTGGAAGCCTCGACGCAGCTGGAGCCCTTTGAGACAGAAGGTACATGCGGAGCCTGGTCACACAAAGTGAAGAACCGCCCAGGCAGCTGGAGACACATGGGCCAGCCCTGTGGGGAGAGCAGGGCCATGGCTAGGCTCTCTTGGTGCCTGTCTGGTGTGGGAAGGGGGCCCTGGTGAGGCCACATCTATCAGGTGGGGAGATTCAGGCATCCCAGAAGCCTGCGAACAAGAACACTTCCCTTTTTTTGTTTCTTAGTTTTTCAAAAAAATAACTAAAAGATACCTCTACCACTCTATAGCCGAATCCATTAAGACAAGAAAGTAACTCTCTCCCTGGAACTCTGGAGTGTACACACATAAAAAACAGGGCAGGAATTCCAGGGCTGCCTGGGGTGATAGGGATTGGAAAGCCTCTTCTTCCAGAACCTTCCAAGCATCAGAGTTCCAATTATCTGTGGATATCCTGGCCTATGTGAATATGAGAAAATGATATTGTAAAGTTTTTTTAAAAGCTGTTGCCGTACATAAGCATTGTCACCCAGAAACTTACCTCCATACTTAGTGCAAAAATATTTGGGTATCCTATCACCCTAAGCAATACTGAAAATTTGTTGCTCGCAATTTGGAAATGTCTCCCTATGAAGTAATTCCTAGTTTTGTTTTTTGTTGTGTTTGTTTGTTTGTTTGTCTTTGAGACAGAGTCTCGCTCTGTCTCCCGGCTGGAGTGCAGTGGCGCGATCTCGGCTCACTGCAACTTCCGCCTCCCACGTTCAAGCAATTCTCCTGTCTTAGCCTCCCGAGCAGCTGGGATTACAGGCATCTGCCACCACACCTGGCTAATTTTTGTATTTTTAGTAGAGACCAGGTTTTGACACGTCGGCCGGGCTGGTCTCGAACTCTTGACCTCAAGTGATCCGCCTCTCTCAGCCTCCCAAAGTGCTGTGATTATAAGGTGTGAGCCACCATGCCCGGCCCCTAACTGAAAACAATGTGTTGGGCTGTTCAGATGCACATAAAAAACCAAGGTTTATCAAAAGGGATATTTTGTTGGAGGCACTCGTCTTCATTTTTAAAGAACAAAAACAAAACATCTCTGCAGTCTGTAGATGGACTGTTACCTTCTGCTCTGAGGCGAGCATAAGAGAGATGTTAATGGTGACCATCGTCAGGATCTGTTATGTCACTGAACGCTGGGTGGGTGTGTGATGCCACCACATCAGCCACTGTGAAAGGGAAATAGGGGATCTTTAGGGGAGTGTAAGTTAGAAGTCATGGCTTTGCATCTGACTTATGGACAGACATCAAGAGGTAGATATCTATTTTATAAAGATTTGTCAACTTGTATTTGTAAGTTGAAAACTTGGATCAGAAATCCTATTTGTATTGGTTGGCATGAAAGCAGTCTGTGGAAATTATTCAGGAGGAACCAGGAAAGCAAGGCAGAGTCATTGATCAACATTTATTAAATTTCCCCAATTTCTGCTGCAGTTCACAGTGGACTCTTAGGCCAACTTGGGAAAATTAGCAAAGGCTTCTGCTTTTAAAAACCTTGAAAATTTGTCAAGCAAATAGTGCTTAGGGAATCCCTCTAATGAGAGGCAGCAGCCACCAAGCCACTGAGGAATTAGCCTGGTCACCAAGAAGGGGCTAGCACATTTGTGTACATCCTGTCCAGGATTCACGGGGAAAAGAACACCCAGCCTATCTCCAGTATGTGGTGAATTATGGCTCCCAGAGAGGCAAGGCAAAGTGATCATAAACAGCAGCTACAGAAAAGGACACCCGATTGTGACTGAGGCTGTGTCGGATTCATACACACGACCACATTCCAAATTAGCCGGCTTCTCTCAGGGGAGAGATCCAGAGGCCATTGAAGACGGTTCAGCGAAGGCGCCCCTTTGTGAGCAGCGGCAATCAAACAGGCTAATGGGATACATGATTGCTGAAAAGGGGAAGGGAGACTGATGCGGCGGCCAGAGTAATGGTTTTGCATAAATGAGTAGTGCGGCTCTGCCCAGTGTGTCTCAGCCACATTTGGTCACGTCCTTTCCAAGAGGTATTGCAGTCTTGGGAAAGTTTGGAGAAAAGAAATTGAATCACTTGAGCTTCTGAGCAAAGAGACTCAGGACTTGGCTGTTCCACCTAGAGGGAAGCCCAAAGGTGCCTGGTGGAAAGAAGTGGGCTGAGGAGCTTGGGGTTACGGTGGGAAGGGGAGGGCCACATGCCCAATATTTCCAGATTTCCCCCCTACCATGGCAGTGATGACTTCCTCCAAGCTGCCATCACCCTCCTCCAGCTCCTGTGTATAAAAAGCACTGCCGCCTCCCTTCCCTCACACTCCTCTCCAAGGGCCGGAGGCAGCTTCACGCCCAGCCCCAGCAGCGTGGCCACCAGTGAAGGTGCCAGTTTCCCCACGACAGGCTTGCTTTTCACTCCCGCTCCCAAGAACAGAATCGGGACCACCCACAGGCCCCCCCGAATGCCCATTTGCATTGCGTGCAAATCTGAGGATTTCTGGGATCCCAGGAGAAGTAACCCCAGCCTCGTACATGTTGATGGGCATCCGAGTGGTCCAGGAGCTAGCTGGGTATTGGCTTACACAGTTGCCACATTTGGCTGAAGGCTGCTAGGCTTAAATCATCAACAGAGATGACTGAGGCAGGCACACTGCTCCACAGAGGGGTGACCAGAGTGAATTACAGACAGGCTGCCAGGAGTGAGGTGCCAAGGCCCAGATCTTTATGTGGAAATCTTCTCCTCGTTCCCTTTGCCTGGAAAGCAGCTCCCCTCCCTGCCTCCCAACCCCTCAAGGCCTCACCTGTGCACACCTTCCTCTCTGTAGCCTGCCCTGACCCCTCTTCCAGGCAAAATTAGTTTCTCACACACCTCTGATGTATGAAATATTACTGATCCCGTGCTGGTAGAATTGTTTGTGTGAGGCAGGTATGTTGATACAGTGGAACAGTCCAGGCTTAAGGAAGGCACAGCCCTGAGGTTCATTCCCAGCCTGCCACTCGCCATTTGCAGAAGAGTGAACACAGGCCCCTGCACAGAGGTGCCTCTGCCCCCAACTGCCTGAGAGGTCCTGAGGGCAGGAGCTGCGCTGTGGGCGCACCTGCTGGAGTCTGCACTCAGTGAAATCATTGCAGGGAAAGGGTCTGTGAGAGTCCTTGGCATGAGTGCAGGTCTGAGCTGCTGTAACTGGAGCCCTGGGACCTGCTGCTGCCACCTTCTGTAGCACCGCAGTATGCCCGCCCCCGTCCCTTCCAGGGAACCCTGAGAGTCATTGTGGGCGCTCTCCTTTATCAGTCTCATCCAGTCTGTTACCAAATTCTGATCTTTCTTGATTTGAAAATGACTCCTGCCTATTGATTCCAAATTGCTAAATCAGGGGATTCCAAGGTTTAAAGGTTTGTTGTCATCTAGATTTTTAAAATACTTGTTATTTGAATTTGTCACCACAAATGTATATTCCTTTTTAAATAACTTTTTTAGTTTAAGAAATATTAGTTTTTAAAGAGTCTCGTAGGCTGGGCATGGTAGCTCACGCCTGTAATCCCAGCTCTTTGGGAGGCTGAGGTGGGCGGATCATGAGGTCAAGAGATCAAGACCATCCTGGCCAACATGGTGAAACCCCATCTCTACTAAAAACACAAAAATTAGCTGGGTGTGGTGGCACGTGCCTGTAGTCTCAGCTACTTAGGAGGCTGAGGCAGGAGAATCGCTTGAACCTGGGAGGCGGAGGTTGCAGTGAGCTGAGATAGCCCCCCTGCACCCCAGCCTGGCGACAGAGCGAGACTCTGTCTCATAAATAAATAAATAAATAAATAAATAGCCTCCTTTGTCCAAGAGTATCAGGATCCCTGCCCAGCTTAAGGCCAGGCCCTCGCCCTGTCCCATTGGGTGTGGCCTCTGCCCCACCCCTCCCCCCCACACCCTGCTGCTCCCAGGCCCTCCTTGCTCTGTTGCCACCCTTTGGCTTGAGAACCTGTGTAGTTCTTCCTGTTTTTCTTCCACACCAAGTCCCCCCCTCCTCCATCCTCTCTAGCTTGGCTGCCTCTTCCTTCCAGACTCACCTCAGATGTCTCCTCCCCCAGGAAGCCTTCCCTGACCGCCTGCCTGGCTGGGTCCCACTCCTCTATGCCCTGGGGCTCCTTCTCCCTGGCTTATGTGTCTGCTGGCCTCACTGGACCGTACACCCTCTGAGGGCAGCTGGGACCTCGCCCAGTCAGGCACGTAGGAGGTGCTTCATGCTTGTGGTACGTGTGTACCTCCTGACCCTGCTCACGTGTGCAGCGTCATCCTCTGGCCGTGTCTGCTGCATATGTGATGTTCATCCTGTCTCTGTTGGTGTGCAGAGGCTGTTCCCTCCCCACCTGTCACCTGTAGCTTGCCCACCCCCACCCATGGCAGGTTCTGTGTCTTCACCCGCCTATCCATTTGTAAAAACACTCTTTTCCACTTAGAATCTTCGCCACACAGTTTGTGATTTAATACAGGTAACTCACTCCTGCCTGTGTATTGCCTTTGAATCTGGCAGCACCTGCGTGGCTTGGTGGAGATGCTCAGGGAGACTGCACTTCATTTAGTTGGGATTCTGGGGCCACAGACTGGGACGCAGCTCTGAGATGGCCCCAGTTCCTTGCAGAGCCACAGGGAGCTCAGTCAGGCAGTTACGGCCTAGGGCTTCCAGGGGCTTCCAGGGTCCCCTAACTTGATGGCAGGGCCTGCCGTGAGCTCTGTGGCATCAGGGAGAGAGATAGTTAGGAGTTCTTTAGAAGAAATATCCATAGGAAAACACAGAAGCAGTTGAGATTGGCTGTCAGTCTTGTTAGGTGTGTTGGGAGTAACAGCCATTTGCATTATTATCTGAAAACAAATTGGCTAATGGGCTAAACACAGTTGTGCCCTTAACACTGCCCAAGTTAGACAAGAGATAAATGCAGCTGGAAATGAGAAGAAACAATGAGAACCAGGGCACCGACAGGTCGGGTCGTGGAATGTCTATCACGTGCTCACCACAGACAGCATCTCTTCCCAGGCTCTTACCAGCGCAGTGCGGAGCAGAGACCCGCCCTGATCCCTCCTCCAGTGAGAGGCCGGCTGTGAAGAGCAAGCCGCAGCACCAGGCCACTCTGAGGTCTTTTTTAACTTTATCTCTCAATCCAGGGTTTTTATCGATTTGTTTATTCTTGTGCAAGAACCCGAGCAGGTAGAAGGACGACTAAGCCTTGGTCCTTGAGTCAGATCGGAGCTGACAGATCAGTAGAAGGAGGCAGGCAGCGGGGTGGGCCACGGAGCGGGAGGCACCCTGAAGGCTTGCGGGGCCGGTGGGGGAAGAGCTGGCCTGGAAATTAACAGGACTGTAGAGAACGTTGCAAGAGCAAAAGGAGAGAAAAACCATTCAATACCAGAGGAGTGAGCTTGAGAAAAGGTAATAAGGAGTAGGACAAACGTAAGTCAATTCCAGGATTAGTGTCAGCCTGAGGCTCTGGGGAGCGGCCTCCGGAGATATTGACCGAGCAGGGAGAGCAGGGATTACACAAATAACCAATTAAAGAACATGGTGGGGCCGGATAAAGAGCTCCTGTGTCAGCAGGGGGAAGGAGCAGTAAAACACAGCCTGTCCTGAAAAGTCCTGCGTGTGGGCGTGGGAACAGAATATGGCTCTGGGTCATACTGCAAAAGAGAAGGCGTATTTGCTGGGTTATGAGAAGCTTTAGTGGGGGGGGTGTTGAGGACCGGGACTGCACTCTCAAGGCGTGTCCTGGCCCCGCAGAGCCTGACCTCACCTATCCCTGGGTGTGGAAGAAGGAACACTTATAAGGCAAGTGACCCATGAGTGGCCGACATGCCCAGGGCGGTGTTGTTACTGAAGAGCTGCAAGATTGTGAAGCTGATGAAGGAGTGGATTAATGGTTGTCACCTAGAGGATGATTCTCAGATTCCCCTGGCCTAGCCCAGGGCAGAGCTGATGGCCCAAATAGTGTTCAGATCTCCACATAAGGCCTTCCCCTAGGACCTAGCCCCTCCAGTTGTTGACTGGTAAGCCCTGCAGATGGACCCACAGAAGGAGATTTTATAAAAAAGGAAGGAAGGAAAGAAAGGAAAAGGAGGGAGACATAGGCTAAGTGGGGACAGCTTCAGCCGTGAGGCAGTGAGGGGTCTGCAGGAGGCGAGGACCGTGCCTGAGCCCCTGCCCTATAAGGAGAGAAATCAGCTCCCTCTAAGAGAAAATGGCAGCTCCCAAAACAGAGTGGACACACCAGGAAGACACGGTCTCAGTCTTCATATGAGAAAATGTGAAATTTAAAACAGTGGTCAATAAATGAATTGAAGTGGGAATATGGAAAAAACAGTGATGCAGGGAGGTAAGCGTGGAATTTATATTTTCAATATAATTCTGCAGTTGATACTACATTTGTCTCTGTGAACTTGATTCTACGGTAGAAGGCCGTGTGTATGTATGTGCACACATGCTCGTGCAGTGGCAACGACAGCCCCCACCCCGCCCTTCTCTCCTGCACCCCACAGCTCACACATGCATGTCAGGACCCCCCGAAGCACGTTGTCTACTCTCCAGGTCAGGGCCATGGCTTACCCTTGCTTGCGGGGCGCTGAGCTCGGTGCTGTGCCCTGTCTGCACAGTGCTGGCACGGTGTTGGCACAGAGTTCATGGTGCTTCCAGGCTGACCTGCTGTCAGGTATGCAAACTCTTCTTAGCTCCTAGAGGGTGACTGTCGGCCAGGTGGCTGGCTTCTACACATTGGGGGCGTTTGTTCCAGGCTGGCTGGAGCCACATGAGGTTGAAGTCCACTCCCCAGCACGGCTGCTTAGCAGGGTCTGTGCTCAACCATTGCAGGGCCAGGAGAACTATGCATCAGGAACCAGCTCAGGACAGGACACCATGCCATTGCAGGGCACGCTCACACACATTCACATGCACTCAGACTGGGACCCTGCAGACACACCAATGAACCTCAAGTGCACAGCTTTGGGACGCGGGAGAAAACCAGAATACCCAGAGACAACCCACGCAGATGCCACACAGATGGTGGACGTTATCTGTGGACCTGCTTTCCACAACCTCACAGAATCGAACCACCACCACCACCACCACCAGTCAACTCCTGTTGACTTTTAACCCAACTGCCAAATACAAAAATTAATTAAAAAAGAAAAAAGAGCCCATTAGACAAAGGTTGGCAAAAACGGAGTAATCCAGTGTGAAGATTTTGTGGGAATCCGTGTCATGGTGTCTCTAACTTTTGGGCCACTGGCTCATTTCCTTTCCTCTTGACTGATCAAAATGTGTTTACAGCATGCTAGTTGCCATCAGGTGTCTGCGCCGGGGCAGGCGTGGGCAGTGGGAAGGACCTCCTCTAACTCCCTCGTGGTGGCCCCCAAAGCTGGGCAGGGCAGTATCCCAACTTGCGGCAACTCCAGGGCCGCATGCTGACCCTTCACTCATGGGGTCTTTTCCTTTTCTCTCCCAGGTGTTCCACTGTGTCCACTTTGAGTGTCCAGAGCAGCAGAGCAGCCAGAAGGAGGAAAATAGTGAGGAATCGGGGACAGGGGACACCAGCCTGGCCGGTCAGCAGCTCGACTCCCATGCGCTGCGGGCGCCTAGTGGCAGCTCACTACCCTCCAGCCCAGGCTCCAACTCACGCTCCCCCAACCGGCAGCACCAATAAAGGAGGCAGCGGGCCTGGTGTGACTTGGTGGGCTCGGGCAACGGCAGGAAACGGTCTCCTCCCTGAGCAGGGGTCTCTGTTGACTGCCCCCACCTCTGCCCCTTTCCAGGGAGGAGCCGACCTAGCTGCAAAAGCAGACACCGAACAGGTTTTCTCCCAAGGACAGAAAGGGGCTGCTTTGTTCTTCTCAATTTATCCAAATCAGGCAGGTCTCAAGGGGGAGAAAATGGGTCTTCAATCTTCATCAAGTCCACCATTAACACCCTACCTCTCTAATCTAGCCCAGGCGCAGGGAACAGGAGGAAGTCATAGACAGGCCTGTGTTGGAATACAAAAATGGCACGCAAACACTCAGGCGGAGGAGAAAGCCATTGGGCCTTTGCTACCTGGAGGCACCCTTTAGGAATGGGCCTCCATAGAGTGTTCATTCTGCTGGAATACATTGCCCTGGCAACTAAATGATTTTTTATTTGTTTTAGTTATTCTCCACTCAGTGAATCATAGGTGTTCCGGATCTATTTGAAATGCTCAAACAGCAAATCACTAGTTTTAATCCCTTTTGATGCTATAATTTTCCTTCCTTGGTTTTGAACGGTTCAGCTTGCGGGGACAGAGACCCATCGTGCATGTCTCCTAAATGAGACACGGATGCAGCTCATCCTGGCACTTGGGCCACAGAGGAAGTGCCACAAATGCACACAAGCAAATCAACCTGTGGACACTGGAGTTAATAGTCACTCGTGTGGCTGAGTTACTCACCTGTCATTCCTGACATGGATCCAGCCTTTAAGCTTGGGAGGCTGACAAGGAAATAGTTACTATGCCCGCTGCTAATTCACTGTTCCGAAGTCCATGTAGATAAACATATACCGAGTTCTGGCGTGGCCAAACCTGCCGGGGACTGCCGTGGCTTAGCTGCCCCTCCAGTTGTGTTTATCGAAGCATTGGAGAGGCAGCCACCTGCCCATCAGCGTCAGGAACGCAGAACTGGGACTCCGTGCTTCCCCCACACCACAGTACTCAACTGGGGACTGAAAAATAGCAGTTCCAAGAAGCTTTTCTCCTAATCCTCATCAAAAGGACCTCATTTGACGATGGTGGCTTGATGTGGCTCCGTCTCCTACTTAGTGATTTCCATTCCAGTGCTGCCTGCCCTGGGTAACTGCGCACAACATTGCCTGCCCCTCCGCTGTCCCCAGAGCTCCGGCCTCTGTCGCCATCAGCATCAGCCTGGGAGTCTCCCCAGGACGGCATGGCACGTGAGCAGCACTGCAGTCCTTGGGTCTTCGGCGCCAACCTGCAACCCTGATCAAAGGAGGGTGAGGGCGTGGGAGTTTCCTTTCAGGTGTGTCAAAGACATATCAGCTGCGCTCTAGAAAGAGCCAACGGGTCAGCCGCTTCCTCCTAGTTTAACTTGATTTTGAGTGATTTGTCCATATGGAAATAGTAGGGTAGCATCAAACTGCGTGATTAAATTGGAAGACTGTCTTTCCGTGTGAACACAGGATGGCAGACATCAGAGGGCTACCGGGGCAGGGTGGACACGTTCCTGAGGAGAAGCCAGGGTCTGCAGCTCTCCATCCTCCCCGGTAGCTCCAGCTGCAGGGCTGAGCTGCTTCCTATCCCCTCAGCTCTGATCTCTGCCACTTCCCTGTTGTGTGGGAGAGTGGAACACTCCTGGGATGCCAGGCATTTCATAATGGGAGGAGGCTCCTGTAAGGAACGGTGGGCGCCCGCTCACAGTGGGGGGCCCTCCAGCATGGTTGCTGACTCTGTCAGCCCCCAGCCCCGGGTTGCCAATTAGCCAGAGAGCTCCTGCACACACAGCACTTCCTTCCCCAGTGTGTTTTCTACCCAGATGGGGACAAAGGAGCCAGACAGTCATATCAAGGGCAGAGTTCAAACATTTTGAAATGAGCCATTCACATGCTTCTTTTTAAACATGGGCATCACCTGCCCAGAGGCCCTTGGCCTGAAGCAGCATGCTGCTGACCTTGGGAAGAGAGGGTGGGCTGGTGGGGGTGCTGGAGGAGCTGCCCGGCCCTGCATCTGCAACCCTCCAGTCCCCTGCCCACAGAGCACGCAGAGCCCTCCTGTGCTCCGGGAACGAGATAGCAGCTTGGCAGCTCGGCCTCGCATCTGAAAAGGAATACGCTGCAAAGCCTCGGCCCTAGACCCACATCTGCAGCTCCCTGGCCTGTGGCGGTTCTTTCCTTCGGGGCATGCCCTTCCAGATCTCTGTCCCTCCTGTCTTCTAGCACTTTAAAGATGCCCCTTATCATCAGATAAAGAGAAGTATGGGGACGATGGGGTGGCACTAACAGTAGATGTCATTGGTGAGGACTGATGGCAAAGTCTCATTCCCTCACAGCCGCGCTGCCAGCTCGCCTCCCCCTCGCTTTGCTGGGAGCCTGCCCTGGACTCCAAAAGGACACGGGTTCACCTCCTTTCCCAGGCTGGAGGGGTACTGCCCTTCCCTGAGGGGCCTTCTGACTGGGGCAGGAACTCTTTTCGTGTGTCCAGCTGGGCCTGGAGGCCAAGTCAAGGTGTGTCACACCACACACCAGGGCAAGGACCTCATCTCCAGGGAACAGGGACAAGTGAGTGGCTACCAGAAAGTCCCCGGGCAGCCTGGAGTTCCCCAGAGCCTGGCTGGTCCTACAGAGCACTTCTCCCCTGGGCCACCAGGACCAAAGCGACCTAAACACTTGAAGCTAAAAGCAAGTGCTGATGATGGGATGGGCTGGCACGTGGCTGGGAGGGCTCCTGGGCACCACAGAGCCCTCAGCCCAGCAGAGAGTGGAGGCTCAGTCCGTGGGGAGCGGGGGTTGTGAAGGAGACATGGCCAAGCCCCTGGTCGGGGAGATAAGCTCCCCCATGCCCAGGCCAGCCCCAGGGGCAACAAGCCAACATGGAGAGAGGTGGCAGGTGAGGCTGACAGGTGGGTGCCTGTGGCCTGGGCCCATGAGGGCAATGGTCCTCAGTAACCAATGGAAAGGACACAAGGGCGCCATGGTCACCACCACCCAGGCAAAGAAATGGGAGGTGGCCAGCACCCCCACCCTTCACTTTTCATTATTATTATTATTATTATTATTATTATTTTTTTTTTTTTTTTTTTTTTTTTTTTTTTTTTTTGAGAGTAGAAAGGCAACTTCATTGGAGCTTTTGGGGAAAAAAGCCTTCAAAGTCACCTTCTGGCAGCTCTGGGGAGGGTCATTTGGGGTGGACTGAGAGTGTAGGGCAGGTAGGGTGTGTGCTGGGCAGCAGCTGTGTCCATGCAGCCAGCACCCAGCAGGGCAGTCTCACAGGAGCCGTTGTGAGCACTTTGGACTTGAAGCAGCTATGAACCACCCCCCGCCCCCACCGTCTCTCCCTCTCACACACACACACACACACACACACACACACACACACACACACACACACCCGTTTTACCATTTTCTCAGTGCTTTTTCTGCTTTCATTCCTTTGATTTTAGTTAGAAGCACAAGCCATGATGGATGTGGGACTCTTCTCAATTGCTCTTTAAATTGTCACTTTTTAAATCCTATTAAATGAAGTGTCGATTCCTGACAAATACATTAAAAGTGTTTTATTCCTAGAAGAGTTGGGAAAAGAAATTATTTTCAGCAAGAGTAGGATGTTTGTTAAACTGATTCCTTGGCAAAAAAGAGAAAAAAAGCTTTTGAATTGTGCAAAAAATTGCCCAGTATTATGCTGTCGCCCCAGTTGTCAAACTGCTGTGCAGATGGCTCCAGCCCAGTCAACTTCACCTTCTTTTTAATTTAGAAGATAACAAAATTGTAATCACTTATCCTTTCCAGAGCCAAGGGGGAAAAGGAAGGTATAATCTACAATAAAAAGCGAGCGTTCTGTGTACTGAGGCCACTTGGTGATAAAGAGATGGAGCGCTCCCCTCACAGACTTCAATTAAGAACCTCCCTTTGGACAGGGAAGAAAGGTGTCAAAGAGGAAAAGAAAATTAAATTTGCTTCCTTCCAGGAGTTTTTCCTCATTAGTGCTTGCTTGTCGGTGTTATTATTTTAATCTTACCTTCTATGTGGTGACCAGCTCCTCCGAGCGATGCCCAGGTCGGGCACGGCCCGGGCAGGGCAGGTCTGCAGCGATGCCGTGGCAGAGGTGGGCATACTCCATTTGTTTTGGCAGCTGCAGCCATTGATTCTGCATATTTTTCCTGACAACAGCCCCGGCAGGAGTTCAGTTAGGAATTTAAAGTGCAGTTCATGGTTCTGTGCCACCGTGGCTTTTATTATTATAATATTAAATTAGAAGTTGTCCTAGTGCCTGGTGTTTGCTCAGAGTTTCCAGAAGAGAGGGAAGGGCAAGGTTTAAATGGCATGCAGGACAACTGGAATGCCCCCATCTCTCTCGCTGACACGGATCCAGTCATACCTGGGGCTGGACGGGATTTGGAGGCCCTGGTCATTTGCAGAGTGAATGGTGAAGGGCGCGGAAAAGGTTTGCTTGGAGGAAAGACCGGTTGCAGAGGCGAGGCGGAGGGAGGAGGGGCGGAGGCAGCAGGTCTTTGTTTGTGGTAGGTCTCTGGCTTCCATCAGGGAGGAGGAAAGAGGCTGTGCCCTTCCTGGCTCTTGGCTGCACCACTGAGGACGCTCCGAGGGACAGCGTGCTCACCCATCCTTTGCACAGTGCTGGCCCCAAGCCCCACGGCCTTCCAGCTAGGATTTTCTGCTGGGCTCATGCAGAGGCAGGGGACAGGTGCATGGAAGAGCCGCCCCACCCGACACACCATTGTTTGAAAATCACTGTTCTCTTTACTCACTTAAAAAAGTGTACAGGGAACACCTGTTCCTGGCATAATGCTCCAACCTCGCGGAAGGGGCCAGGTGCCCTTCATCTGGCTCTGGCTGCTTCCGACCTGGGCCCACGTCATCGTTCACGTCCTCTGTGACCACCACTGGTCACGGTGCTCCCTGGCCCAGCCTCCAACCCACCCAGCACCCTGGCATCTCCCAGGCCAGTCTGCTGCACCCAGCGAGCTTCCAGTCAGAAGCCAGGCTGAACGGCCCTCCTGCCCCATCAGCTTCGTGTCTTCTTTTTTTTAAAGAACTGAAATAGTCCCCAAGAGGCCTCATGGCCTGAAGACTCACAATCATCCACCTGTAATTTATGATAAATGTCTGGGAGCATTTACCATTTGCGTCCGTGAGTATTTATAGCCCTGAATGGGCGGGGGGGAGGGGGGGTGGAGGAGGCCCTGCAGCCAGGAGCTACACACCTGTCCCCACTAGTGTCCCCTGGTTGACAGAGCCCCCTCAGCCTCCCCAAGGCTGTCACTGCGGCTGTGACAGCTGAGGAGTGCCGCCTTTGAAAGCCAGTGGACAGTCGCTCCACTAGGGGGAGAGGCCCTGGCCCTGGCGCAGAGGAGGCGTTGCGAGGCGGGACGGGGGCTGGAGGGGCTGAGCAGCCTTCAGGGCAGGGACTGGGCCCTGGGTCACTGGAGACGTTGATATTAGTCCGTCTGCTGCCAAATTGCTCCCCACCACATGAGCCCCAGGGGTTTATGTCCCAGGAAGGCGAGGGTGCCCATCTGAGCGGAATTGGGAGGGGACGGCACCAGCTCATCTCCCTCAGGGCCTTTGCCTCCTGGTGCTGCCCTGGTGGCTGCTCCTGCACCACAGCCCCTGATGGCTGCTGCTAGTCCTGAGTTGCTGGGTTTACCCCCAGCCCACACTTCCCACCTGGGCCTGAGGGTGCGGCCAGTGCCCTAGTCCTAGCCACTACAGGAGTCATTCTGAGACCTGCTGGAGGCCATGGGGTCTTCCCAGGCCCCTCAATCAGCTGCTTCCAGGGTCAGCAGGGCAGGGTGCTGCCAGTAAGGTCCTCAGGGAGCACAGCCCGGCCGCCCAGGCTGGGGGATACTGGGGCAGAGCTTCCAGGTCTGTGGGGCCTGATCTCTCCCCAAGGCTCTCCAGGCCTTGGTGCGCCCTCCACAGTGACCTTCAGAGAGGCTGCACCCCCTCAGAAGAACAGTGAGAAATCTCTCCATCACACGCTCCCTGGTCCTTATGTCCCTGAGGCCACCCTTCCCCACCCCCCAGTGCCTGGAGAAGCGTGAGACTCTGGAGGGGCGCCAGGAGGCCAGGGGTCCTCAGGGCTAGGCCTGGAGCTCGGCCCAAGAGCTGCTTTTGCGAAGCCTGTCTTGAATCCGGATTCACCAGAGAACAAGAGCCTCCCAGCCTTTGGCGTTTCTGGGCCTGTAAAGATGTGTGTACCTCCCAGGCCACTCTGATGCAAGGGCAGGGACCATGCCAGGCCTGGGTTGGGAATGGCTCTGTGACTCCAGAAGCTCCGTCTAAAACTCCAAAGATGCCCAAAAGGCTGTGCTGCTATGTGGAATGTGTATTATTTGTGAGCACGATGCGGCTTCTTCCTCATTTTGCAGAGCAACCTAAGCGGGCAGATGTACAAACCGTGTGTTCGAAACCCCTGAGTCCATGTGTGTGAAAATGCAGGTTTTCTCTTAGAAATAAAGTGGTGACTTGTGCTGTATTCGAGTCGTCACTCTCTGCAGCAACCCCTCTCGATGCCCAGGGACAAGCAGGGGGCCCAGGCCAGGGTCAGCCCCTCTGCCCCAGTGCCCTCATATGGACACTGCCATCCGGCCCTCTCTGCAGGCCCAGGCACTCAGGGGTGTCCACCCAGGCCCCCGCTCGCTTCCTCTGCCTTGTGGAGGGAGGCAGACAGCCCTGGAGCAAAGCAGGCACAGAGAGGCCGGCTTGCTCCAGGGCGGCGGCGTGGGCAGATCCAGCGGATTTGGGCCAGCACTGTCACCGGCTCTGAGGGCCTTCCCTCAGGGTGGAGGGGCTGTCCAGCTCCCTCCCACCTCCTGTGGCACTCTCTCCACCCCACCCCATGGCCTATTCGATGCCATTTTTGGGGGGTTAGGAAACACCACCTTGAACCCAGTCCCCTTCCCTTGTCATTTCTCCTCCTCTGAGCTTAGCCCCAGCTGCTTTCTTCCTCATGTCTTGCTTCTTCTACCTGATGAGCCCGTGAGTATTTGGTAGCAACTTCCCCCATTTATCTTGCTTCCCAGGGGAGATGCGGGGAAGGGAACCAGTGAGCCAGGAGGCGGCCCCTTGCAGGCGCTGCCGCTCTCCCTGGCCCCAATCTCGAGTCCTGGGTGTGTGAACTCAGTGTTGCAGGCCCTGCCGTCTGGGATCCAGTGCCCTCTCCTGTGACCCCACAACTGGGCCTGAGTCTCCAGCAACTCCGCTGGTGCATGTGGGGCCCAAGGCTCCATGCGCTGAACATGAGGGACCCCGGCCACCTGGAGCCTTGGCCTCCTCCTGAGCTGTTGTCACGTGGAAACCAGGCAGGGGTCTGCTCCTCTCAGTGGAATTTTTTCTTGGAACCTGCACTAGGGACTCTCCATGTTTTTGGTTAACTTCCACCTGGTGGCTTTGGCCGAGCACTGGGGCTCCAAGTCAGGTGCTCCATTTCCAAACCATGCAGGCATCCTTTCGGGAGCACACCCACCTAGCTTCGATCTTCCAGAACTGACAACTTGTTGCCAATAATTGGCTGACGTGAGTGTTGAACAAGACAAAACCCAATCCAGAGAGCACTGGGCTTTGTCCTGCCACCGCCCCGCCCAGGCCACTGTACCCCCCCACCACCCCCCCATGCCGCCTGCCTCCCAAGTGCTGGGGATGGAGCAGGGAGGCTGCCCCTCTTGCCCTCCCTCACCTTCCAGGGAGCAGACACCAGCGTCAGTGTGAATGTGGCCCAGCCCATGTGCAGAGGGAGAGGATGCCGGGCTGGGCGTGCATGTTGAAGTCCGTGGCCCAGAGAGGCTTCCAGAGAAGGTGACAGCTGAGTAAAGCCCTGAGGGGTGGGGAACAAGAGTCGTGGCCCTCTGGGGGAGACTTCCAGGAGGAGGGGGCCAGGGGAAGAAGGCTCGATGCCTCCTGGCTGGTGTGGCGGAGGAGGGGGAGGGGTGGCGGGCCGGTGTGAGGCGGTGAGGAGGCTTCATGGATCCCTATGGAAAATCGGGCTTGTCTCTGAGGTGGGAGCCAGTGGAAAGTTCTGAGCACAGGAGGCCCTGGTCGGTTTCACACTGGGACAGGCTCACCAGGCCGCTGCCTGGAGAGTGCACTGGGGGCCGATGGGGCTGGGAAGGATTGAGGATGGCGACGGTGGGGGGTGAGCAGGGGCGGTGGAGGGCTTTGCTGTGCACGGGGAGGTGGAGGCTCTTCTGTGCGGAGAGGGGAGGTGGAGGGCTCTGCTGTGCACGGGGAGGTGGAGGCTGTGCTGGGTGGAGGGCTCTGCTATGGGAGTGCGGGGGAGGTGGAGGGCTCTGCTGTGAGGGCGGCGGGGAGGTGGAGGGCTCTGCTGTGCCGGTGGTGGGGGAGGTGGAGGGCTCTGCTGTGCGGAGGGGGAAGGTGGAGGGCTCTGCTGTGCGCAGCGGCGAGGTGGAGGGTTCTGCTGTACGTGGGGGAGGTGGAGGGCTCTGCTGTGCGTGGGGGAGGTGGAGGGCTCTGCTGTGCGGGTGGGGGGAGGTGGAGGGCTCTGCTGTGCGGGTGGGGGGAGGTGGAGGTCTCTGCTGTGTGGGTAGAGGGGGAGGTGGAGGGCTCTGCTGTGCGGAGGGGGGAGGTGGAGGGCTCTGCTGTGCCGGTGGTGGGGGAGGTGGAGGGCTCTGCTGTGCCGGTGGTGGGGGAGGTGGAGGGCTCTGCTGTGCGCAGGGGGGAGGTGGAGGGTTCTGCTGTACGTGGGGGAGGTGGAGGGCTCTGCTGTGCGTGGGGGAGGTGGAGGGCTCTGCTGTGCGTGGGGGAGGTGGAGGGTTCTGCTGTGCTGGGGGAGGTGGAGGGCTCTGCTGTGCGGGTGGGGGGAGGTGGAGGGCTCTGCTGTGCGGGTGGGGGGAGGTGGAGGGCTCTGCTGTGCGGGTGGGGGGAGGTGGAGGGCTCTGCTGTGCGGGTAGAGGGGGAGGTGGAGGGCTCTGCTGTGCAGAGGGGGGAGGTGGAGGGCTCTGCTATCCCGGGGGGCCCCCCCGCAGGATTGCTGCACGCACGGCCTGAGAGAAGAAGCAGAGGCAAGGCTGACCCCCAGATGGGATTGCCGTTTCCGGACTTGCAAGGCTGCGGAGGAGCCGCTTGGAGGTGGTCAGTTTTGGACATGCTGGGTTTACCAGAGAGAGAGGAGGTCAGGGAGCCAGACTTAGAAACCGCAAACACAAACCCCAACAAGTAAAGAAAATGACACAAATTAAAGTTCACACTAGTCTGTGATGGAAAAACAGCAACTTCCTCACATTATCCCAAGCCAGAGGATCATGCCTTGTCTTCAGACGTCAGCAGAGTAAAACCGTTTTAACACCAGGAGTGGGGCCGGGTGCGGTGGCTCAGGCCTGTAATCCCAGCACTTTGGGAGGCCGAGGCGGGCGGATCACGAAGTCAGGAGATCGAGACCATCCTGGCCAACATGGTGAAACCCCGTCTCTACTAAAATTACAAAAATTTAGCTGGGCGTGGTGGTGCGTGCCTGTAAATCCCAGCTACTACGGAGTCTGAGGCAGGAAAATCCCTTGAACCAGGGAGTCGGAGGTTGCAGTGAGCCGAGAGCACGCCACTGCACTCCCGCCTAGCGACAGAGTGAGACTCCGTCTCAAAACAAAACAAAACAAAACAAAAAACCAAAAACACTGGGAGTCCCAGTTTGTAGGAAATCATTAAGATTTTATTATTTGAGCTCCAGAACGAGTGAGGATGACCTGATAATTTTGGTTTGGCTCAGGTTGTAATGTGTTTCTGTTTTGCTCGATGACTACTAGAACAGTTCTCAAACTGTGTGGTGGGTAAGAATCACCTGGGAACTTGACCAAGTGACATGTCTACACCACCCGCCCCTACAGGCTCTGATTGGGGGGCTGCTGTGGACCCAGGGGTTGGCATTCTTAAGTGCTCTCCTTGGTTCTGATTCTGACAACCCACCCAGCGCTTCAGAGGACAGCTGGACTAGATGTGCAGTCAGCGGCGAGGACCCTGAGCCCGGGGACGGGTGAGGTCCCAGCTAGAGGGAGGGGTTGGGGTCACTGGCATCTCCGGTGTTTAGAACCAAGAGCCTAGAGGAGGGGACCAGGCAGAGGGGCTGGTCCCACGTTGAGCCCTGGGTAGCCAAGCAGCTGGAGCCTACGGAGGCAAAAGGGGACAGTGAGGGAGGCTGAGGGCTCCGAGGCTGTCCCCACAGCTGGCAATGCAGCCCAAGGCAGGGCGGGCTCAAGCAAGAGGAGGCTGAGGGCCGGCCAGGCCCACGGGCAGCATCGGGCTCTGGTAGGTGCTCACGTAGTTTTTGGAGTTTGGGACAGTCCCTGAGGCTCATT
Source organism: Homo sapiens (assembly GCF_000001405.40). NCBI lineage: Eukaryota > Metazoa > Chordata > Mammalia > Primates > Hominidae > Homo > Homo sapiens. Next base: position 38,164,621 of record NC_000006.12, on the reverse strand, counting down.
ATAAGCTCCTGTGTGGGGTCTGGGACCCCATTTTCCTTTTCTGATGGTCTTTCATTTTGGTGGGGACTGACGACAGACTCTAAAGACACCCTTTGCCCACCTCTAGAGTCTTAGCATTTCTTCCATTGACGGGATTTCCCACCAGCGCCCCGTAGCCACCCTGCGTATTCCATACCAGGATTCACTGGCCCAGGACGTGGAAGGACAGACTCTTCTGAAGTGGCTCCACATTTCATTGTCTCCTCACCTAGCTGAGACCTCAAAAATTCCAGAACATTCTACTTGTTTCACCTAGTTTAATTTTAAAGATCTTGGACTTTGAATTCCAGGTGGCAGACTGCCAGTTTGGAGGGCAAGTTGACAGTCTTGACTAAAATGGAATGTGTGCAAAAGGTAAGATAAGCACGTTACACCCCTTCACCCCATCATAAGCAATGACCAAAAAGACCAATCGTTTAAAAACAACAACAACAACAAAAAAACAAAACCAGAATGGAAAACAAGAAGGTGCCAGCAGCTCAGGAAATGGCGGAAGCCAAGAAACAGGATGACCCAAAGCCCCGGGCAGGCTGGACTGGACGTTTCCATGTTGAACCCAGTCCTTGGACCCACGAGCAATTCAGAGTGGCCGCGCCTCCGCCAGGGCAGGCCCTATCTGCTCCAAGGCAAAGAACGCCATGGGGCTTCCTTCCTTCCCCGCACCTGCTCAGCAGCCTTGGTTTTCTCATCTGTCCAGTGGAGCTAACAGTAGCACCTTTTGGGACTGTGAGGGTTAAATGAGCCTGGGGCAGGGGTTGGGGGAGGTGGTGAGTGTGTGTGTGTGTGTGTAAGAGAGCGAGCGAGAGAGACGCCAGCCGTTGTGATGATGTTAACATTCTCTGGGTCTACACCAGTGGCCCTTTCTGCCTGCATTTTTATTACAACATAGTCCTAACACTGCATTTCACTGTCAGGCACCTCCGTCCACTCCACTCCTGCGCACTCCTCCCGGCTGTGTCTCCTGTCTTTTTTGGGTCCCTTTTGGAAATGTGGGCTCCTCAGAGTATTTGGAGCCACCTTCCCCCCAACACCTCCACCTCTAGGGGCCTGGTCCTTTGGGAGTGGGCAGGGCCCTGGGGCACCCTGCTGGCCTCCAGAAGCTGTTGGGGAGATACGAGGGAAGTCTGAGGGGCAGCAGCGCTGGGTACAGGGCAACAGGCCCGAGCCGGGAGGCCCTTCCATGGGACCACAAGCGCCCACCCCGATTGACGACACTGCAGATGTGACCGAGGGCCAAGGACACTGCTCAGATGCCCTGAAGTGGGCAGGGGCAGCTCAGGAGCCTGCAGGGGTTGAGGGGGACAGAAACGCAAGAGGGAAGTGGCAGCCTGGCCACTCCTGACCACTGGGCCAGTGGGAGCGAGGCACGGACGTGGTAAGACGTCTGCTGTATTTGTGCCATTCCCGGTGATGCCCTGATGCCCACCTGTCACCACAGCCCTCTTGGGGCAGCAGATCACTAAGAGACAAGGATGCAAGAAAGTGGCTGCTGCTCCTGGCAAACCCGAGCTTCCCCTCAGAGCTGCTGGAGGCCAGAGGTGTGCCCCAGGGCCCTGCCTGGAGGGAGGTGTGCCCCAGGGCCCTGCCTGGAGGGAGGTGTGCCCCAGGGCCCTGCTTGGAGGTGGAGGTGCCCAGGGGCCTATGAAAAGCACCTAGCACCCACGGAAGACAATGACATCATGTGGGGCCAAGTCCGATGTCCTCCATCACACACTATTGCCCAGCTTCCATGGGCCTTGCAAGTTTAAGGGGAAAAAAAATGGGAAGCCATTTCTGAGAAAATCCACCCAGGACTCGCTCCGTCTGCACACTGGGGCGCTCCAGTTGGAGAATGAGGGTGTCGCAGGTTCCAGATTCAGGCTTTCGTGCCTTCGCGCGGCAGGGCAGCAGCAAGGCTGCATTAGGGTGGTGGCTTTGATCTGGCTGCACCCTGGAATTGCCTGCAGAGCTTTGTGAGGAACCACCCCTGACCGGCCACCCCAGAGACTGACTTGGTTTTGGTCTTGGGCGGATTCAGACACGGAAATCTTTAAAAACTCCGCGGGTGATTCTAAAGGCAGTCATGGCTGAGAGCCACCAGGCAAGGGTCTGAGATTGTGGAACCTTCCACATTCTCCAGCTAGGGAACGAGAGGCCGGGGCCCCGTTAGAGCTCTCCCAGCCTAGGAGAGGCTGATCTGGCCCAGAACCGCATCCTGACTCCAGGCCCGGGGCTCCCTTCCCTGCTGCCAGAGCTGACCAAGTGGAGGAGGAACCGCGGGGCCTGGAAGGGGCAGGTCTTCCTTTGAGTGCCTCATGGAAGGTGCCAGAACTCTCCCTCCTCCTGCCGTCCACTGCCCTACCCGCACTTCCTGCCTTGAGTCTACCAGGACTGCTGATGTCACACCCTTTGTCCCTGCTCATGACAGGCCCCCCAGGAGGGCCCTCTCCCCTATCTGGTCCCCACACAGCTCTCTAGTCCCATCCTCACCTGGCACAGCCACCTGGGGGGCCCAGCAACACCCTCTGGAACCTGGCTGACTGAGCCCACTCTCAACCCATGACTGCTGTGGGGCCGACAGCTCCCTGCAAGCCCTCTGACATCGCAGAACCATCCCTGCAGGACTTGGTGGCCTAAACGTTTGTTTTGCTGGGGAACCTGTAGTTTGGCCAGGGCTTGGCAGGGACGGCTCCTATCTGCTCCGCTTGGCACCACCAGGTCAGCCCAAAGGTTGGGGTGGGCCATCTGAAGCCTTGCTCACTGGCCATGGGTGCTGCTGGTGCACAGCTGGGCACCTGGGCACCACTGTCTCCGTCTGGTCTTGCCACATGGTCTCTTCAGCATGGAGGCTTCAAAGGAGCAATATTTTTTTTCTTTAATTGAGGTGAAATTCACAGAACGTAAAATTCACCATTTAAAATGAACAATTCGGTGGCATTCGGCACATCATGGTGTTGTGCAACCACCACTTCCCAGAAGGGATCCCCACACCCATTGGGCAGTTGCTCTTATCCTCTCCTCCCCCAGCTCCTGGTGCCAGCCCACCTGCTGTCTGTCTCTGCCGCGCTCCCCACCCTGCTGTTGCATGTACACGGAACCACACGTTCACCTTCGTGGCTGGCTCCTTTCACTTTGCAGAATGTTTCCGAGGTTCACCTGGGCTGCCGCTCGGGTCAGCACTTTCCTTCGTTTATGGCTGAACTGCGGGGCTGCATCAGGCTTTGTGTATCCTTCGGCCCCCTGACGGACACTTGGGTTGTTTCTACTTTGGGTTGTCATGAACAGGGCTGCCTGGAACATGGGAGGACTTGTGTGAGTCCCAGCTTTCAGCTCTCTCTCGTGTATGCCTAGCAGTGGCATTGCTGGGTCACGTGGTGATTCCTTTTGGAGTTTTTGACAAGCCAGCAGAGGGTCTACCACAGCGGCTGTGCCGTTTCACATTCCCGCCAGCGACACGCAAGCGTTCCAGCCTCTCCACATCCTCGCTGGCACTTTCCACTCTTCGATTATCGCCAGCCTTCTGATGTGAATAGCCAGACTTCTTGCGCGCCAGCCCGTGTTAAGGCTCATGTCGCCTGAGAGCGCCAGATGGGTCTTCTCACGCGACTTTCAGATGTGGCCTCATGGACGGGAAGGTCACCTCCACCACACGCGCTCCTGCCCGTGTCCAAGGGGAGAGGCTCCGCTTTTCCACGGGAGGAGCGCCAGAATTGAGGGAAAGAACATGTTTAACAATCACGACATCTCCACAACATTTCTCATTCGCTCTCTGACCAGTGCCACTCAACGTGTCATCTCGTCACAAGACAAGGAGCTTATACCAGAAGAGACATCAGCATGCTGCCCCTTCGTCAGGACAGTCTTGTCAGCTGACCCAACTGCGCTGCCTCTCAGGGTCCTGGGACACAGCGGAAGACCCCAGGTACTCTGAGCCTCCCCCAGGTTACGCAGGGCCGGAAGTTTATACAGTTTGGGAGCCCCCCTTTAAGAAAAAGAGTAAAAATTCTGACTCCCAAATTAGGTACAACATGGGAAAAGAATTCCCAACAAATTACACGTTTTAAAGTCAACAAACACCCAGATGTCTGCAGTTCACCCTCACTGGTGGTGACACATCTGTCACATTTTGTTCCTACTTTGCTTGGCTGTGTCCTCTTTCATCACCCTTTCCCATGATAATGATCTTGTAATATCATGTAGGAATAGAAAGATTCCTCAATCTTTCCTTGAGCATGGTCGATCTCTGTTTTGAATTATTGATACTTTAGAAAAGTTTCTGTCATCTTCACAACTCTTATTGGCATAGTCATGTAAATTTTTAGAACTGTCATCAAATGTGGGGCAACTGTTACCAAGTTTCTTTCATATCTGAGCTGTAAGATTCTAGAACACCCCCAGCATTCCTAAACTCATCTTTAATGCTCTGACAGGAGTGTGGTGCGCTTCTGATTGTGCGGCACTGTCGAGCGTGTTCCTAAGAGCGAATGTCTGTATCGAGCAGGTATTGATGAGAATCAAGTCTTCCTGGTTTATATTCACACACCTGCTGGTGGGAAGAATTTTCCACAGACTTCCGGCTCCACATATATCAAGCCTCATCTCTCCTCCACAACCGGTACTCCCTGTTCCAGGTCCCGTAGGACACGTTCCTATCACAGTACAACCGTGGCCTTGCTCCTTCTGGTTACGACACCAGGTGTCAGGCAATGGACAAGAAGCATGTTCTTGAAGCCAGCCCTACCCCAGGATGACTGGCAATGACCTACTAAATGCAGAAGTGACTGTGAACGCACAAATATATCCCACTAACCTCAAACGAATCGTGTCCCTAACTCTGCTTACCCTTAGCCAGAACCCAAAAGTACCATGTGGCCTCAACATCACCCAACAGAACAGGAAGTGTGAAGGAAGGGAAGTTAGAATGGAAGGAGGGAATGGTTTTAACCAACTGCAGTTAAAGTATCTCACTTTTGCAAATTTTATAAAATCTTGGGAACATGCAAACACATTGCCGAGGCCCAATCACGAGTGAGGGGCCTCAAGCTAAGGCTTTGTCTCCCGGTAAATCCATGCCAGTGCCCCACCAAACTGTTGCTACCCCCTCACCCAACCTCACTCACTCCTCACGACCCTGTTCCATATGTCCGTGAGAACACAGAGCAGAAGGATACCACCCCCGCTTGCCTGCCCTGTGCCCACACCTGCCACCCTGCGCTCTACACCCCATCATGGGCATCGATCCCAAATTTCTCCCTCGCTACGGGATCATTCCAACAGCATAAAAACATGCAGCAACTTCTCCTTATTCAAAAGTAAACTCCCTCGCCCCCACATCCACTCTCCTGCCCATTTGCTTCCATTGTAGCAAAACTGCTTGAAGAAGAGGTCCAGCTGGGCAACCTTTCCAGTCTCCCTCCCCAGGAATTGGTCCCCAGCGCCGGGACGGTTGGTGCCTGGGCAGCAGCTCACAGAAGTGGCCACTCCCTGCTCCTCGAAATGCTCCTTTCCCCGCCTGGCTTCTGGGACTCCCATCTTTCTGTCTCTTCCTGCTTTGCTGGCAGCTTCTTCTAGGTCTCCTCTGCAGGTTCCTCCGTCCCTCTGGATGGCATCCCCAGGCACAGCCTCCATCCGTCTCTTCTACATTTACACTCCCTTCTTTGGTGTCCTTGGCCCAGCTTGTGGCTTTAAATACTAGCTCTATGCAGGTGACTCGAAACTGTGTATCTCATTTGTACACCGACATCCACAGCAGCCTCATTCACAGTAACTACAACATGGAAGCAACCCCAGTGCCCACTGACAAAGGGGTGGGCAAGCACGTGTGTTTCATCATACGGTGCAGTAGCATCCACCTTAAGAAGGACACAGACATATCTACCATGTGGATGAGCCCGGAGGACATCGTGCTGGGTGAAATCGGCCAGACACAAACAGACGAGTACTGTATGATTCCACTTCCAGTTCTGGAGATGGACGGTGGCAATGGTTGCACCACATTATGAATAGATTGAATAATACTAAACTGTACACTTAAAGATGGTTCAGAAGGGAAACTGCGTGTTCTGCATATTTTACTACCATAAAAATTATTGGGGAAAAATGCCCATCTCCAGCCAGGACCTCTCCACTGAGCCCTGGAACTGTGTATCCAGGCACCACCTCCCCAACCCCCCAGCCCCGCCACACACACACACACACACACACACACACACACATTCTAGCTGGGTGTCTCGTCTACACCTCAGCCGTCTGCTCTCATCCCACCCCCTTCACGCTCCTGCCTGTCGTTCATTAACGGCATCTCTATCTTTCCAGCGGCTCACACTCCAAACTAGAAATTGTCTATAGTTCCTCTCTTCTCTCACCCACACCCAGCCTATCGGCGACTCCTGCTATCTCCATCCTCAAAAATCAGTCCAGGATCTTGCTCTTCTCACCACCTCCCTGCCACCTTGGAGCACTGAGCCTTCCTGCTGGCCTCCCGGACCAGCCAGCCGGTCCTCTGGTCTGTGTACCTCCCTCACTCCCTGCAGGCTGTTCCTCGCACAGTGGCAGCCTGACCGAACCCCCAAGCGGCAGGCAGGGCCCTCCATGCCCATCGCAGACAAAGACCCTCAGACCCTATGCTTCTCCCCCTGCTCCCTTCCCCCTGCGTATCGTGTATGCCTGTCACCCCTCTAATATTCTTTGCACTGCCCTTATTTTGTTCCCTATAGCTGTAGTTTGGGTCACCATCATATCCCCAGTGTCTGGGATGCTGCCTGGCATATAGCAGGTGTTGAATGAAGGTCACCCTAGCCAGGGCTGTGGGCTGGAAGATGCCCCTAATGGGGCTGCCACGGTGCAGACCCAGAGCTTTACCTCTGGGGTCTATGTCTTGGTCCCCACCCCCACCCCGAACTTGGGCACCTTGTCATACACAGCAGATCCCTCTCCTCCTAGTCTGGGAGTCCCTCCTCTTCAGCTCCTCCTGGTGTTTGGTGGATGTGGGCCTGAGGACTCCAGAGACACTCCAGCTCCCTGTCAGCAAGTTCTCCCATCGAACCCTGTGATGTGTGCCCCAGGCCCCTTCAACTGCACTCCTCACTGCTAGGATTGATAGAGCTGCCTGGAAGAGGTGGCCAGGAGGGGAGCCTGAGGTGTGGGGTCCTTCCAGGTCGAAAACTCAAAAGGCCTTTTATTAGGTCCCGGGTCTGGGGTGCTCTCATCTGCCAACAATTCAATCACCTAACCCTGTGGGACGCTCCAGAGGGTGTGCAGCGGGAGGGCCAGGCCTGGGCCCAGCACGCACTCGGTGTTGCCATCTTCCTGCTCCAGGCACTTTTTCCATCCCAGGCTCTCCAGTGACGGGCAGGAAACACCCTTCTGTGTTTCTGTGTGAATTTGGGCACAGCATTTAAGCCAAAGGAAAGGTGACATTCCATCTGTCTGCCCAGCCAAACATCTGGGTTGCTGGATGGCATACCACAGAAGCCCGGAGATAGGAACTTCCAGGCTGACCTGAAGGGAGTGAATTTGACTACTCTAGGTACCTCCAAGTGGAATCACACAGGATCAAGGGAGAGTTTTTCAGGTGTTTGGCGCACAGTAGGTGCTCAATGAACCAGGGCAACTTTTCCCAAGGTGTGCTGATTAAGAAAAGTTTTTTTGGTAACAAATAAGCTTGGTGTTGCCACAGCCACCTTTCCCAGGGTTTTTAAATTAAAAAAAAAAATACATATATATGTTTAGATATGGGCTCTCAGGCTGTTGCCCATGCTGGAGTGCAGTGGTGCAATCCTAGCTCACTGCAGCCTCCAACTCTGGGCTCAAGTGATCCTCCCGCCTCCACCTCCTGAGTAGCTGGGACTATCAGGCGTGTACCACCACCCGCTCCCCGCAGCAATTAAATTTTTTTTTTTTTTTTTGCATCACATGCCACATGCAGGGTTTGAAAAGAAAAAAAAAATATTTTTTCGTAGAGATGAGGTCTCACCATGTTGCCTGGTCTCGAACTCCTGGACTCAAGGGATCTTCCCACCTTGGCCTCCCAAAGTGCTGGCATTATAAGCTCAAGCCACCGCCCTCAGCCTTCAGGGTTTTAAACATGTGCTGTGTTGTGATGTGCCAGCTGCCTGCATCTTCCAAAGCAGCTCTGATCAAAACCAACACTCTATGTTGCATCTCAGAGACCTGAACTCCCTGAAACCCACTTTCAGAGAACAGTAAGGCAGGTTTCTGAGGACTTGGCCCCTCAGTTCCCAGGAAGGGCTTCCATCATTCCCTTATTAAAGCATTTCAATTTTTCAATCAATGTTATATGTTTAACTGTAGTCGTAAATATAAGGCCTACTGCATTCCTATCTCCTACCCCAAAGAAAACCAATTTTAACTTCTAAGCTTTTTCCTCCTCTTTTACCTCCATATTTCTAAATAACATACTACTCTCAAGTTTTCAGCTTTGGACATCCTTTGTTGATTTCCTGCTAAGAACAAGAACTTGGCTCTCTTATCCTCTGCCACCAATACACAGGCACATTCTTTCCCTCTCCCAGTCTCCTACTGAGATCCAGCATATATTTTTACCAGAGCAATATTCACTAGTATTTGTGTTTACATTATTTGTACGTAAATATTATTCACAGCTGAGTCACACAGGGTCTGCAGCTCCTCTTCCTGTGTATTTCTGCTTAGGCATTAATACACTGTTATTACTTGCTTAATTGTCTGTATCTGTCTCTGATTCTTAGACCTTCTCCAAGCCCTCTGACAGGACCCAGTGCTGACAAGATATGGGGCCACCTCGCAGGCCTCGAGCTGTGTGCTGAGTTCCCCCAGAGCCCGCCCCAGGTCCCAAGTCTCCATGTCTTTCTCCGATCACTCCTCCCTCACTGCAGCCTTCCCCCATGTAGTTGCGAGAATGGCTGCTGAGGAAATCAGGTTTTGAGACTCCTGCAGACTTCTCTTGGGTATCTGTGTTACTGTTGTGCCCATCTGGGGCCCTCTCTCTTGGAGACCCCCTTCTTGGGGCTAGAGGGGCTGCTCACAGCTCCCTGAATGTGCTGCTGATGGCTCCCTTGAAGACCACGGCCCACTCCCACCCATGGTTTCCTGTTTCTCACGCCACCCAGCAGGAAGGTTTCTGCTTGTCTTCCCACCATCCCCTCTTCTTGCTGTGGACTGTTGTTGGCATAACAACAGTTATGTTGTTGCTGTGGACTGTTGCTCTGTGAAGCAATCAGGAAGGAGCTGACGCAGACCCAGTTCCTGTGGACCAGTGGGCAGAGCACAGCCCACTGCTCCCTGCAGGCCCGCCTCACACCCAGGCCACCAAGGCCCTCTCTTGCCCTTTGCCCCCGTGCTTGTTCATCGCCACTGGGCCTCTGATTTCCTCTGAGGATTTTCATCACGCTCATGACAACTATGCGGTCAATATCTCTGTCCTAAAAGAAGTGGGGACAGGTCCCACTCCTGTGCCTCGCCCCTGCCCTGCCAAATGTTTTTTGAACATTTAAAAATGTAGTTAAGTTCATCCTATACACCAAAGAGTGCCACAGCACACACCTCCTCCAAGCCAGCCTTTGGGAGCCTTCGTCATCCATCCTGGAGGCCCTTCCTAGGGTGGGGTTCGGGTCTAGGGCATGCTGCCTTCCCTCAGGACCCAGCACCCACCCCACCCACGCCTGGGGCCCTCAGGGCTGGGGCTCGTTTTCTGATCCCCCCCAGTGTGTAACCTCCTGGCTGCTGGCACAGGCTTGGCCCTGCAGACCCACCTTTACCCCAAGGCCAGTCCCGCAGCTTCCCAGGGCAGAGGCTCCCAACAGAAAGCAAGGAAGCGGCTGTTTAGCCTGGACACTAACTGGACGAGTGCCTCCAAGTACTGCAGACGGTCTCTGCACACAGGCCCCCATCTCTTTCCAGCCCTGGCCAGGGAGATGGGTCAGTTTTCCCAGCAACCCAGGGGGCACTTAGGAGAAGGGGTGAAACAAGAAAACCAAACTTTCATACGATTGGTTTAATTTTTTTTTTCAGCAGGAGAAAAAAGAATAAAGTTACAAGATTCTTTTAATATTTTCACAATGTTAAAACTAAAACTGAGCTCTAGGCTATGTGTGTAAGTAAATCTAGAACACAAAAGGGTTAAATAAGATTTTCTCTTTTAAAGATACAAGAATTTAAGCTTTCCTTACATTTAACAAACTTCACAGAACAGATACTGCAGGGGAACAAGCCCCACCCCCCACCCCCCCCAGCTCTAAGTCAGGAAGCGAACATGGGCTTCGCTCCCCCAGGCCAGCTCCCCTGGGCTCCTTCCCATGGCTGCCTCCACGCAGCAGGCAGAGGAGGGGGCGGGGGGCCCTGGGGAGGGCCGGGAAGGGCTCGCACAGCCTCTTCGGGACCAGAGCTTGGCGGAAGCCTATGGGGGGCTGCCTCACTGAGGATGGCCCGTATGGTGGCCAAGGGCTGTGGCTTGACAGCAGTGGTAAACGCTGGGCAGACCTGGCCCCTCTGCCCTGGGTTGCCCTAGAGCAAGACACCGGTCTGGGTCCTGAAGCAAGAATTAAGGCTGGGGATTTTGCAGCGGGTTCCACTCTGGTGGGTGGAGGGTGGGAAGAGCATGACTTCCTATTTCAGTACGTCGGATCAAAAAACATTTGCAGTTGCAGGTGTTCAGCTGTTAATTTGCAGACAGAGTTGAACCATTTGTTGTTTTATAAAAAGGAAAGTTGCTGGGTTAAACTATTCCAGTAGCCTATGTGTGGGCAGATCCACGCTGCCTCCGCAGGGGCCTCCTGCCCTCACCCACCTGGATCTGATGCGGCACTAGGACCACTGGGACTGCTCACCCTGCCTGGGCTTTCAAGGGAATCCTGATCCTGTCCACCCAGCCCCAGCCCCACCTGACTGGTAGTGATTTCCTAACATGGGGCAACCAGGCCCACCCCCACCCTTCCCCACCTGGCGTGCGCAGTTGCAGCTGCTGAAATCCTCTGTGAACATGAGGGGGCACAGGTGGAGAAATGTACCCTCAGGCCCTCACCTACCAGAGCAAATATCACTCTCGGAGCTGGGCCACAGCCACAAACCGCTGTTCTAGACAGATCCAAACCCACTGTCCCTGGGACGTATGCTGCCTTCCCTTACTAAACTTGCTATATGGTAGATGTGGACTGGGTGTCCTTGGACTATGGGGCTGCATAGAAACGAGAATGGAGGCCACGACATCATCCTCTTGGCCCCTGGAGGCACGGGCGGCTCCAGCTGGAAGGGGCAGAGCCCGTGGGCGGCAGCTTCCCCAGCTGCTGCTCCCAGCACTTCTACTGATTCTTGTTGGCTATGAAATGTCTTTTTAAAAAACTCCCAATATAGAAATCTGGCTGCAGAGGCCAGTGTGCAGACCCAGCCACCGCGCTGTGCTGCCATTCGCCACATCTGGTCCGTGCCAGATCCCTGCACTGGCGAATGGCAGACCAGAGCCGGCGGAGGCGGGGCACTCTGGCTGCTTCTCGTGACCTTGGATCCTGTGTAGAAAAGGCGGGTCTCGTTCGTGGACTAGTCTTGAGTGGAGCTAATTTTCAAAGTGAGGTTACTGTTTCTCTTCTTGTGTGATGAGTTTTTTCATAGCAAGTCAGGTAAAAAAATTTCCGTAAGAATCTGTCCCCCACCCCCCATTTCCAGCTCTGTGGGAGAGTGAGGCCACCACCCAGCCCAGCCACGTGGCCAATCTCAGCAGCCTCCCGTGGCCAAGGCACACGTGGCCATCAGGTATCCTGGCTACTGGGACTAAGGATAAGTGAAGAGGTGAAAGGCCGATCATTAAACAGAGTTTCTGGCAAAGCCATGTGCGTCGTGGGAACTTTAACACCAGCTTCTACTCCTCTATTAACTCAGAGTCTCCGTCTGGAACACTTTCCACTTAAGGCTTTTTATAAGTTTGACTCCAGCAGTGACAGGTATGTGTTGTTTTAAATCCACTAGCCATGCTCAAAAAAAAAATATTCTTCATGTTTTAATTTTATACAATGGCTAGCAGGCACCTTAGTAACCAGCCAGAAATCAATTTCAACCACCATCAACCCCTAAACTACAGTACCAGGATGGCTGGCTAAAGAAAGGAAACGGACTGGCTGCAGTCTGACGCGTGCCCAGTACAAGGTGTCTGGCTGACTTTGTCCTAAATAAGGCTAACATTAGTGAACTAAGAACAGCGTCACGTGGTGGCCATGCCTGGCCTTCAGGAGCACCCCTCCCCGATGCGCTGGCAGGAGCGCCCCACTTTCCGGTCCAGCTTCACCATTTTCATGATGGCTTCCTCCCGGCCACGGCCCATGTGGTCGAATGTGCAGTCGTGCTGCTCGGGGAGGCGATGTAACATACAGAACACATAACCTGCAGCAGCGGGAGAAGCAGAGGAAAGAGTGTGTTAGGGTGGCCTCCAAGTGCGCAGAGCCTCACAATTGCCTTTGTCCAGAGGATGGAGGGGCATCCCAGTGAGTGGACAACACTCACTGCAGGGGTTCCTGATGCAGCAGAGAGCTCACTCCAACACCTGCACCCTGGAGCAAGAGGGTCAGCACTTTGCATTCCACAGCTGCTCAAGCCTGTCCCTGCCTGGACCCTTGAAGGGTAGAACCCTAAGTTGATGGCTGCGAGACACAGCCCTGTCCTTGCAAATGAGTGGGCTCTGCGCTCCTCTCCAGCACCATGCAGGCGGAAGAGCACAGGCTGTCAGCTCAGCTCTCTGCTTGGCTCGGGCAAACTGTGATTTCCACCACAGGATGCCCACCATTTCTAGGAGGCAGGAGAAATGATTATGTCTTAAATGACATTCCACCTCCTGTACAGCCGGGGCTTGAGAGGATGGTGGGAGTGATCAAACCACAACCCAAAAATGAGTGGGAGCTCTCAAAGGAAAGTGGATTATTTCTAGTGCTAGAAAAAGTATTAGATAGAAACAGAGGAGACAGCAATGCTGGGCTCCAATCGCCATCTCCAAGGAATCTGACACTTCTAACTGCACTGGGTAGGTGAGAGAGGTTGAGATGCCCACACTCGGGCCCCCAGCTGTCCTTCCCTCCACTGGGTAGGTGAGAGAGGTTGAGATGCCCACACTCGGACCCCCAGCTGTCCTTCACTCCACTGGGTAGGTGAGAGAGGTTGAGATGCCCACACTCGGACCCCCAGCTGTCCTTCACTCCACTGGGTAGGTGAGAGAGGTTGAGATGCCCACACTCAGGCCTCCAGCTGTCTTTCCCTCCCAGAAGCGCAGGATGCTGCAAGGCTCTTTTTGAAGCAGAGAAATCCAAGGGAGACACTGGTCTGGCAAATAAGAGAAAAAGACCAGTGATGAAAGATCAAGAGGCCTATCGAGCAGGGAGCCGGTACAGGTAAAGTCACTCTGGGTCAGGAACAAGGAGGGGAGGGCTGCAGGGAGCCAGGAGCCAGGCTCAGAGAACTCAGGGCGCAGCTGCACCGGGGTGTCTCCCATTCCCTCCAGCTTCCCAGGCAATCTCTAGAGCGGCCGATACGCATGTGGAGCACAGACGTCTGAGGTCCCCAGAGTCTGCTGGCCGCCTCTTTCAAAACGCTGGGGAGAACAAGATCAGGGCTAGGAAGACACCTGCCAGTGCTGGCTGGCTCCTCATCACCTTCTCATCCCATCAGCATTATCTCACCACACCTCCAGGCCCCGTGGGCCTGGATCAGGTCCACAGGAGCAAGCTTCCAGGTAAATCTAGATCCATTCCTAAACCTGTTCTCCCTGTCTGGAGCAGGCATCCCACAGCAGCCTGCCCAAGCAAACACTCTCCTTACTTGTTTTCCAACCAACAGCATCTCTTTTCAGACTTCTTTCTTTTAAGCCCTCATCCAGGCCATAAAGAACAGGCAGCCACCCCTTGCAAACTGACTCATCCCTCCTCACATCCTCAACTTCTTTTCAGAGATGTAGAGGCTGTGCTTTTAGAAGAACAGCAAGAGCCCAAGCAAGGACGAAGTGGCCACAGGATGAAGAGTTTCAACAGCCTTAAGATTTAAGGTTAAGATTCAATAGCCTTAACTTCTAAGATTAACTTCACCTATATTCCTCAGCCTGAGGGAAGAAAAGTGTGTGATGTACTCAATGGCTGGGGACTAACCAGTCTCAAGGATGTAGCTGGCACTCACACCCTACTAGGAAGTCTTGAGCCCAGGCTGTGTGCAAGGGACATGTACACAGCCTAGGGGGCTGGAGTGACCCAGCTGAGCTTGGGCCATCCATTGTGTGAGGAAACATTATTAACTGCTTCCCAGGGAGAGCAGGGCAGTATGTTTGACTCTAAATTGGGATTGGGTTTAAGGAAAAGAACAGAGATGCAATTTCTGTCTCCCGAGAAGCCGAGCTCCCACTTGGTCCAAAAGCAAAGTTAAGATTAATGAGCTCATGTGTTACATTTACTGATAAGTTCATTACTCGAAGATATTGGATACCAGTTGTCTTTCTCCTAAAGGATTTTGCAGCAGAGGCATGGATGGCCTCAATATGCATCCTCCATCTAACAAGTAAATTCATCTTTTTGTAGCAAAGCCTACCTGGTGAGGGAGAACCTGCTGCCAGTCAGGGCTTAGGGTAGGGGCACCAGCAGGATGGCATCAGGATGTGTCTATAGACATTTTTGTCACCAAGTCCTGACATACTTCTGTACTTTCAGCATCTATAATAAGGGGTGGGTGGACCCCTGCTGCCCCTTCCCTTTCTTCAAGATATTGGGATGATTCAGAAGGTCCCAAGGGCTCTCCTCTCTTTCTGATGAATGGTGCTGGCTGAATAAAAGCAGCAGGAAATGGATTACTGCTGGAATTAACTTGGCTCCTGGCTCAGCTTAACACCTCATTAGTCAAAGATGGACTGGGGTGGAAGGGAAATGCTACATCTGGCCCCCCTTCTCCATGTTTGCTTAGCTTGCCTTCCGCCAGCTAGTGAGCAGCCAGCTTGGTGGATGTGAGAGCCCCAGGACTCTGGAAAAAGGAACAGGGAGTGACACCCACAGTAGCTACCCTGATATTCCCTCTACCGCCCAAGGAGTAGCTACCTGATACTCCCTCTACCCTCTATCACAGTAGCTACCCTGACATTCCCTCTACCAGCCCAAAACACCTTATTTCTCTGCCCAGGTTCTGTGTACCTGTTAGACACATCTTGACACTTGGCTTAGGTTTTTTTTTTTTTTTTTTTGAGACAGGGTCTTGCTCTGTCACCAGGCTGGAGCGCTGTGGTGCGATCCTAGCTCACTGCAGCCTCAACCTTCTGGGCTCAAGAGGTCTTCCTGCTTCAGCCTCCCCAGTAGCGCAACTACAAGCACACATCACCACACCTAGCTGTTTTTTTATACTTTATTTTTGTAGAGACAAGGTCTCACTATGTTGCCCAGGCTGGTCTCACACTCCTGGCTTCAAGCATTCCTCCCGCCTTGACCTTTCCAAGTGCTGGATTGCTGGGATTAGAAGGCACCCTCTAATCCCAGCACTTTGAGAGGCCAAGGCAGGAGGAATGCTTTCAAAAATCCACGCCCAGCCAGCTTGCATTTTTGAAAGGTAAAAACTATTAAACAGCAGATAGATTTTGGGAGCAGCGCTGGTAGCAATGAGAATATATGGCACTGTAATTCACTGGAGAAAACTTTGGGGGAAACTCTGGAGGGCTAACTTCCCAAGTAGCTGCACTGAGGTTATTAGATGGCATAAATTAAGCTCAATTCTTTCTCCTGTCAGGATCATTCACTAAGAGGAAGTTATGTCTGGAACTTGTCCCAAATGCTGAGCAGGTATTATCTACCGACAGCAGCCAATGGTGAAATGCATTTTGGTGTCAGAAGGGGGTTGTCCTGGATACAGGGGATGGCGGGTAGAGGTGCATGGGAATGACTGGTGGATGGGATGAATCTTTATCCTCTTTTCTTGGTACTCACAGATCTGTTTCCAGAAACCACTACAAGTGTCATGAACCTTGGGTTGCTCTCTGATTGAATTCTGGGATCCAAGCTGGGTAAGGAGAGAGATGAGTCCAGGCTGCTACAGAAGATTATTTTCCATAATTTCAATATGAGCAGTTTTAAAACACAGAGGATTTATAGTCATGTTAGCTAGGCCAGCCTTAACACTTCCTCTACCTCATTTCTTAGAAACCAACAAGGGCCTTTCCAGAGAGGGCCAAGGACGGTGGCATCCAGAAGGGATGAAAACACTGAGTACACAGAACTGACCTGCTGAACTACGACAGCAGCTCTGGTATTATTACCCAGGGTAGCATGTAATTCTTTTTTCCCCAGATTTTAAAAAGTTATATATTAAAATCAAATTCAAATAAAGCCATATATTCACAGCCGGCTGATCTTTGACAAAGCCAATGAGAACTTACACTGGGAAGAGGAAATCCTCTTCAATAAATGGTGCTCAGAGAATTGGCCTGCTACATGCAGAAGAGTGAGACTGGACCCCTATCTTTCACCACACACAAAAATCAACTCAAAATGGACTCAAGACTTCAACTCAAGACCTGAAACTGTAAGAATACTACAAGAAAACCTAGGGAAAACTCTTATGGACATTGATCTAGGCAAAGAATTTATGACTAAGACCTCAAAAGCACAGGCAACAAAAACAAAAATAGACAAATGAGACTTAACTAAATTAAAAGCTTCTGCACAGCAAAGGAAATAATCAAACAGGTAAAGAGAAAACCTGCCAAATGGGAAAAAATATCTGCAAATCACTCATCTGACAGGGGACTATATCCAGAGTACATAAGGTACTTAACAGGAAAAAAAAAATCCTATTAAAAACTGGCAAAGGACATGAATAGACAATTATCAAAAGAAGATGTACAGTCAATAGGTGAATAAAAAATACTCAACATCATTAATCATCAGAGAAATACAAATCAAAACCACAATGAGATATCTTACCCCAGTCAGTATGGCTATTGTTAAAAAGACAAAAAAATAACAGATCCTGGCGAGGATGCAGAGAAAAGGACTCCCACTGTTGGTGGGAATGTCAACTAGGAAAGCCACTATAGAAACCGCTATGGAAATTTCTCAAAAAACTAAGAATTATCATTTGATCCAGCAATCCCACCACAGGGTATCTACCCAAAGGAAAAAAAGTCAATATATCAAAGGGATGCCTGCATTCGCATGTTTATTGTGGCACTATTCACAAAAGCAAAGATATGAAATCAACCTCAGTGTCCATCAAGGGATGAATGGATAAATAAAATGTAGTATATATACACAAAGGAATACTCTTCAGTCAAAAAGAATGAAATCATGTCAGTTGCAGCAACATGGATGGAGCTGGAAGTCATTATCTTAAGTGAAATACACCAGGCACACAAAGGCAAATATCCCATGTTCTCACTTATATTCAGGAGCTAAATAATTTAAACACATGGAGGTAGAGAGTGAAAAGAGAGAGACTGGGAGGGTGAATGTGGAGAGGGAGGAGGATGAAGAGAAGTGGATTAAAGGGTATAAACACATAGTAAGATAGAAGGAATAAATTCAATGTTAGATAGTGGAGTAGGATGACTATACTTAGCAAAAATGTACTGCACTCGGGTGACAGACACCCTAACCCTGACCTGATCACATGCATTATATACATGTAACAGAATTTCTCATGTACCCCATACATTTGTACAAATAAAAAAAATCAAATTCACTGACTCATTCACATACATACATTCCCATATCTACACTTTCCTTATGGCCCTATCGTTCAGCAGCATGTAATTTTAAAAACATTTCAACAGATTTTTGCTTACTACAGCTATATATCATTTGGTGCTTTGAAGGGATAAAGGAGGATAAGGGATAGGGGAATATGGTTAAAAGGATGCTCACCCCCCAAAAAGAGAGAGGAAGAGTCATGGCAAAGTGGCTGAAAATGTAATCTGCCTGCTAAATGTGGTTTAACCTTAGCCCTTTCCCCTGCCAAGTCACATGACTGGCTACCCTGCTCCTTAGAGCCCAAGATTACTGGATTTTCATGAAATACTGGTCCAGGAGGAAGCTGCAGAGCTTCCTTAAGGATGCCTGAGTTGCGTTCAGTAAATCTGTACAAAATGCTGAAGAACTTGTGTGGGCGTCCCTTTGCTTGTTGGCACTGAAGAGCAATTTAGGATGAGCCCTCGATTTCAAAGGGAGGGAAAAACAGCAGCTCTGCAGGCACTGTGCTCCATGACTCCACTTTCCATGGCCCTCTGGACTGAGGCCTCTCTCTGCCTGCTACCATTCTGGCTTCTGACAGGCTGCCCTGGGCATGGGAAGAGAGAGAGCAGGACTAGTGAGGAGGCCCAACCACAGCAAGTAGTACCAGACACCCCCTGTGATCTGGGGGGAAGGTTTCCCCAGGGTCTCCACCAGCTACACCCTCCATCTGAGAAGATCTCCTTCAAGTGAGCAGACAGCATCGCGAGGGGGCACATGGAACAGGAATGGAAGAAGAGGATGCCTGTCCAGACAGCCACAGTGGCTGAACCACCGAAGGCTGTCATCCCGGGGCCCCGCCCAAGCCTGTGGCTTGGCACAGTGATGGGGGTAGAGCAATCACTTCCCTGACTGTTGCTACCAAAGACACAAGATTATGGCAAAAGGCAAAAACACAATTCAAGACCTATCTAAAACTCTGTTCTGAAAGAATCCCATGTGAATGAGAAAAGCAGGAGGCAGTTTTCAGCTCACTCACCCGGAATAGAGAGGCAGGGGGTAGGGGCACTTCTCTCGGAAGGACAGGTATTTCAATGGAAGCCACTCATAAATATTAAACCAGAACATCTGGACTCAGCCCTCCTGATGCAGAAATGGGGCCTATGGCCCTAATGACCCATGTGCCACATAAACCTGAAGATGCCCAATACCTAAAGGGCCTTAGAAACACATTCCCGGCAGAAAATTGAACTGAGGAGGAGCATTTTTCCAAGACCCATAAAGATCTGATGTGCAGATCTCTAAAATTACTCATTTGGCGGGAACCAAACTTCTAACATGACCCTATAGCTTTTAAAGCTAACATCTGAAATGGATACAATTCATTCAGATGCTCTCATCCACAGCCACAGCTTACCTCTGTCTACACAGGGAGGAGGAGTGGATGTTTTGAGACTAAACCTACATGACTGAGAACAATCTGCACAAATGCCATAATTAGGCAAAGGTGCCACAACATCTAACACCTTGTTCTAAGTGCTGTGAAAATTGTAACAACATCTCACTCACTTATATACAAAAATCAACATCAATCACTGCCCAAAAGGAACACTCCAAGGTGTAACTCAACCTAGAAGGTCGGGCTGGGTGTGTGTTCTGTGTTCTTTACCTCTCGACAATGCTGGCAGGCTAGGCACAGAGGGCAGCTGAACCAAGTCAAGTAGCGTCCGCTGGTTCCCTTCCCCCAGTGGCCACAGGGAATGGCTACTGTAAGGGGTCTGGAGAGGTGGGTGGAGCAGGAGCTGGAGGGCAGAGGGAAGGAGCCCACCTTACATCCTGCCTGAGGTGAGGCCTCTACCCTTGGCTGAGGCCCTTGGACCCTACAGGCCAGCATTTCCCTCCAATCCCTAAGAATTGGGCAGGTGTTGAACTGCCCTTTTACACAGAATTTCCTGAGGGAGACAAAGAAGGTGATGCTGAAAGTCACAAAAGTTGAGCCCCTGACATTTTGATTCAATCGGTGCCAGACAGAAATGTTAAATATTGGCTTTATCTTGAAGTAAAAAGAATTATTTCAAGTTGGCAAAACTGGACAGCTCTGGATACTTTTGGACTATAATAAATTAAACATTTGCTTTCTTGCAGATCCCTCACTTGGAAGCTCCCTCAAGTGGCTGTTTTATTAAAGCCACAGCCCAGGGAGGGCTGCAGCTCCAGCTGCTCAGGTGTTTTTACCTCATTTGCAAATGTTTTACACTTCTTGCTCATTTAAATTTTAAATTGTCAAAAGTTGAAGGAGGACCTAAAAATACTGATGAGCCTTGGGGATGTGGTACTGTAACACACTCTGCCTCTGCTGGTGTGCAGCCCGAGGTGGCAGCACGCTGCTGTCTGCGCAGAGGCACCTGCTCACCACCCCCTAGCCTGTGCTGGGCGCAGCACAGTGATGGGGCCCAGGCAGGTAGATCTGGTTCTTTGGTAAATCAGAGACTATTCCTGTGGATGCACATGAGCTCCAGCAGACAGAAGCTATCCAAGACCTCCCAAAGCATCCTGAGTTGACCCTCCAAATCTCAACTCATTAATCTCAAGTGGTACATCAACTCATGAACCACTTGGCATCTAAAGTGTCTATTTCAAAAATAAATGACAAATATCCCCGACCCATCTTCCTTAAATGATCAAGCAACCTTATTAAAAAAAAAATATATATATATATTATATATTATATATATATATATATATATATATATTATATATATATATCACATTTTTCTAGCAAGGTAATAATTGTTTAAAGCTTAGGACAGCTCACTGACCTCATAGCTCATATGTAAGTACACGTTGGGAACAGCAGGTGGTTACAAGGAAGCTTGTTGTAAAGCATTAGCCATTTATACTCCCACCAGCAGCAATCCCTGGATTATACCACATCCGGTGACCCAATGCCCAAGGCAGAATTTGTAGCACAGAAATGTATTATATTAAAGGATCTAAATGCATTTTATTTCATCAGGCCAGGGTACAGGCAAAGCAGCTGCAGGTGTTTTGGGAATGGAAGGCATCTGCTTTGCATTCTCCTCCATCCCTGGCTTTGCATGGTAGGGGGAAAATCATTAGACTCCAATAAACAGAACTGGATCCCAGCTTGCTGAGTTGGCTGACATAGTGCTCTGCTGGGCTGAGAAGAGAACCACTGGATGGACAGAAGTCAGCTGCCCAGGGCACTGGAACCAAAGCCACAGTGAATCAACAAGCTGGGCATCAGTCTGTCTGCTTTTCAAAGAGAAGGAAAACTTGCAATTTAGAAAAGCCCACACTCCTCCTCAACAATTTCATAAGAAACACTAAATCATATCGAGACAGCTTTAAAAGAGAAGCAATCATCTGCTTTCCCCCAAATAAATTAAAATATCAGTTACATGCCAGCTAAATGTTAGAACCAAAAGCAGTATGATAGAGGCAAAGATACAAAAGCCTTGTGCAAAGAACTCATAAGGCAGCTGTGTGCAGTCAGCGGTGATTGAGAGCCCTCCCTTGGCATGTGCCGTCACATCGCTCTCAGAGAGCCGTCAGCAGTGCAGGCAAGAAAACTGTGCCACAGTCCAGCTAACGAAGCTCCCCATGCAGTTTGTACACATGCCATTTTAAAAGTATAAAAAAATTCACCACTGTTGATGTCCTTTATTATTGTTTCTCCAGACAGCCCCATTCTTGCAAAAGCTCTAATTACCTCTTTCCTCTCCTCTGTGGAGAATGTCGGCTTCGTCCCAGTAATGTCTCCTTCTATCACCCAGCTCAAGCAGCCCTCACTTTACCTGACAGCCAGAGAACAAACCTTCCATCGCTTACTCTTTTGCCTCCATATAGGAAAACCTATTTTTGCAACCCAGCGGGTAGGGTAAGGTTAGGAGGCCCACACCATGAAAGATATTGTGACTTATGAGAACTCTCCTCCAAGCAAGCCCTTCAATGCCCAGCCCACAAGGAGACGGGGGCTGGCTGCAGGCTCATATGCTAGGCTGTTTTATCTGGAGATGAACATATATTTAAAAACTAAGAGAAAATGGCTCAAGGCAGTTTTTGCCACAAGAATAATGAAATGACTTGCTCTTTCAAACATCATTTCATTTCAGTAGCTGAAAGCAGATGGCATTAACCACTTGGTACCTGGGGCAGTCTTTAGGGTCCAAAAACCCCTAAGGAGGCACCTGCACTGCTGGCGGGCCCCTCCACCTCCTCCAGCCTCTACACGGCTCTCAGGGGAAGAGTGCTGTGCTGGTACGAAACTTCTGTTTTGGGAACGACCTTATCCTCCTTTCAGTAGGCTCCTGATTTGTTTGGCTTTCTCTTTCAGCATTTCCCAATCCTTTAAAAGATTATCTTCTCAAACAGAGCAGTCTCCTACAAAACCAGCTCCAAAGTTAAAGTAGAGATGACAAAAGGGGAGGCACGCATTCCATCCAGGAGCTGCTGAAGACACAGCCTGGGCCCATGGGGGTAACTCAGTTGCCAGGCTCCTGACACATGGCTCACCAGGGAGCTGTGGCCTGTTTAGCCTCCCTGAAGGCACCTTTGCAGGCAAGAGTCAGTTCATCCAAGTCACAGAATGTCCGAGTGGCAACGTGGTCAGGGGGCATCAGACTATAAATGCCACACATCTCTCTCCAGAGAAACACCTGGAAAAGAAAGGAACATTTTCCCCATCTTTCCCAACTGACCTTTCAATCAACACACTGGGATCACAGGGAGTATGAAGATGAGAAACTGGGGTAGGGAGAGACCTGTAACTTAGTTTCAACCCTGCTTCCACAGCAAGTCCCTTAACAGCTGAACTACACATTCTCTTTCAGGATAATACAGCATGGAGTGTGAGCTTTAGACCCAAGTACTGAATTCAGGTTCCTGCTGCCCTGTTTTGACAGTTATGTGGCTCAGGCCATTTAACCTTGAAGAACCTCCGCTGTGTCTGCTCTAAGATGGGGCTGTTACGGGCATAAATGAAAACCGTGCCTGTGAAGCACCCGGCATGTGCTCAAGGAAGGCTGGTTGGTCCTGGGATGATTCTTCGGGGTGGGGTCATCCCTTTTGCCATTTTGCCCTACACGGTGCAGCTGACATGCTTGGCATTATGACTCTGACCCCCTTCCCCCATCATGTCTGTTCCTTCCTCCTCCATTCACACAACATTTTTTCTGCCCCACTTGCTTTTACCTCCCCATCTAGATTCTGGTTCCATTCTCCTTTGAGAAGTCACTGCCGACAAAAGAGAACGAATGTGGAAATCTTCCTCTGAACATATGATGTACAAGTTTCCTCTCTCCCCCTCCACAAGCCTGTCTTTACAGACTATAAATGCATGCTAAGTGACAAGCTAAGTAAAAATTTCTGAAGATATGCAAATTTCAGAGAAATCTGAATTAAATATACAAAGACTATATAGTGCAGCCTGGAAAGTACTCAGTGGTTAGGGACACCATGAAAGGGACACGGAAACTTTCCAAGGACATCAGAGAGGAGCTCCTCTACAGGTACAGCTGAGTATTCTGCAAGCCTCTGTCACAAACAGAGGCAGAGCATGTGTTGCCAAGTTTGGTCACGTACTGATTGTTTGTTGAAAAGCCTCATGTCTATTTCCCCAAGACTGTCAGGCTGGGAGCTGTAGTGAAAGGAAGAGCAGGAGAAAGGAATGGGCTGTAGACATTCTGCAAACAATCTATGTTTTCACCCAAACTGTGCCAGCATCACATGCACTTGTTTTATGTGCTTGTTTTAAGAATGAAGTTTCTCTAAGGGCTTCTTGTTTTCACCACGATAACTCAAAAAGGTCATTCCGAGGAGCTTAGAAGTACAAGCATGCTTTTGCCCCGTTTCCACAAAATCTGAACTGCAAGGTCAGAAGTCCTACAATGTCTGCTGTCCACTGTTATAAGACTGTGTGGTGTGGGTGGGGGTGGGGGCGGGCAGAGAAGCTGGCTTCTTGATTCTCCATGTTTAAAGTTAGTTTATTTAAAAACACCTGCCCTGAAGGGGAAGAGGCTTATTCAGTATAGAAAAATATTTTCTGCAGACATGAGTTCAAATCTGAAGTCAGACTACACACTATAGTGAAAGCCCTACTGAATGGATAGCCCACTAAAGGACTCTACAAATCTCCTGTGTGGAAGGTATTAATAACCACATAGCCCAGTTCCATTTCACTTGGGGGTGTAGGAGAGGGGGCTCAGATATGATGACTTCACCTAATGGTTACAATTTGGGTATAAAAAAACACCCCATGAACAGCTGGGCATGGTGGCTCATGTCTGTAAGCCCAGCATTTTGTGGGGCTGAGGCAGGAGGATCACTTGCAACCAGGAGGTCAAGGCTGCAGTGAGCCATTATTGAGCCACTGCACTCTAGCCTGGGCAAAAGACCAAGACCCTGTCTCAAAACAAAACAAAACACCCTACGAATGGAGCCTGAAAATCACTAAATCTAATGACCCTTTTCAATTATCACTTAGAACCTCTAGAAAGCTGACTACTCCTGTGGGCTCTGTGACATCTGCTTACCTTGTTTTCCTTCTCTTTCTCTGATAGCTCTTCATCTGCTATCCTTGAAATATTAGCATTATTCAGTGCTGGACCTTCTTTTTGTCTTAATCCTACACTCTTCACACTCTTCTTCAAGGTTAAAATTCTAACTATGTATGCTAACAATTCTGAAATTTATCTCTCTGCCCCAGACCTCTCTTTGGAGCTCCATATCTGTGTATTCAATTATCTACTTGGCATCTCAGGTATTTCAGACTTGAGATGTCTAACATAGGACACTTGCTACTTCCTCACAAATCTGCTTCTTCTTCAATGTCTCCCATTCTAAGAGAATAGGGCCACCATGCAGCCAGTGGCTCATGACACAAACCTGGAGTCATCACTGATACCTTACTTACTCTTCACATTCAATTACCGAGTCTTGTGGATACGATTTCCAAAAATCAAATCCATTCACTTCTTGCCATCTCTACTGCCACCACCTAGTCAAAGCCGCCAGAATCTTTTTTTCCAGGGCTACTGCAATAGCCTCCTTTAGGTGGTCGCCCCATATCAAATCCACCTTCCTCAGAGCAGCCAGCGTCATAAGCCACCACCTAGTCAAAGAGACCAGTAACTTTTTTCCGAGGCTACTGCAACAGCTTCCTTTAGGTGGTCGCCCCACATCAAAGCCACCTTCCTCAGGGCAGCCAACATGATGAGATGATGAGATCCAGCCCTGTCTGTGATTACCGTGCTCCACTGATTACAATAAAAATTTCCCCACTGAAGCACGATCTCAACCCTGGCTGCCGCTTCCCCTTGTGCCATTTACTCCCTTGCATTCTATGTCCCAGACACACTGACTTCCAAAGGAAATTCTTGCTTACTCAGGCCTTAGCTTCAATGACTTCCTCAGGAAGATCTTCCTGGACCCTCAGACTAGGTTAGGGCCCAGTTGGATGCTTTCAAGGCATCTTGAACTTTTCCTTCAATCACTAGTCACAATTTTAATTTAGCGTCATTTGTGGAATTTGTTCATTTAATTTGTCTCCTTGGCTAGATTTCATAAAATCAAGCACCATGCTTCTGTAATTTATCACATATCCTCTATCCCTAAAATACTGCTTGGTTCACTCAAAATATTTTGGTCAGGTAAATGAATGATAGGTTAGGTATAGAAAGACTGTGTTCTCTGAACCCTAGGGAGCAAGCAAAGGCCAATCAGGTATTCAAGGGGCGAAATCCAATATCCTCACCTCAACCTCTACAGCATTTGTCCACTTTTCTGTTTCTTAAAATACTTTTATTTTTCATCTTCTGTGATGTCACACTCCTTTCTTCCCACCTGACCAACTGCTGCTCCTTGGAATCCTTCATGGTTTCTCCTCTAAAATCACCCAGCATCACGTCCTCCTGCATTTTCTCCTTTAGGTAATTTCATCCAGATCCAAATAGGGTATCCATGCTGATGCCTCTTGAACTTATATTTCCATCTATGAATTCCCCTCAAATCCAAATCCCGATATCCAATGGCCTACTTGACAAACACGTCTGACTAGAATAATGCTAGGAATCTCAACTGTACCATGTTTGAAACAACTCTTCATCTTCTTGACCTCTGTTAGTTTATCTCCTCATCTTCTCTGCCTCAGTGTGAGTGGCAATATATCCACCCAGCTGCTGTTCAAGTCAAACTGTGGGCTCAATTCTTGATTCCTCTCTTTTCCTTACTCCTCACACTGACTTTATTAGAGGTCTAGTTAGATCTAAATGATGTCCTGAATCGGCTCTGCACCTCTTCTCATGCAAATGTCCTGTGGCAGGAATAAGCTCAGCATACTGATGGAAGAGAAAGGCAGCCAGCAGGGCTGGAATGCGGTGAGGCCGATGGCTCCACCAGGCTGCTAGAGCTCAGGCGTGTTGCCTGCTTCTGCCTTTGCTGCCCTCCAAGCCGTCCCCCTCCCAGCAGTTGGAGGGAACTTCTGGATTTAAAAAAAAAAAATTGACCTGAGATGTACTTGTTTTGTATTTGTTCATTCTTACTTTGCCTATTTAAAGGTAGTACATGAATATAATAAAAATTCAAATTGTATAAAATGATATTTAGCAGAAAGTAAGTCTCCCATCTCATTCTGTTACCCTCTCCAGAAGCCCAGCAACCACCACCACTGTCTATTTTTATGTATTCTTGAGAGTCCATGCATCTGTGCATACACAAGCATGTGTTTCTCTCCCAGAGAAATATATTTTTCTTTTTTTTTTCTTTCTTTAATAGAGACAAGGTCTCACTATGTTGCCCAGGTTGGTCTCCAACTCCTGAGCTCAACTGATACTCCCACCTCCGCGTCCCCAGTGCTAAGATTACAGCTGTGAGTTACCGTGCCTGGCTCTCCAGGGGAATATTTTTAAAATTTAAGTCAGATCACTCCTTTGCTTAAAACCATTCAATGCCTTCTCACTATGTTTACAATAATCAGATTCTTTGCAAAGACATGCAAGCCCCCGACTGATCCCTGCTGCGTCTCCACTCTCCTCCCGCAACGCACTGTGCTCTGGCCGGGCTGGCCAGCTTTCTCTTCCTCAGATACACCAAGTTTGTTCCTCCCTCCAGGGCCTTTGTTCTGTCTAGGGCACTGCTCTCCCAACTCTCTGAATGGCTGGCTCTCCCAGCTTTTATGTTCAGCTCAGCTTTCATGTCCTCCCAGGTGCTGGCCTCCCCCTTCCCTATTTGCAGCTCCCCCTTTCCCTTATCACACTGTCATTTTATTACATCATATCTCCTGCTCCCATCAGAAATTACCTTGTTTATCTGTTCCCTTGCTTACTGCATCTCTCCCCTAAAGAATAAAAGCACCAAGAGGTCAGGGACTTTTGTCAGTTTTACCCCTTGCTCTTCCTCTACAACTCAATAAAGATGAACAGAATGAATAAATAAATAGAGTCAGCATTTGACTCATTAAAAATAGAAACATATTGCTTCTAGCAACAAGATAGAAAAACAGAAAAATATTACTTCTAGCAATATTTAATGCTAGTAACTGTGCCCCTCCCCCTCACAGGAGAACACCATCACCACACAGTTCATCCAGTTACCTGGGTGAACACAAGTGCACTGGGCACAACTGAAAAACTACTGCTGTCTGGCTTGTGGTGTATCCTGTTTTTTGCAGTAGCACGTTTACTTTCCTAACAGTGCCTTTCTATTGCCGTTATTCATAGGAGCCTACACTTGCTGAGCTCACTCTTAGAGGTAACCCAGAAATGTCCAAGATAGCACTGGATACTCTCCTGGAACTGAAGCTTTGCTGTTGCTCATAATTACAAACAAGCGGAGTACAGACAACACAGAATTGAATGTAACCACACAATTCCCACTGACATCCATTTCCTATTCCACCCTGGTATTTTGGTCAGTTACTCCAGATTCCATGGAAAATTAATCCTGGATTTGAGGGAAGAGCAATTTAATTGATGCAAGAGTATTAACATAAACCTAGCCCTTTAGTTTGTAAATCTGGAACCCCCACTTCCTGGGTGAATCTAGAACATATGGTGCAGAGCTCAGGGAAACAAATGTCATCCTGTGCATTCATCACAAGGATGCACAAACTACACGGTGCGCTGACTCACAGCTGCCATGGTCCAAGAAAGAACAGCACTGGGTGTGTGGAGAACAGTGGCCTGCTGTGCACAGCACGTGTCCTGATGACCCTTACAGTCCTCAAGGCACAGACAGGTGGCTGCCAGCCTGTCTCCTGGACCCACAGGACCCATCTTCACCTGTGGTAGCCACTGCCTGCCACCTCCCACCCTGTGGCCTAGAGCAAAAGCAAGTATTTAATACTAACAAAGAAATCTAGTATCGGCATGGAACACACTCATCCCTAGCTCCCTTGCCGTCCCAAAGTACTTTTCTGGAGGAGCCATCAGAGTAAATGAAGCAGGCCTGCCTTGGATCATGCAAAGATCTGTCTTCTATGGAAGACAGCAGTCAGGCAGTACTCCCCACGGGCCAGAGTCATCTGTCTTCCGGTCACCCACCCAGGCACTGTACATTTTAGCATGTGCACCAGTTGGTGTGGCCTGTGATCACGAACAAGGAAGTATCCAAAGCTACATGGGACATTCCCTGTAATCTTCCTTGGACTGTGTCACAGGCACTGTACTGGGGTATAGCAATACACTAGACAGTACAGGTGGCTCTGCCTCTCATTTCCACAGGCAACAACAGAGAAAGGGAACATCCTTCACATCTCAGGAGGAAATAAGCGGTGGCATCCTCAGGCACTGGCAGCTGTGTCCAAACACCTCTCTCAGGTCAATGCCAGTGGACTTCCCACACCCACCATCACACCTCCATTTTTGCCCCGCCTCCATTTCCAGACATTTCTAGTCCTTCTCTACTGTGTCTCTTTTCTCTCCAACACATGGATTTCTTTTTACTTGTGACCATTTTTGTTTCTCAAAAAAGGAAAAGGAAAAGGAAATCCACAGCTATGACTGCCTTAATACCTGCTCCACAGAGAAGGGAGCCTTCTGGACTGCAGGCTCAAGGGCAGGCCAAACTTGGTGATGCTAGTAAGTGTCCACACCAAGCAGCTCTTACGTGTGTACCTCTCATCTGTCTACACAGCTCACCGGAAACGTGTTTTTTTTGTTTGTTTTTTTTTTAATTGAGATGGAGTCTTGCTCTGTTGCCCAGGCTGGAATGCAGTGGCGCGATCTCGGCTCACTGCAACCTCCAACTCCCAGATTCCAGCGATTCTCCTGCCTCAGCCTCCTGAGTAGCTGGGATTACAGGCGCACGCCACCACACCTGGCTAATTTTTGTATTTTTAGTAGAGACAGGGTTTCACCATATTGGTCAGGTTTGTCTCGAACTCCTGACCTCAGGTGATCCACCCGCCTTGGCCTCCCAAAGTGCTGGGATTACAGGCGTGAGCCACCACGGCCGGCCTCACGTGTTCATTTCTTAACTGAGCTCTGTCTAACCCTGAATTATGGATGGGGATGCCTGCACAAAACACGGAGATGTAGAAAGGTGAGAAATTTCTTAGAGAAGCCAGTTAATCCAATTATTTTAGGCACTTCTCCAATGAACTATAGGGCTAACACATCCACCTTTTTCAGTTTTTTTGCCTCTGAACTTTGCTGTAGTATTTCATGGTCAGTCTCAACTATCCAGATCTGAAGTGTGCTAGCCCCTTTTCCCAACAGTTAAGAGTGTCACCTCTCAGCGCTTATTCCCAACTTATCCAGGGCTTGTTCCTTTTGAGTCTCTGGGAATGTATCACCTGTCACGCCCCTCATGGGTCCTGTCCCAGTAACCTTAGCTCACTAAGCAACACGACTTCGAGAGACTGAACAGTTCTAGTGCCCCCTGACATCAGGCACTAGGTGAAAGCCAACAACCCATGAAAGCTCCATTCACAGGGATCTGGTTATTGGCAGATATACTGACCTCTAAGGCAGTCTTCTCCATGTCTCCCTTCCAAAAGATGGCAATGCTCTCCAAATGCAAATGCTCTTTTTGTAACACTGACTACAGTATCCACCAACATTAGAGTTTATGCTGGCACAGAATCTTATTCAGGCTCGTGGCTGGCAACAAGACAGCAAAATGTGAAGTGGTGAGGCTTTTCTTAGTCTGCGTCTCCAGGCCCCAGCAGCTGAGGAGTAAGGGCTGTCATGTGGTCTTATCAGGACTTTGGTCTGCTTAGGTAAAAAGCACTTTCCAGAAGCAGAAACAAACTTCATTGATACTGATCTTCTCAGAGTAAAGGTGCTATAGAAATCTCATCTAATAAATAAAGGATTCAGGCTCCAGTGTTAGGCTGTCAGTCCAGCAAGGGAAAGAAGCTATCAAGCTCAAGGAGTCAAAAGTATTTATTGGTCACCTGTGCACTGTTTACAGAGCTCTATTCTAGGGGCTGAGTGGAGGAGAAGGAAAAAAAAGAAGTCACTAGTTCCTGCCTTTTAAGATAGCTGGAGACACATGCAGAGAAAAATAGCTGAAGGTCACAAAGAGCAAAGCAAGAAATCAACTGCAAATAAAATCAATATAATTCACCGATGTGTAATAAATCGGGAGCACCAAGGGGAAGTCAACTGCAATAAGGGATCTTGGAGGAGGTAACTTTTCAAGGAATATGAGGATATGAATTAGCACTCAGGAGAACGGAATGTGCATGTCAACAGAATTAAATGCCACTGTGTCTCATATTACCCAGGTACAGCGGGAGACCAAAAGGTGACCATGCTGTGGACCCGGTTTTCCAGAAGCATCTTATCTAGATGTGGCATTCGGGACACAACAAAACACAGTGCACTGGATGACTCATTACCCCATCTTAAGTGGTTCTCACAGTCAGGTACATACATTTTTACCATTCAATAAAAAGCATCTCTGAAACGGGGAAGTGGTTAAGGAATGGACTAAATTCTGTATGGTTGAAAATATGGACAGTTACTGCTGTAGTCCTCTCCTCACTGTTTTGGGGACCCCATGGGCCAGCTTGGGGATATGAAAAAGTGGTGGGGTTCTGGGAGCTCAACAGACCTGGGCTCAAATCCCAGGTGCTACCTTCATATTTCTAAGCTTCAAAGTTTCAGTTTCAACTTTATAAAAAAGGAGGTACCATTTGTCCAATGATGCTCTTTTTTTTTTTTTGAGACAGAGTCTTGCTCTGTCACCCAGGCTGGAGTGCAGTGGCGTGATCTCGGCTCACTGCAAGCTCTGCCTCCCGGGTTCACGCCATTCTCCTGCCTCAGCCTCCCGAGTAGCTGGGACTACAGGCGCCCGCCACCACGCCCGGCTAATTTTTTTGTATTTTTAGTAGAGACAGGGTTTCACCATGTTAGCCAGGACGGTCTTGATCTCTTGACCTCATGATCCGCCCGCCTCGGCCTCCCAAAGTGCTGGGATTACAAGCGTGAGCCACCGCGCCCGGCCTTGTCCAACAATGCTCTTAAGAGTCAAATGATATAACTCAAGTACAGGTACCCAGGATATACTAGCTGTTCAATAAAGCTATTCCTCTTTTTCCTTCACCCAGATGATCACAACTGCAAGACGCAGGGATCTCACAGTGTATTCAAGTGTCTATTAATGTGTCACCGCACGCCAGGCACTGCAGTAAGAGCCGAGAACTGCAGAAGAATATCGTTAAGTGCTCATGGTCTGGAGAAAGGACAGACATGTAAACAGACAATTTCAATATGCTCTGAGACATATATCATAAACAGAGGCCAACCATGGACTCCACAGAAGAGAAGACTGTTGAGCTGTCTCAGGGGAGATCACCAGATGAAGGGTTTTGTTAAAAAAGACACCAGGTTTTGTGAGGGCCTCACTGAGAAAAACTGTGGAGACAAACACTGAGTCCAGTCCTGTTTCTGACCCTGTCCTTCATGCTCCAATATCAGTTCTGTGGTCTCTGAGAATGAATTTGTTACTGCGGGAGCTGGGCTGCTGGAAAGCTTACATCACAGTGCTCAAATCTGTGAACAGGCTTGAAGAAGAGGATTTGTGACAGACTGCTCCGGAGGGCAGAGTGAGGGGGAATGAGTATGTGTTCTAGAGGGAGGCCAGTTTAAGCTGGGTAGAGGAAGCACCTAGTCAATCTAAGTTGCCCAGCAACAGGAGATGCCATACATCCTCCATGCAGGAGATGCCACACTCCCTCCATGCAGATGTACACAGTGGGACTACCTGCCAGGAAACTGCTGATGGGGTTTATGCAGCGTCAGTTTAGGGGTCTGGACTGGCACCAGATGGATGGCTTCTAAGATACCTTAATTACTTGGATTATATGTCAAGGAATCGCAAGTTTGTTAGGCAGGAATCAGAGACTAGTGCGGTTACACACAGTAGGTCTGTGACCTCCGAAGAACCCATGTATTTTGTTTTCTATGAGACAGGGTCTCACTCTGTTACCCTGGCTGGAGTGCAGGGACATGATCACAGCTCAATGCAGCCTCAAATTCCTAGGCTCAAGCAATTCCTCTCCCTCAGCCTCTGAGTAGTTAGGACTATGGCATATGCCACCACACTAGGCTTATTTTATTTTTTTGTAGAGACGGGTTTTTGCTACATTGTCCAGGCTGGTCTTGAACTCCTGGCTTCAAGCGATCCTCCCACCTTGGCTCTCAAAGTGTTGGGATTACAGGTGTGAGCCACCGCACCCAGCCCACAGAACCCATCTTATTCATGTCCAAGTACTAATACAAACACAGGTTTTATTTGTGCAAGTACACCCTTCCCCAAAGTTGAGTTATTTAATTAAACTCATAAGCATACCAAATAATTTTAATTCAAGCAAGCAAGGACACTACCCTATCTGACAGCATATATGTCTAGTCTGAATTATTTTCTTCCTCTACCAATAAAAATTGGTGGGGGGGAAACACTCTATCTGGATCTTTTTCGTTCAGCCAAATAATCCACTGGGAAATCCTGAGGCTGCACATGTACCCTGGACCTCAAGAATTTACATGGCTACTGGCCCAGAAATATTCCCACTCAGCTGTGGTTGGGCCTGCTTTCAAACACTGTTCCAAAAGGGCTTTCCCCTAATCATAAGCAGCAGGCTCATGAGGACACCACATTTCTTGGACTTTCCATTTTTTCTTGTACATTATTAGTCACCACTGACTGGGCAGCCACTACAGGCCACATACTCCAATAGGGGCTGTGGGAAGTTACAGAGCATCATGTACTCCTGCCTGCTGAGATTTTTTGAGTCTGGCAAGGAAGGGGACAACAGTGGGAGGAAGGTATGTGTTACACACCCAAAAGGTATAAATCTCTAAGTGAGAGAGAATGGAAGTGACTGGAACCAATATGAAACCTCATTGATGTGGGTACTACTCATTTGCAATTTCCAGTAATTCTCTTTGTTTCTAAATTATCTTGGTGTTTCCTATGAACAAATGAGTCTATAAAATGTACAGGCAGTATGGTCTAACTTGGGGGTACATTAAAATTACTTAAAGAACTGCGTTTTTACCTTCTAAAGAAGGACTCTAAAGCGCTGGGCTGAGGCCCACACTTCTTAGAAGTACTCCTTAAGAGGGGAATCACAAACCCAGAAGAAGAAAAGAACCAATATCAGAGTAAAACTAAATGAAACAAAAAAATCACAAAAGATAAATGAAACAAAAAGCTGTTTTTTTTGAAAAGATAAATAAAATTCATAGGCCATTAACAAGATTAACTAAGAAGAGAGAAAATCCAAATAAGCTAAATAAGAAATGAAACGGAAGAGATTACAACTGACAACACAGAAATACAGAGGATCAATCAAGGCTACTATGAACACCATTATGCACATAAACTAGAAAAACCTAGACGAGATGGATAAATTCCTGGAAAGATACAACCCTCCTAGCTTACATCAGGAAGAATTAGATACCCTGAACAGACCAATAACAAGCAGTAAGACTGAAATGCTAATTAAAAATATATCAACAAAAAAAGTCCAAGACCAGACGGATTCACAGCAGAATTCTACCAGACATTCAAAGAAGAGTTGGTACTAATCCTATTGACACTATTCCACAAGATAAAGAGGAAACCCTCCCCAAATCATTCTATGAAGCCAGTATCACCCTAATACCAAAACCAGGAAAGAACATAACCAAAAAAGAAAACTACAGACCAATATCCCTGATGAACATATATGCTAAAATCCTTAACAAAATACTAGCTAACCAAATCCAACAACATATCAAAAAGATAATCCACCATGATCAAATGGGTTTCATACCAAGGATGCAGGGATGGTTTAACATACTCAAGTCAATAAATGGGATATACCACACAAACATAATTGAAAACAAAAATCACATGATCATCTCAGTAGATGCAGAAAAAGCATTCAACAAAATCCAGCATCACTTTATGATTAAAACTCTTACCAAAATCAGCATACAAGGAATATACCTCAATATAATAAAAGCCATCTATGACAAGCCTGCAGCCAACAAAATACTGAATGGGGAAAAGTTGAAAGCATTCCCTCTGAGAACTGGAACTAGACAAGGATGCCCACTGTCACCACTCCTCTTCAACATAGTACTGGAAGTCCTAGCCAGAGCAATCAGACAAGAGAAAGAAATAAAGGGCATCCAAATCATTAAGGAGGAAGTCAAACTCACTGTTTGCTGATGGATGATATGATCGTTCACCTAGAAAACTCTAAAGACTCCTCTAGAAAGCTCCTAGAACTGATTAAATAAATCGGCAAGTTTCTGGATACAAAATTAATGTACACAAATCAGTAGCTCTCAAATAAAGAACTCAACCCCTTTTACAATAGGTGCAAAAACAAAACAAACAAAAAAAACCATCAAAATGAAAACTTAGGAATATACCTAACCAAGGAGATGAAAGACCTCTACAAGGAAAACTACAAACATTGCGGAAAGAAATCATAGACAACATAAACAAATGGAAACACATCCCATGCTCATGGATGGGTAGAATCAATATTGTGAAAATGACCATACTGCCAAAAGCAATCTACAAATTCAGTGC
This sequence comes from Homo sapiens, assembly GCF_000001405.40. Classification (NCBI taxonomy): domain Eukaryota; kingdom Metazoa; phylum Chordata; class Mammalia; order Primates; family Hominidae; genus Homo; species Homo sapiens. The sequence continues at coordinate 38,129,882 of NC_000006.12, read as the reverse complement.
AATTCTCATCAAAGTACCACCAACATTCTTCACAGAACTAGAAAAAACAATCCTAAAATTCACATGGAAAAAAAAAAAAGCCCACATATCCAAAGCAAGTCTAAATAAAAAGAACAAATCTGGAGGCATCACATTATCTGACTTCAAACTAAACTATAAGGCCGTAGTCACCAAAACGGCATAGTAATGGCATAACAAAAGGCACACAGACGAACGGAAAACAACAGAGAACCTACAAATAAACCCGAATACTTAGAGTCAACTGACCTCTGACAAAACAAAAACATAAAGTGGTGAAAGGACACCCTTTTCAACAAACGGTGCTAGGATAATTGGCTAGCCACATGTAGGAGAATGAAACTGGATCCCCATCTCTCACCTTATACAAAAATCAACTCAAGATGGGTTAAAGACTTAAATCTAAGACCTAAAACTAAAAATTCTAAAAGATAACATTGGAAAAACCCTTCTAGACATTGGCTTAGGCAAGGATTTCATGACCAATAACCCAAAAGCAAATGCAATAAAACCAAAAATAAACTGCTGGGACTTAATTAAACTAAAGAGCTTTTGCACAGCAAAAGGAACAGTCACCATAGTAAACAGACAACCCACAGAGTGGGAGAAAATCTTTACAATCTATACATCTGACAAAGGACTAATATCCAGAATCTACAATGAACTCAAACAAATCAACAAGAAAAAAATCCCATCAAAAAGTGGGCTAAGAACATGAATAGAAAATTCTCAAAAGAAGATATACAAATGGCAAACAAACATATGAAAAAATGCTCAACATCATTAATGATTAGGGAAGGGCAAATCAAAACCACAATGCAATACTACCTTACTCCTGCAAGAATGATCATAATCAAAAAATCAAAACATAATAGATGTTGCTGTGCATGCAGTAAACAGGGAATACTTTTACACTGCTGGTGGTACAACTACTATGGAAAACAGTGTGGAGGTTCCTTAAAAAACTAAAAGTAAAACTACCATTGATCCGGCAATCCCACTACTGGGTATCTACCCAGAGGAAAAGAAGTCATTATACAAAAAAGATACTTGCACATGGATGTTTATGGTAGCACAATTTGCAATTGCAAAAACGTAGAACCAACCCAAATGCCCATCAATCAATGAGTGCATAAAGAAACTGTGGTGTATATATATACATATATACATGATGGAGTAATACTCAGCCATAAATGGAATGAATTAATGGCATTTGCAGCAACCTGGATGACACTGGAGACTATTATTCTAAGTGAAGTAACTCAGGAATGGAAAAACAAACATTGTATGTTCTCACTCCTAAGAGGGAGCTAAGCTATGAGGATGCAAAGGGATAGGAATGACACAACGACTTTGGAGACTCAGGGGGAAAGGGTGGGAAGGGGGTGAGGGATAAAACACTACAAATAAGATGCAGTGTATACTTCTTGGGTGATGGGTGCACCAGAATCTCACAAATTACCACTAAAGAATTTAATCATGTAAACAAACAACATCTGTTCCCCAATAGCCTATGGAAATAAAAATTTTAAAAGAGGGGAATCACAGGAAGAATCTATTAGGGTGACTAAGAGTACCTAGTAGCAGGTATTTGCATACAATGTGCTTAACATAAATTAGTTTTAACTACACATTAAAGGCTTTGGAAAGGACATAACTTTAGTAAAACTTTGTAATTTATTATTGATCTGAAAGAAAACATTTTTAAAAATCCGATTATTTTGACTAAATACTAACTACTATGCGTGTGCGTGTGTTTGCCATAACTGGCCTTATTTGGTGGTTCTGCTGCAAAGGCTCCACACAGGGTCCCAAGTCCTGGGCAAGGTTTTAGAGGCTGAACTAACAAGAAGAAGTTAAGAGAGTCTGGTGAATTTGGAAGAAAGACCAAGAAATGTGGGTACTTCAGAAGAGATAGTCTGGGTTCAATAGAGACTACAGGGCAGGAAGAAGTGACAGGGAGGTACAGTGAGTGTGGCTGAAACCTAAGCTGAAGGAAGGGAGGAGCAGGCACTGCCATGAGGGGTCCCTGGACAGAAACTCTTCAGCAGGCCTTGAAGTTTAGTTCAGGGGCTACATGGAATACCACTATTTAGCACACAGGTGTGATCTGAGGTGAGGGACTACCTTTTCGATCTTGGTTTTCTCATTTATTTAAAAAAAAAAAAAAGAGATGAGACTAAATGATTACTAAGGCTCCTTCTAATTCTGGTGGTACGTGATTCTATTATCTACACACAAATTTTCATGCCTTTAATTCAAACAAAGCATTTCTAAACATCTCTCACTGTGGCTTGCTTTCATCACCTCAAGTGAGTATAGCCCAGGACAGCTATCTGGGTGTCTCTTATGATACTGGTTTAAAAATAAGAGGGCTAAGCTCAGGTTGCAGGCTTTCACCACTCTAGCTAGACACACGCGTGACATATGACTATCAACACAGGGAATATGCTTCATCTGCAAACAGAAATGAGTCTATGGGATGGCAAAACTCTTTAGAACACAGCTTTGTTGACCAGTTACAGGCTACGTGGTAGCCTACCATGGGTTAAATAATCATCTGTTTTTGGTGAACATATTTGAACATTTCCCATGTTTTCCTAGAATGTATTAATCAACTACAACCTGTGGGGGGCAGCTATGAAAAATCTATAGCTGAATCATACTTAGTGATGAAATGCAATGTTTTCTACCTAAGATCAAGGAAAAGGCAAGGATGACTCCACTTCTATTCAACATTATGCTGGAGGTGCAATAAGGCAAGAAAAAGAAATAAAAGGCATATAGATTGGAAAGGAGTAAAACTGTATTTGCAGATGACATGATCATGGATGTAGAAAATCCTAAGGAATCGAGAGCTAACAAGTTAAATTTAGCAAAGCTGCAGTATTCAAAAAGTGATATAAAATGATATATTTCTAAGTGGTAGCAAAAAAAAAAACAATCTAAAAATAAAACTTTTAAATTCCACTCACAATATCATCACAAACTAAAATATTTAGGAATAAATTTAACAAGCTATGCATTGAAAATATAAAATGTGGCTGAGAAACACCTAAATAGAGAGACATATCATATTGATGAGTTACAATATTAAGATGGCAATTTTGTGAATCTTTTTGTAAACATGGTTAAAATTTTAAAGTGTGAACAGACTCTTCATAAAAGAAGATATATGAGTGACCAAAGAACATATAAAAAATATGTTCAACATCATTGGTCATTAGGGAAATACAAATTAATATACCATAATGAGATACTACTACACAGCCACTAGAATACCTAAAGTTAAAAAGACTGACAATATTAAATGTTGGCGAGAACAGGAAGAAACTGGAACCCTAATGCATTGCTAATGGGAATATAAAATGATATAAGCTTGGAAAAGATCTTGGAAGTTTCTTACAATGTTAAGGACACACTTACCATTTAACCTGGCAACTCCATGCCTATGTATATACCCAAGAGAAATTAAAACACATGTCCACACAAGACTTCTGCATAAATGCAGCTCTATTCATAATGGCCCCAAACTGGCAATAACCCAAGTGTATGTCGACTGGCAAATGGATAAACACATGTGGTATATCCATACAATGAAATAATACTCAGCATTAAAGAGGAATGAACTACTGATATATAATATGGATGAATTTCAAAAACAACATACTATGTAGGTATGAATCCACTGATATTAAAATTGTAGAAAAGGTGAAACTATAGCAACAGAAAGCAGACTTTAAGTGGTTGGCTGGGGCTAGGGTGGGAGAGAATATGGATCGACTGAAAAGGGGCATGAGGGAACTTTTTGGGATGATGGAAGTATTGTACAACTGAATTTGGTGATGGCTGTACAACTTACACAAATCTACTAAAACTCATTCAACTTCTGAATAAAGATTTTAAAAAGAAATGAATAATGTAATAAGAACTAAAAAATCAGGGTCTGAAACAAGATTAAAGAAATAAAAAAGTAATAAAACTCATTCAACCATAAAATGGGCAAATTTTATGGTACGTAAATTATTTCTCAAAAAGCTGTTTTAAAAACTTTATTAAACAAAGAATTAACTAAAACTATTTACTACTGGAACTAAAATAAAAGACACTAATAATTCACTTCCTTTTATAATAATTTTTCTCCCCATAAAAAAAGGTATTCTAAGCAGGATAACCTATCCAAATACCTTTTGGTAACACTATTATTGTGCTGTTACTGCCACTAATATTAGACTATACAAGTAGCTGCAAGTATGCTAAAAAGATGGAAATTTATCTCATGCCATGGGATAAGGGTCTTCTGCCATACCTGTCAGTATGGGATGGGTGGGGATGTGACACAGGCTGCAGCGGATGTGCCCTGCACATTCGGTCTTGTAAGAAGAGCTCAGTCTTTGATACTCCTTTGCTTAGGGAGAGGGAGCTCTTCATGTTTCTGACATCTCTCTACAGCCCTGTCAAAGAACATAGGGTAGGCTGGGTCTCTGGGACAGTCCTGCACTAATGGGCTAAATACATGGAGTTCGTGTTCAGTAAAAGGTTTCATTTGTTTTGCTCTAACATCTCAAGTTGCAATTTACAGAGGAGCAGCAGAGGGACTAATCTATCTGGTTTTAGACTGGAACACTTACACATCAAAGATTAAATGGGGAATACAGATAGCATACTTATGTTTAGGTAAAAAGTACAGTGAGAGTGAAGGGAGGAGTATAGCAAAGGAAGAAAATTTTCTCAGAATTTGCCTCAAGATTTCTAGTTACCCTTAGCTCTCACATATATAATAACTCCCATCAAAAGGTTGTGGAACTTTTTTTCCTTTTGGGGGGATGGATGGGACACTTTCTTCTCTTGAGTCACAGGTAACATACATCCCAATTGTTGCTGTCTTAGGAGTACTGGAGAAGCTTTAGTCTTTCATCACCCAGACTCAGCATATAAACAGGAGTTCCTAAAGGCCGGGGTCTTTTGCTTAACCATGCTCTTGAGAGGTGACAGCGTGCTGGCAGCCCTCGCAGCCCTCGCTCACTCTTGGCGCCTCCTCGGCCTCAGCGTCCGCTCTGGCCATGCTCAGGGAGCCCTTCAGCCCGCCACTGCGCTGTGGGGGCCCCTCTCTGGGCTGGTTGAGGCCAGAGCCAGCTCCCTCAGCTTGCAGGGAGGTGTGGAGGGAAAGGTGCGGGCAGGAACCTGGGCTGCGCGCGGCGCTTATGGGCCAGCTAGAGTTCCAGATGGGCATGGGCTTGGCGGGCCCCACACTCGGAGCGGCCCGGGGCAGTGAGGGGCTTAGCACCCAGGCCAGTAGCTGCAGAGGGTGCACCAGATCCCCCAGCAGTGCGGCCCACCGGCACTGCGCTCGATTTCTCACCGGGCTTTAGCTGCCTCCCGGCAGGGCAGGGCTCAGGACCTGCAGCCCGCCATGCCTGAGCCTCCCCGCCTGGCCCCCCGCTGTGGGCTCCTGCGCAGCCCCGAGCCTCCCCTAGGAGCGCCGCCCCCTGCTCCATGGCGCCCGGTCCCATCAACTGCCCAAGGGCTGAGGATTGCGGGCGCATGGCGCGGGACTGGCAGGCAGCTCCACCTGCGGCTCCAGTGCGGTATCCACTGGGTGAAGCCAGCTGGGCTCCTGAGTCTAGTGGGGACTTGGAGAACCTTTATGTCTAGCTAAGGGATTGCAAATACACCAGTCAGCACTCTGTGTCTAGTTCAAGGTTTGTAAATACACCAATCAGCACTCTGTATCTAGCTAATCTAGTGGGGATGTGGAGAGCTTTTGTGTCTAGCTCAGGGATTGTAAACGCACCAATCAGCAGCCTGTCAAAACAACTGGCGCTCTGTAAAATGGACCCATCAGCAGGATGTGGGTGGGGGCCAGATAAGAGAATAAAAGCAGGCTGCCTGTGTCAGTAGTGGCAACCTACTCGCGTCCCCTTCCACACTGTGGAAGCTTTGTTCTTTCGCTCTTTGCAATAAATCTTGCTGCTGCTCACTCTTTGGGTCTGCACTGCCTTTATAACCTGTAACACTCACCGCGAAGGTCTGCAGCTTCACTCCTGAAGCCAGCGAGACCAAGAACCCACCAGAAGGAAGAAACTCCGAACATCAGAAGGAACAAACTCCGGACACATCACCTTTAAGAACCGTAACACTCACCGCAAGGGTCCGCAGCTTCATTCTTGAAGTCAGTGAGACCAAGAACCCACCAATTCCGGACACATTTTGGTGACCCAGATGGATACACTCTCTCCCTATAACTCATAGTAGAGCATGGACTCTCCACACAATGGCAATAATGATAACATTTCACCAGTCAAATCAGTTTTGGTCATAATAAAAGATCTCAGGTGTTTCTCTGCATAACAGGGTTTTCTGGTGGATCTAGGCTAGAACACTGTGAACAGAATAAGGCTTTTTATAAGAACATACTGCCTCACTTTCCTTTACAGACATAAGACAGAATGCCAAATGTTCCTGACAGGTTTACACTTGAATAAGAATTAAAATTAAGGCACAGACACGTGGGCTGATTTCTGATGCTGGTGAAATGGATCAGCCTGGTAATGCATGTCCCCAACATGTGTCCTAATCACTGCAGCTCCTTGCCCCACTCTAGACCTTACGGATATCACTGTTTGTTCATTGTGTAGCCCCCTGCAATGGCAGCAACAGTTGTGACACATGCATATTCCTTTTGACTCAATCAGTTCACATTCTCTCTAGATCATTCCCTTGAAAAGATTCAACAACCTCCATGGCTTTCCAACATGTTTCATGTTTCTAAAAGTCAGATTAGATCATGTTGACTGTATTCAAAACTATTGATGGCTTCTCACTATAAACGAACATCCAAACTCCTCAGCCTGGAATCTGGAATCCTTTTCCTCCCTTTCTAACAGTCTGTCCTCATTTGACTCCAAGACTTCATCCAGCTGAACAGAGTTCATCTCCTAAATACCAGCTTTGCCCAAGCATCCCCTCATTTCCCATATCTGAGTCCCAATCTTCCTTTAAAGCCCCAATTGTGAAAGCCTGTCCAGAATCTTGAGTTGCAATTAATCTCTCCCTCTCCATATCACTATAACATAGGCTTATACCTTATACCTATACCTTGATAAATGCTTATGGTAGGCTGTTCCAGTTATTTTATGTATGTCTGCCTTCCTCTTGGGCCCAGCAAATACCTACTTGAGTGCATATTAAAATCACTTTGGGGGTCCTTGGAGAAGTGGCTGATTCCAGGATTGGGGAAATTTAGGGACACATGCTGTTACGCCAAAGAATAAGGGAATGCTCCCAAATCCTCCCCCCACCACTGAAGAAAGATGGGAAGTATGCCACAAGAGCACAGGAGCCAGCAGAAAATAACTTCCACTGGCTAAATCCAGGACAATTTGAGCACCAAAATAATTAAGTTCAGTCGGTTGTCCATATCCATGGGTTCCGCACTCAACGACCACAGATCAAAAATGTAGTTAGGCCTATGATGGTTGTGTCTGCACTGACACAGGTTTTTTCTTTTTGTCATTATTCCCTAAACAACACAGCATGTAACAATTTACATAGCATTTACATTGTATTAGGTATTCTAGGTAATCTAGAGATGACAAAGTATATGAGAGGATGTACGTAGGTTATGTGCAATGCTACACCATTTTATATCAGGGACTTAGGCATCCTTGAATTTGGTATCCATGGGAGGCTCTGGAGCCGATTCCCCGCAGATACCAGGGGACAACTGTACCATAACAAATCATAAACCATTAAAAAAGATAAGAGCCCATGAGTCCATGCCAGTAACAGATAAATAAATGGGGGAGAGGAGGTGGCTTCACTTATAGAAGAATGCTGAGTGCCAAATAGTAAATGCTGAGGGAGTGCTAGAGTTAGTAAATCATCATTTTGCAACCCTCCTAGCAGAGACTGGCTTAGGCAAGAATCATCAATGGATGATGAATCTAGGGAAAATTTTTCACGAGGAGCAGAGCATTTACTTGGTCTTAAAGTGTTTTCCCACAGATTGGTTTATAGGTGCAAGGGGAAAAATAGTAACTACATAGTGGAGAAACCAGGGAATGCCCTGACTAGGTGGGTATATCAAAATTAACATCAACAATGAGGGCTGATGGACATCTGTGCCTCCCATAAAACCCTGAGAAGGATGCGTGATTATTTATGTAGTAGTCTGGGTGAGAATTCGTAGCCTGAATCTAATTATGAAGAAATATCAGAATAAGGAGTGTTCTATTAAAACCCCAAATAAAGAGTGTTCTACTAAAAAATAGGTGAGGGGAGGGATAGAGGGTTGTATTCTTTAAAAATGTCAATATCATAAAAAAACAGAAAGGCTGTGAAAACATTCCATGGGAACTTGTTCTACCAAATCAGAACCTCTGGGTGTGGGTCCCAACAATCTGTTTTTAACATGCCCTCCAGGTAAATTGTGATGCTCCCTCAAGTTTTGGTTCTTGTTTTTTGTTGTTTGTTTTTTAGTTTTTAAGAGACATGGTCTTTCTCTGTTGCCCATGCTGCAGTGCAGTGGTGTGACCAAGACTCACTGTAGCCTCGAACTCCTGGGCTGAAAGCCATCCTCCCACCTTGGCCTCCCAAGTAGCTGGGACCACAGGGTTGCACCATCTTGCCTGGCAATAATTTTTCATAGAGACAGGGTCTTACTATGTTGCCTATCTCTACAAAAAATAGAGACGGGCAACAAGCTGGTTTTGAACTCCTGGCCTCAAGGGATTCCCCCACCTTGGCCTCCTAAAGTGTTGGGATTACAGGCATGAGCCACCACACCAGGCCCCTACTCAAGCTTGAAGCCACAGATTTAGACTGTAAGCTCTTAGATTCTGTATTTCTAGCTCCTATATTCCCCATAAAACCTAAGAAAATGCTTTCTGCATATTCAGATTTCAGTAAATGCTTGATGAATTTGGTTTGACAGTGAATGATAAGGCAGCAATGACCACTGAGGCACTTGGAGATGATCAACTACTCCAGAGGCCCCAGCTAACACATCACTTCAGGTTTCTAAAGTGAAGAGAAAACTTATTTTGAAAACAATAAAGGATGTCAGATTACTCAGGAGGTTAATAAAAGCACTACTGTTCCCAAAGGGAGCATATCCACTTAAGTTTGTTAATGCACCATCAATTGAAAATATGTTAAAACTTACACTCTTCAACTGGTATTTAAAAATTAGTTCTGCAGTTCTAGCAAGCATTGCACAGTGATTAAGAAGCCAAGAAGGCCGGGCGTGGTGGATCATGCCTGTAATCCTAACACTTTGGGAGGCCGAGGCAGGTGGACTGCCTGAGCTCAGGAGTTCAAGACCAGCCTGGGCAACATGATGAATCCCTGTCTGTACTAAAATACAAAAAATTAGCCAGGCGTGGAGGTGTGCACCTGTAGTCCCAGCTACTAGGGAGGCTGAGGCAGGAGAATTGCTTGAACCTGGGAGGCAGAGGTTGCAGTGAGCTGAGATCGTGCCACTGCACTCCAGCCTGGGCGACTCCGTCTCCACAAAAAAAAAAAAAAAAAAAAAAAAAAAAAAGGAAGCCAAGCTACGTGTATCAATCAAGATCTGCTCAGAGAAGACGGCATTCTTGTGGCTGTGACGTGGCCCAGATTTGATGAAGATGGCCAGATTGCAGAAGAACATCCTCTAGGTGTCAATTCAGGAGACAAGACTCCTGCAATGACAATGAGCTGATCAATTTGCTTACTGAGTAGAAAATGAAACAAATAGATCCATTTTCAGGCAACTGTTTTCTATCTTGAGAAGTTAAACTATTGAAGATGCTCTAAGATGCAGGATATAATCCCAGCCTCGCAACCACATGCCTTTTCTAATTGGCACCCTGAAAGATTTCACAGGAAAAGGGTGTTACTTTGGTATTGTTGATTTAAAGGTTATCTAGTCACAGGGAGGCAGAGGAGAATTCGTATTCAAAATTCCTCCTTACTGAAAGCCCATGAAGTGTCTTGGCAATTAACAATTCCTATCACCTCTAGCTGTTCCCTATGTAAGAAGGCTCAGAACTCGCCTTACAAATTGCTCTTTTGAAGATCAAAGGGAAGCTGAATGTGTCTGTGTGTGCTCTCGATGAGACTGTAATTTAATGGAATTTTTAGAGAAGGCCTCACTGGCAGTGTTTGGACGACAGCCCTGGGGCGGAGGATTCAGGGGAGCTTGGCCACTCTTCCCTTTGGAGCGTCTTCCCTGCCTTTAATTGGCACCTCATTAGAAATTAATGAAAATGACATCCTCTGTTCTTCCTGCTCTAGGCATCGAATGCTACAAAAAGGCCCATCACAATTCATAACACATTCAATTTATATAGCAATGGCTCTTAAGCATTATTTATGAGATGTGAATTTCTTGTCAGCAGTTAATAACCTGTACAGAATGGAAGGCAAATGGAAGAAAAGATTGCGAATATATATTTAAAAAAAGATTTTCTGCAGGGAAGAAGTGTTCTGTTTGAGCTCAAACTACCTTCCTGAGTCTTCACTTTCAGTAGTAAATTACTGTGTTATCCCCCCTCTAAAACCTTTCAGGGCAGTTAAACATCTCTCCAACATCCATGCATCCTCAAGGAAATAACAGTACAACTCACCCTTTCCTAGAGAGATCCAAGCAGGCAGGAGGAACACAAGAGCTCTTTGTCAAAAACAGTCCCAGACTTTTTTATGGCATGTTCCCATTGTTGTCCTTCATCTTTTGAAGGGTGACAGTCGACTCAGTCATTTTTCTGGGCACATAAGTGTAATGCTCTCAGTGGGTCAAACTGAATGCCCAGCTGACTCTAGGAAAGTTACATCCTGTTGAGACTGCAGAAAGCTCAGGGCTTTCTTCTCCAACAGAAAAAGTCAAATCTCCCTAAAAGCAGACTTTCGGAATTGGGCACAAGCCAAGAGACTACATGTTAGAACATTTAAAAAGGATGCATACTGAAGCAAACCCAATATGCATTTAGCAATCCAGCCTCCTGCCCACAAAGGTTAAGAGCATGGCAGAGTAATCTATATTTACCAGAGATTAGACAAGTTGGCTTTACTTGAGTGAATGTGAAGTCATCTAACATATATTACTGTTTTTTTTTTTTTCTTTTTTTTCAGGTGGATGCTAAGACCTTAGGAAATTAGGTAGTCTGCGTCAAAGCTGAAGGGTAAACTAGGAGACCTGGTTACATCTTTAGATCTCAGTGCTAAATTGTGAAATCTCCTGTTTGCCTGACAAGAAGAAGAAGCATTAGCCACTGCCGGGGACAAGACAGCATACTTGATAGACCAATTGCTTGATCCGCTATGGCAAATCCTGTGTAATACCCAGGATTCAGTTACTTTCAAGGAAGAAACAAGAACAGAAGGTTCAGGAAAGTCCCACAATTCTAACTGAGGAACAACCAAAAGCCTACGTTACAAAAGCAACAGCTAAAATGACCAGGTAGGCTCACAACACTGGTAACAGACTGAACTGCTCAAATTCCCTGAGAGTTCACATGAAGACCAAAGCAAGAATTTGCAGATCACAAAAGATGAGACAGCCTCTGCAGAGTGGAGCGAAGCTGGTTAGCCAGCAGAGCCCAGAGTTTCCTCAGCCATCCACAGTGTCCCTGCCCTACATCACCAAGAATTTAAAATTGCCTGGCAGGGTTGATCGAAATAGCCTAAGAATAAGGTTTTGAACTTACCTGGGCCATACTGCGTGCATGAACACACGGACATCTGAAAACTGCTGTCAGCCTCTATTCCCACCACCTATCCTAACCCTCTTTACGGTTTCCCAAAAATGCTTAGCACTATAACCAAAATGCCCTAAAAACCTTATCTGGTAACATTTAGACTCCCCATGCTGGTTCCGGTTTCTGCAGTTGAATATGCACTTCTAATCTCGTGGAGTACCGCATACACCAGAATGTGTAACAAACAGGTATCTGGTCAAAACAGGAATAGGAGTTCCAACGTAGTTTCTATGAAAAGCTAATAACCTCTCTCTTCCTTCCCATTTCCAATAGGGCAGATAATTGAGGAACCGTAGCAGCAAAGGCTGCCGCTTCAGAAGATAGTAAACTTCCAGTGACCATTACTTTATAACTGCTGAGTGAACTATTTAGTCCTGACTGTCAGCAATAGTACTTGTAGGATATCTTCGGCTGTCCCAGAAGTGAAAGGGGGCTTCTAAAGCTGACTTCTCAGAAAGAAAGAAATAGGATTCTCAGAGGCTACAGACAGGTCTCAAAGTCAACCTGATGACAGCTGAACTGGTCCTCAAACAATTTTATAATATTAGGTTTTAAAACCAGGAAATAAAAACAAGTACAGGAAACTGTAAATCAGCCTAAAATAATGCTGCTACACAATTTCGTTCCTATGTGTCATGATACATGTGGTCAAGAAGAGAGAAAGGGTTGACTTAAGTTTCATTCCACTGTGGGTAGGCATCCCTGTGCAGCAATTCTAAAAGGTATTACACTACAGAATACAGAAGGAAAGGTGACTGTAAAGCTATTTCAGACTGGGTATATGGTGGCTCATGCCTGTAATCCCAGCACTTTGTGAGGCAGAGGCAGGAGGATGGATTCAGCCCAGGAAAAAAAAAAAAAAAAAAAAAAGGCTATTTCAAGGTATTAACTGACTAGATGAACTAAGGTTCAAAGGTAATTTTCTAATCAAAGCTTAATTTAACAGGGATATGGAGAAAAAAAAATCTTCCATTTATCATAAATAGTAAGAAGCTCATTCAAAATTAACTTAATATCTGAATTTTATGGTACATACTCCAGAATTTTGCTTGTTTGGTAAACTTCTGAAGTCGTGAGAAGAAACCAGAGTAGTAAGTGGTGGGGGGAAGTTGAAAGCACTAAGCAGTGAGATGTAGCTCTAAGGAGATATGCATTAAGAACATGGGGATGTTTTTGTCTTTTTTGCATGTGTGAGAATAAAGGGTGTTTAGAGGCAAACATACTATGCTCCTGATTTCTCAAGCCCCAAACCTATATCGCATGCACTACTGTAGCAAACTTACAGTACTCAGAAGAAGAACGAAAGACTTCAGCCACTTAAATTTCCAAAGCTGGGCCAAGGTGTTAAGGATATAGTCTCCATCACGCCACTGGGGGAGATGCTTACCGCAGCGACACGATCCCAATTCCTGCTGCACCAGCTCCAGTTTGGTTTGGCACTGGAAGCACCGACGTCGACTCTTCTGTTTAGATCGACTGGTTTCCTCGGACCGTTCCGTATTCTCAAGTAGTCGTGGCCGTTTTACTGGTGAAGCCTCATTCTCAGACTGTGAATCTGACCAAAACAACATATTTGGGGATCAGGATTAGTGCCTGGCCTGGCAAGCACAGTTGATTAATGTATTTCCAGGCATTCTCCTGACCAGGCTACTGCCCTTGTCCAGGAATCAGACAGGTGAGAGCCAGTTCTGACTTGCTTGGTTTATACTGCACAAACTATGACAAACGTGTACCTTTAGTGCTGACTTCTAACAAGCTAGGCCTGAGCTGGAGAGGAGGGTGTGGGTGGCTCAACAAAAACCAGTTCTATGTTGTTGTTTTTAAAAAGAGCTGAGATTCTATGAGGAGACCATTCCAGCTAGAAATGGGGTCCTGTCTTTGTATTCCCTTGCTGGGACCTAGATGCTTACTGCCTGTATTGGTTAGATATCTTTTCTTGGGCATTTGCTTGTCCTCAAGTAGACCGTAATTCTTTAGAGATGGGACTATGTCTAATGTATCTCTGTATCACTATGCTTTCACAATTCCATTCCCAAAGCCAGCGTTTGATGAGTGATCTGTAATCTTTTATAGTAAAATTACTCACGTTTCTACTCTTAAAGACACAGAAGTCAGGTTCTAATACTGACAATTAGTTCAATTTGATTCAGAATGAAGGGGCACCTCTGCTGGTACACATGCAAGCTGCCCTATGAACTCCACCATGGGGTGGTGCAGCAGCAGCAGCACCAGGCACCCCACCTTGAGGTGGAGCCAAAATGGTAGGTGGAGGGGGGTGTACTCTGTGAAAACTGTGTCTTGCACAACTTCAAAAAAGTAATTAAGACGCAACAAAGCTCTTATCACAGGCAAGGCTGTAAACGACTCTTGCCTTCAATAAACTGGGCAGCTCTTTGGGGCTCTGTATTCCTGAAACAGCTGCTTGCATACCCACGATGTACCTCTTACCAAGTTCCAAATTGTTTGTGCTAAATTACTTCCAGAAGGGAGTCTCCTAAACAGTCTTCCTCAAAATAATCCAGATGCCACACCTCTTACCCCTCTGTCACCCCCACCTTGGTCTAAGCCATTACCAACTCATCAAGCCTACTACAAGAGCCTCTTCACTGGTCTCTCTGCTCATCCCCTTGTTTCTACAGTCTATTCTCCACATAGCAGACAAGTGACTCTGTTAAAAATCAAGTTAGATCATGTTACTTCCCTGCTCAAAACCCTCTAATAGCTCCCCTTGTCAGAGTGAAAGTCCAGATACTTAGACTCTCAAATACCCTGCATGACTTGCCCCACGCTCAGCTCCTGCTGCTTTCCTTCCTTTGCTTATCTCTACACTAGCCTCCTTATTGTCTCCTACCTGTGGTACTTTGTACCTTCTATTCCCTCTGTCTGAAACACTCTTCACCCAGATCTACATGGGATCTTATCTCTTTTATCACCCAGGCCCCTGATGGTGATGATGGTAGTTTGCTCACAGTCCCCCAGCCCTGCTGCACTGTACTGGCATATGGAGGCCCTGCATCATTCCCTTTGATATCTTTGCTCCAACGTCACATTTTCTTTTAAATTTTATTTTGCAAAGTCACATTTTCATTGAAGGCTTCTTCCCTGATCATCACTTCTAGATCACTGAATCCCTATTCTTAGCACTTCCCCTCGTCTGTTTCCCTTTTATTCCTCCACAGCACTTATCTTTAACATTATGCCCTAAAAGAAAGCAAACTCCAAGAGGGCAGGAAATTTCACCTGCTTTGTTTACTGATGTTCCCTCCATGCCTATGGCTCAATAAATATTTTTTGAATGAATGAATTTGTCTCCTAGGCAGTCCTAATGTTCTACTTAAAGTGGCTCTAGTGAGAAGCCACAGCCTATAGGATGTATTTTAGTGAAGGCTGTCTGTATGCCCTTTCCTAGCCTCCCTGTGTGTGAGGAAGATGCTGCACTTCACCCAAGATTGTCCAGTGGACCCCGATGGTGATGCTGGTAGTTTGCTCATAGTCCCCCAGCCCTGCTGTGCTGTACTGGCATATGGAGGCCCTGCACCATTCTTAGCAACTACAGACTTCATTTTTCATCTCATTTAATTCTTCCAGTCCTACATGACATTTTGCCCCAATACAAACCAACTAAATAAGGACTCTGATGAAAACAATTGAAGGCAAGTTCAGCCTATTTCCCAGCTCTGCTGAGCAAAGCTGTCCAGGCCCAGTCAGTGTGGTGAGTAAGGTGGCTACAGATAGGGCAGGCGCTCTCCCTTCTTCTACAAGAGCAACAAGCAACAATTTAAATATAAATCATTACAAAGCAGTCAGCTGAAAGAAATTCACCTTGTATGAGCCACACTGCTCTCTGCGGGCGGGGTCCTTTTACACAAACCAGCAATGGCTCTATTTGTATCAATAACCCTATTTAGAATTTTTTTTTTGTAACAAGAAAATTCTAGGGTAAAAACTGTAACAAAAAATGTTTTTTTCTGAGACAAAGTCCTAAATTCAAAGCATCCTTATAGGAAATTACTCCCACTGGGAGGCAGGTGTCAGCACAAGATGGGGAGGCAGCTGAGGCCTTTTCATTATTACTATGATTAAAATCTGGAGGGCCTTGGCACAATGCCAGCACACCTCTACTCTAACACAGAACTGCTCAGACCCTGAGCCCCTTTCTTTCACACCTCTGTGTCTGAAAATGCAGAGTTCACATTTAGAGCTCTTTCTACATGAATCTATCCCAAACCGTCAAACATGCTGTTCATCTGCAAAGCACCCATTTCTAAAACAAACCTTTCCTGCAAGGAGAAGACAATTTAATTTCACTGTGTCAATGAAGCCGGGGGAAAAAATAAAGACAAAAAGAATTTCAGTGTGGCAATATTATCCATAAGGTAACTATGTCCAAATAAGTAAGGGAGTTAGATATGTGAAGAAAAATTTTTTAAATGTATGAGTCCTATGGCTGAGAAATAGAATTCATATTTACATAATCACAATCATTAGTCATCACCAAACAACCCACTTTGATGGGACCCCCCAACCCCTGCCCTGCAAAGTTAGGAGGCCTGTGCAGTCTTGACCTCTTTTTCTCTTAATTCCCCATCTTACCTGACCAATGGGCATTCAATAGCAACACTAAGGAATGTCTACATGATCCCATGCTGAGATTTTCCTTGATCTATTCCACATTAATATAAAGACCACTGAGTTATTTGTTCTGGTAGGCAGTAGGCATGGAATATTCTTGAACAATGAATCCTAAAGGAGGTTTCTGATGCTGCCACAGCTTCTGGTATGATATACTGATCATCCTAAAAGAACACCATTAAGCCCTACTCGATCCTCTGACAATCAATGTCCCAGCATCCGTACAAGTCTATGACCAAAGGCATCCATGTACAGGAAGTCTGGGCCCCAGGAAGCAATGCTAGATGATTCTAAAGCAAGGCAGAAGAAATGTCTAACAGAATGTGTTATGTTTTAGAATCAAAGAACTATTCCAGATAGCAAGAGATCCACACCTTTGAAGCTCTGGAATATGCCCACTTACCCTTCCCTAGATGAAGATCTGTTAGATGCTCTCTAATGCTCCCTGCCACCAAGAGCGAGGGTAAATAAGCTTCCAAAACTGCTCACTATCCTCCACAAGCTATTGCCCAAGAAGGTGACTGTGTATGTGTAATTTCTTCGAGAAGCAAACCATTCTCCGGCATTTTCTCACAAGTCAACTTAGTGTTTTAATGAGAAGCTAATGAAATAAATAGTAATCTATAGAATCATCCTCACTTGCATAAGAAATTTACATTTCCTCTGCTAATTAGTTAATGAAACCTTTGTGCCACAGGGCGAGTTGCTTAAATAAGAGAAACAGATGTCCAGGGCAGGGGTTCTAACGACATGATAATGAATTAAATAATTCAACTATTCATTTGTAAGTTTTATGTCAATTAGAAAAAGACTACCAGGAAAAAAAAATCCAAACATGGTTGACATTAAAGCAACCATCTACTACCCATATTTGAATAAATTAACCTGTAATGATTTACTTTTACTCACAAATATCATTCCCTGTTACCGTGAAGCATTGCCAATTTCCTGAAAACACCTAACAGTCTACTTACATACTCTGAACTTGGGCAGTAACAGTTAAATGTGGAGAGAGAGGTGACAAGAAATAACTCTTACAATGCAGCTTTAACTGTCAGAAGCAGCGAGTCCTTGCAAGGAGCATGCTCATTAGTAGCAGGAGGAACTCCCGTGCCAAGCTGGAAACCATTCCCACCCCAGGAGTTAACAGTGACTTCTAATTAAGGTCCTTCATAAAGGGCCAACAAAGCAGATTCTTTTTTTCCAGTATGCTTTTACTTGAGAACATAATCTAGTGTAGTAGATATACCCACACAGAGCTGCCGCTCCCCCATTCCACGTTCACAACTCTTGGTACTCACCAGACCCCTGCTTTCTCTGCCAATGTTTAATAGAATGAGAAAGATATCACATCAGATCTAGTCAAAGGAAAGTCTGATCAAGAATCATAATGTGATTAAATAAGGAAGGAAAATCTTAAGAAGAAGGATTTTGCCTATTTAGCTTTCTTGGTTTGAAAGTAACTGCGCTTAATTTTCGACAGAGAGACAAGTACTGCACAGTCCGTCTCTCGGTATCCAAGGGAGATTGGTTCCAGGACCCCCCAAGGATACCAAATTCCATAGATGCTCAAGTCCCTTATATAAAATGGCAAAGTATTTGCATATAAGCTACATACATCCTCCCGTATACAGCTGACCCTTGAACAACATGGGGTTTGGGGCGCTGACCCCTGTTACAGCTGAAAATTTTCATATAACTTCTGACTCCCTCAAAATTTAGCTAGTAATAGCCTCCTGCTGACCAGAAGTCTCACTGATAACACACAGACAATTAACACATATTTTGCATGTTTTATGTATTACATACTGTATTTTTACAATAAAGTAAGCTACAGGAAAAAAAAATTAAGAAAACCATATGGAAGAGAAAACACAATTTCTCTTCCTTAAGTGAAAGTGGATCATCGAAGTCTTCATCGTTGTTGTCTTCACGCTGACTAGCTGAGGAGGAGACGAAGGAGGAGTGGGGGGCTGGTCTTGCAGTTTCTGGGATGGCAGAGGCAGAAGGAAATCTGTGCATAGTGGACCTGCACAGTTGAAACCCATGTTGTTCAAGCATCAACTGTACTTTAATCTTCTCTAGATTACTTATAATCCCTAATACAATATAAACACTATGTAAATAGTTGTTATACTGTATTATTTAGGGAATAATGACAAAAAAACTACATGTTCAGTACGACACAATCATCCATTTTTTCCCAAATATTTTCAGTCTATGGTTGGTTGAATCCACAGATGTGGAACCCATGGATATGGTGGGCTGGTTGTACAGTAATTTTAAAGACATGGAATCTTCTGAAGAGAGGAATTCTTCTAATTGTACTTTCCTAGCCAGTCTCAGAAAGTAGTGTTAAGACTTTCAATTTAAGAACACAGTTTAACTGGAAAGCTTAACTGGAGACAACAAACAGAGCTACTTCTTTTAAAATTCTGTTTTGTCTCTGGCAGAAATTCACATTTGTTCCTTACTGTCATTCTTGTCTTTATTACTCATGTTCCCGCCTGAAAATTTCCAAATAAATTGTGTCATGCCTGTCAAAGCTGAATCTCAATCTCTCTTAATCTCCTGTCACCCTGCAGCTGGCAGCCTGCACACACCCCGTGCACTAACCATGGCTGTGGCTTCCTGACATCTCAGGCAGACAGGCTTTTAGGCCTCCGTACAAGCCAACACTCACAATACAGAATAGGAGAGTGGGAGAAGCAATGCGGCAACAAAGAGAAGAAAGCCTTCTGCTATTCCCTTCACCCACACCGTCCCTTACTTCTACGAAAGATGAATCTGTTTAATCTCAGGCTCTATGACAGCTCTTGAGGTACTCAATCAGTTTTTTTAGAACCTATCAGTCTCTTGACAGATTGACATTTATGATCCCAACAGCCTGTGCAAACATCAGTAAGAGCAATAATTAACGAACCCTCACACATCACTGCTGTTTCTCCTTCGACCACTTAAAAGGAGCTTTTAGCTGGTAAAACCTTTGTCCACGAAAAATACCACACTCTCACTGGAAAAACTGATAAAAGAGACTTGAAAAAAACCTGCTTTACAGGTACTTTCTGTGTTTCTCCTCATGCTTTGCTTTCGGGGTATATGCTGGGATTAGATTCATCTTCTCCTGACATTTTACTCTGTGTGCCATGAAAGACTTTGAGAAAACACCTTGCTACCCATTAAAAAAAAATTCCCACCTCATTTGACTGAAATTTTCCCTTCCTTTCTTAATGTTCCCAATGACCCTAAAATAATTTTGGAGTAACACATCTGTTGAAAAGCCATTGTGTGGACAGAGAACAAGGTTCAAGAGGCTGATTATTAAAATTTTGTGGAGAATGCCATCATCTTCATTTGATATGGAGACGAATCTAGCTTGAAATACTCCTAGGATGCCATGTCCTAGATCATAAACATTTAAAAAGTCAGTTGTTCACAAACTGCCAGGCAGTATAATTCCTAAGCATTAGTCTCCCTCTCCTCCTGGGAACACAAGATTGGGAAATCTGGAATGGCTGATCAGGAAGGCTGACCATCTTGGGAGTGCACCTGAGCTTTGAGGTCTTTGTCCTTAGTATGCTCAAAAAACATACGGCATCAGAAATCTTCCTGGGGCCAACTCTTATCATCTACCAATCAGATTTTGGTCCTCCGGATAGCAACGCAGAAGCTGCTTCTGCGGAGACATTTTTGACTAGAAGACAGTTTAAAGAGCCGCAGAACACACAGAAGTCAGGAGTCATAATAAAATTATCATATGCCCTTCAGGAGATGAGTACCCAAAACCCCAAAGGTATGTTTTAAAGACTGAGATTAGGTTTTTCACTTCCTCACAGCCCATCTTCCCTTCCCATTTCTGGTGCACAGGAACTTGGAAGCTGATTTTGGCGGTACACCATGATACCAGAAACAAGTGACTATGAACTCATCAAAAGATCAAGCAGGAGAAGCTAATGGGCCATGGGGGAACAGCTCTCCATCAAATAGAACAATCTTAAATGAAAGTCATGGCAGGCTGGGCGCAGTGACTCACGCCTGTAATCCCAGCACTTTGGGACGCTGAGGCGGGCAGATCACGAAGTCAAGGGATTGAGACCATCCTGGCCAACCAACATGGTGAAACTCTGTCTCTACTAAAAATACAAAAATCAGCTGGTAGTGGCGCACACCTGTAGTTCTGGCTACTCAGGAGGTTGAGGCAAGAGAATCGCTTGAACGCAGGAGGTGGAGGTTGCAGTGAGCCAAGATCGCGCCATTGCACTCCAGCCTCGGCGACAGAGCAAGACTCTGTCTCAAGAAAAAAAAAAAAAAAAAAAGTCATGGCAGCAAGTCCAACAGTTTTAGAGGGCAAGGTTTTCCCTCTAACTCTTCTTTCTAATCTGTATGCCTTCCATTTTTTTTTGTTTGCCTGTGCTGGCTAGTCCTTCTGGTATGATGCTGAATACGAGTGTTGAGAGAGGACACCCTTGGTTTGTTGCCAACCATAGGAAAAATGCATTTAGTCTTTACCCAACTTTTTATTTTAAAAATTTCAATAAATTTAAAAATTTCAAACATATAGAAAAGGTTAATGAATAATACACTAAGCGCCTGTGTACACTCCATTCAGATTCAACAATTAATGTTTTATCACATTCCTTTAACTCGACTATAATGGTTAATACTAAGTATCAACTTGATTGGACTAAGGGATGCCTAGATGGCTGATAAAGTATTGTTTCTGCATGTGTCTGGGTGTGTCTGCCAGAGGAAACTGTCGTTTAAGTTGGTGGAATGGGAGAGGAAGATCCACCCTCAATGTGGGTAGGCACCATCCAATCAGATGCCAGGATGGCCAGAACACAGCAGGAGGAAGAAGGTGGGATAAGTCTGTTTGCTGGTCTTCTGGTCCACTTTCTTCTTTCTGCGCCAGATGCTTGCTTCTGCTCCTCCTGCCCTTGGACATCAGACTCCAGATTCTTCGGCCTTTAGACTCTGGAGGTGCACCAGTGGCTTCCCAGGGACTCGAGCTCGGCTGCAGGCTAAAGCGTGTACTGTCAGCTTCCTTTGTTTGGGGGCTTTTGGACTTGGACTGAGCCACTATTGGCTTCTCTATTCCCCAGCTTACGGAAGGCTTATCATGGAACTTCACCTTGGAATCATGTGAGCCAATTCTCCCTAATAAACTCCTTTTTATAAATATATATATCCTATTGGTTCTGTCCCTCTGAAGAATCCTAATACACTCGCCCCTCCATATTTATACTTTTTTTCTCCCAGAACCATCTGAAAATAAGCTACATACATCAAAATACTTCATCCTGGAATACACAGATATCTAATAATAAGGGCATTTCCTTACATGACCAAAATATCATACCTAAGAATATTAAGAATGCCCCAATGTCACACAATATTTAATATTCAGTCTATAGTGAAATTACCCTCATTGTTCTTAAAGGCATGTCCAATCAAGTTTCATGTGTTACATTTGGCTCTTATGTCTAAATCTCTTTTAATTTAGAACAGTATGTCCCTCAAACTATTTGTTCATTCATTCAAATAACGTGAGCTTTTTTTTTTTTTAACAGTCCTTCTTAATTTTCCTGTGGAATGTACCACCACCTGGATTTATTCTTTCCTTCATCAATCAATCAAGCAATCAATGGTATCCTGTAACTTTTAAGCAGGTGGTTATTTATTCATTCAGGCTAGAGTGCAGTGGCACAATCATGGCTCACTGCAGCCTTAACCTCCTGGGCTCAAGTGATCTTCCTGCCTCAGCCTCTCGAGTAGCTGGGACTACAGGTGTGAGCTACCACGCCTGGCTAATTTTTTGTATTTTTAGTAGAGACAGAGTTTTGCCATGTTGCCCAGGCTGGTCTCAAACTCCTGGCCTGAGGTAATCCGCCCACCTCGGCCTCCCCAAGTGCTGGGATTACAGGTGTGAGCCACTGTGCCTGGCAGGAAGGGAATATTTAATTGTATACTTTCTGTGTTACACATTCAGAACCAGAAATGTAAAACTTCCAGCAGGCACCTGACAAGCCCACATGGCATGGCTGGAGGACTGGCGTAAGTAAAGAAGGTGAAGGGAAGGTACTGTGTAATCAACCCAGTTTCTACTGCACCTTGCAGTTGGGGAGAAGAATGCTGTTCCTTTAGGTGCCTCCACTTCACCTCTTCCACATACTGGACATCAGAATATGGCTCATGTGTGTCTTGGCAAGGAGGAGATGCTTACACAAACATTAAGAGATAAGCTTGCTACTAGTGCTTTCAATCATGATTTGTTTTAGTCTGATGGCATTCTCTGTGACTGAAATTGAACCCAGCAGGCCACACAAGTCATTCTTCCAATTATCTCCTTTCCAATGGTCTCCTTGTCTTTTTCTGATTGCCCTTTACCTCCTGACTGACACCACACTGCTGTTAGTAGTTGCTGTAAGACATCTCTTCATAGCTGCATTACTCAATTCTCTAAAATTCTTATTTTAAACCTAAGGAAAAAATTCACCAGACTAAAAAACATAAAGAAAAGCCCAGGAATGTTCATTTGTAAAAATAACCACAATTTCATTTAGTGCAATAATATTCCCAGTTTATTTGATCTGTTTAATTTATATAGGCTTCTCGATTAATGTCTACTCTGTCCAGGGCCATGACAACAGCCAATATCTCATTCATTATTTCATAAGTGCCTACTGTGCAACAGACATTGGGCTTTGAAGTAACAAATCAAAACTAAGTACAGTAGTGAGCTGTCCCCTCAAGGTGGCCCCAATCCAGAAGGAAAGATATACACATACACATATACACACACACACACACACAAACAACTAGCGCCATACTAAGTGGTATGAGGGGAGTGTTATGAACACACAAAGTAAAAGTGATAAACTCTGGGGGATGGGGTGCTTAAGAAGTAGATGAGAGAAAAGTCAGACAAGGTATCTCCTGGATTTAATTACTATATTTCCAGGCATGTAGACAGATGATTTTTAGCTCATACCTGTCATCCCCACATTCTTTTCTCATAGGCCTGCCGTTAAGAATGTCATTTGTAGGCCGGGAGTGGTGGCTCACACCTGTAATCCCGGCACTTTGGGAGGCCGAGGTGGGCAGATCACCTGAGATTGGGAGTTTGAGACCAGCCTGGCCAACATGGAGACCCTATCTCTACTAAAAATACAAAGTTAACCGGGCGTGGTGGTGCATGCCTATAATCCCAGCTACTTGGGAGGCTGAGGCAGGAGAATCGCTTGAACCTGGGAGGTGGAAGTTGCAGTGAGCCCGAGATTGCACCATTGCACTCCAGACTGGGCAGTGAGAGCAAAATTCTGTCTCCAAAAAAAAAAAAAGAATGTCATTTGTATGTAAGTTGCTACTCATCTACCTT
Source organism: Homo sapiens (assembly GCF_000001405.40). Taxonomy (NCBI): domain Eukaryota; kingdom Metazoa; phylum Chordata; class Mammalia; order Primates; family Hominidae; genus Homo; species Homo sapiens. The sequence continues at coordinate 38,106,116 of NC_000006.12, read as the reverse complement.
CTTCTCTTTACCAAAAACCATCCACTAAATAGAACATTTCACAGTCTGGGAAGCAAAGGCCCTTGGAGAATGCCAGTTTGATGAGTTTTCAGGGAAATGAAGCTGTTGTCTGTCTTCTCCCTCCCTCTGAACCCACGGGGCTCAATTTTTTTCTTGGGGGCCCATGAACATCTCACTAAAATGTCAATGGTCAGCTCAGTTTTCCTTCTGTGATATTTATTTGCCTTATTTACCTAATATTGGTCTGTCTGTTCAGATATACACATGGCTTTCACTGCCAATTTTTCTCTATTAGGAATGTTCCGAGCCCATTTTCTTTTTATTATTAAATGTTTTATTTTGAGGTAACTGTAGGTTCCCATGTAGTTACAAGAAATAATACAGAGAGATCCCATGCCCCCTTCATCCAGTTTTCCCCAAGGGTAACATCTCACAGAACTCTAGTACAACATCACAACCAAGATACTGATATGGATACCATCAAGACATACAACATTCCCATCGCCACAAGGATTCTTCTTATTGCCCTTTTATAGCCATGTCCACTTCCCTCTGTTCCCCACTGATCCCTGGCAACCTGGGACAAACTAATTTCTTCTTCATTTCCAGAATTTTGTCATTTCAAGAATGTCACATATGTGAACATATACATGGAACCATACAGTGTGTACACAACCCATGTGTCCAAACTCATTAAAAAAATTTTTTTTAATAGACTGGGTCTTGCTCTGTTACCCGAGCTGGAGTGCAGTGGCATGATCACAGGTCACGGCAGCCTCAAACTCCTGGGCTCAAGCGATCCTCCCCTCAGCTTCTGGAGTAGCTGGGATTACAGGCATGACCCACCATGCCTGGACTTGTACAAGCCTATTTTTAAGGCCACTTATCATGGAAGGTGGATATGACAAAAGAGATTCCTTAAAGTTAAGCTTCCTAATAATTGCAATAATGAACACTAACACAAAGCACATATTCTTTATCAGCACCTTCTAAATGCTCTTACATATATTAACTCATTTTGGTGTTACAACAAGGCTATGAGGTAGCTACTACCTGCATTTCACACATGAGGAAACTGAGGCATTGGTTAAGTGAACTGCCCACAGTCACACAACAAATAAGTGAAGAGTAGCCTGGCCTAGAGTCCTTGCTCTTAACTACTATATATCCTGTCTCCAACAGTTGCTACACTTAAAGATGCTACTTCTGCTTTCCCATAAGAGTACCTTATTACGAAGACAACTTTCTGCTACTTTCTGCGTATACAAAGACCCAGCTGTCTCTGGGATGAGGGCAGGGGACAGATCCTGGGGCAAATATAGGAATGAAAACAAGCTCCTCTATTTCATAAAATTATCTTGTCCAAATATGATTATTAATTTATCTAGGATATATCTCTGCTGAATAAATCTACTTGTTCTCTGCTCTTAGAATATGATTTATAAGACTTCTCACATGATTTTCTTTCCACTCCTGCTAACTCTCTGGATTTCTGTGGACTGTAGTCATATAGTACTTAATTTATTCATTATCTTCTTTTCTGATGTACAACATCATTCCACCAGTCATATCTTAGGCTTAATCTTGGATTTAGATACTTGCATGTTATTTTTAAAGACTTCATCCACAAAAGTTTCTTTACTGATTACTTGTAGGATACAAAAAAAACTTCTCCCCATTAGCACAAGAAAACCTAGGTATTTTCATTTGAAATTTTATTGCTTTTAATTATCAGATAAGGCAAAACATGTCTTCTCAGCTTTATATGGGTCTCACAGGCAGAAGTCAAAGCTTCCTCTTCTCAACCACCCCGAGAGTGTCCTACAGCTCATACGCGAGGTCTCTTTACCAAAAAGGCACAGATGAGGATGGGTTCATTGAAAAACTGCAGCCACCATCCCTGTTTGTTAAGTGCCATTTCCACTGCACTAATTACTGAAAGGGCATTGCCAGGAGCTAAATTCCTCAAAGAGGTGTCTGGTCAGTGGAACCTGTCAGGCTAGCAATACAGCAGTCATCCTTTGTGGCTGATACTTAGCCTAGCACCATTTCCTTGTTTTAGCTTCTCCATATCAGCAAGACCTCTCCTGCCTGCCCAACTATATTACTTTTTTCTCATAAAGTTTTCAGTTCTCATTGTAAATGACAAATGAACCTCAATAGATAACCTTTCCTTTTTATAACATGCTTGGGCATTTTGGAGTTCAACAACATTACAATGCATTGATGTTTAAAAATACTACATTTATAGCATCAGTGGAGTACCGAATAAGGTAGTACTCTAAGTTAAGACAAAACAGACAGAAAAGCAAAACTGAAAAACCTAACAGAAAAATCTACTTCTCAAAGTCCACATGCCCAAGTCCCCTAATTTTAATCTGTTCCTTGGCCCCAAGTCAGTCTATAACCATAAGAATTCAAAGATTTGTACAGTGTTCGTACAGTGTTAAGACTAGATAGAACTTCAGTTCTACTATCTTTTGCAGTATTTATCAGAAGAGCAAAATCAGCCAAGATTTTTCATCTGCCAAAAGAGAGAAACTTGAGAAGTCCGTGAAGTGTGTATGTATGTATGTGTGTGTGTATATATATGTGTATATATACACGTGTATATATATACACGTGTATATATGTGTGTATATATATACACGTGTATATATGTGTGTATATATATACACGTGTATATATATGTGTGTGTATATACGTGTGTGTGTATATATATGTGTGTGTGTATATATATATTGTGTGTATATATATATATATATATACATACACACACACACACCCAGATTTATTTTCATATACGGTTAAGTCCTCAATGTTGCTGACAGGCTCTTAGAAACTGTGACTTTAAGGAAAACAACATATAACAAAGCCAACTTTTTTTCTCATAACGTCATAACCAAATGATGTTATCTGAGGACCTGTTGTCGTTCCCCTTAAAGTCGCAGTTTGAAAGAATCAATCAACAACATTAAGTGAGGACTTACTGTAACTGTGTTTAAGATGGGCAATGCTGTTTTCATTTTCTTAGAACATTCATTTAGAAGTTAAACTTCCAGCCAGGCGCGGTGGCTCACGCCTATAATCCCAGCACTTTGGGAAGCCGCAGCAGGTGGATCACCTGAGGTCAGGAGTTCAAGACCAGCCTGGCCAACATGGTGAAACCCCATCTCTACTAAAAATACAAAAATTAGTTGGACATGGTGGCACGCGCCTGTAGTCCCAGCTACTCCAGAGGCTGAGGCAGGAGAATTGCTTGAACCCAGGAGGCGGAGGTTGCAGTGAGCCGAGATCGCGCCACTGCATTCCAGCCTGGGGGACAGAGCAAGACTCTGCCTCAAAAAAACAAACAAAAAAGTTAAACTTTCTAGAAATACAGAGTAAGTCTCCTGCCTACTCTGTAGTTACGTGAAGCCTAGAGGCATTTAAATTCAGCCTTATAAAATTATACAACTTTTGGGCAGCTGGATAGTACCTGCAACTGTGGGCACTTCCTCCTACTGTTGACTTATATTTGGACAGGTCTGGAGGGAAGAGACAAGCTAGAAGTCTTCGAATAATGCTGTACCCCAACACCTTGGTCTCTAAGTATAGATGACTTGCCCAGGGGTTAACCTAATCTGGCCCTGAGTCCTTTGCCAAAAAGACTGAAAATAGATTTCCTTTATGGAGAAACACTGAGTGTAGGGGTGAGGTGGGGAAATGGGTAAAGATGAATGAGACACTAATTCAAGTAAATTTTCTGAATTTTTATCAAAAACACACATACAGACAAAAAGTCAGATATTCCCATGTAAATTATCCCACCCCTATGATGCCTAAGTACCCTACTCGTGAGTGTTTCTCATCTTCCAAATGTTTTGCCTGTCTGACTTATAATGCAAGCTTTCAGGGTGGGAGCAGAATCAGCTATGTTCAGTACTCTACTGGTACTCAACAATAAGATGAAGATGAAGAAGAAGAAGATGAAGGAGGAGGAGGAGAAAGAGAAGAAAGAGGAGGAAGAAGAGGAGGAGGAAGAAGAAAGAAGAAAGGAGGAAGATGATTTCTGTAACAGGACAAGTTGCTAATGATGGTAATCTAGCAGTGAGAGACTGTCATCCTGTGGGATATGCTCCAGGTTTAATGTAAGGGGGAAATGTTTGAACGTTTATATTTTGCTGTTTAAAAAAATCAGCTTGAATGCATAACTGAGTAGATGCTAAAATTAAATAGCTGATTTGTTTTTAAACTATTTTTGTTTCCAGTTTAGCATCAGCTTAATTCAGTTCCTCTCCCTACCTATCATTTAGTTTCTTCCACCCAAAATTTAGTCTTTTTTTTTTTTTTTTTTTTTTTTTTGAGAGGGAGTCTCGCTCTGTTGCCAGGCTGGAGTACAGTGGCACGATCTCCGCTCACCGCAACCTCCACCTCCCAGGTTCAAACAATTTTCCTGCCTCAGCCTCCCAAGTGGCTGGGATTACAGGTGCCCACCACCATGCCCGGGTAATTTTTGTATTTTTAGTAGAGATGGGGTTTCACCATGTTGGCCAGGCTGGTCTTGAACTCCTGACCTCAAGTGATCTGCCCGCCTCGAAATTTAGTCTTTTGACTCACTGCTCTCAAGACAAATCCTTAAGCTTATAAATAAATAACTTCTGCACCTCATGTGATGTGATGCTAAATGAACCAAAAGTTAGATTTCTTCTGGTATATTATGACACAGAGTGCCCAGAGAAAGCCTTACACCTTTTCTTCTCCCTGAATGAGTATATTAGGTGTTCCTTATACAGGGTTGTGTCAGTGTTGATGTAGGCACTACTAAGTGTGTACAACGTTTAAGAGAGCTGAAGAAAGCTGCTTTAAGAAAATGGTTTATATATAAAAAAAGAGAACTCCATTTGCAAAATGAGCTGCTGAAAAATCGGAAGCAAGGAATTCTGCATAAAATCATTATTATGAAAATTGTCTTTAGTATGTATTTGAAACATGAGAGGAGCAACTATCTAACATTGTAACCTCAATTCAACCATCTTCACTAAAAGATTTATCAAGATGTCCACATTGTGATCCACCATACTAAAACTCAACTATATGTTATATCAGTGTTAAGTTCGCAATTTTGACAATTGTACTGTAGCTGTGTAAAATAATTCCGATTTTAAGAATTACACACTGAAGTTTTGGTATAAAAGGGTGTCATGTCTGCGATTTACTCAAATGGTCAGGGATATGGATATAATACACATGCATACATGTATACAGACAGACACAAAGAGGGCGAGAGATAAGGCCAATGTGATAAAATGTTAACATTAGGAAAAGCTGGGTAGGGGGGTACCTAAGAATTTTAGGAAACATTCTTATAACTTCTGAAGTCTGAAATTATGTTAAAAAAAGAAAAATCCATAACTATATTCCAGAGCAGCTATCCTTAGAGATAAGTGGCTGGAGTGCCTACTGAATTCTTTCTCAGAAATGCTGACACTGCTTAGGTCTGATGGGAAAGTACATGACAACATGTTTGTAGCTGGTAATCAACAGTAGGGTCAGAACTCATGCTTCTCCGGGTTTGCAGTGAAGTCAAAACTTACCTGTAGGTACACTTCAGTGATTACTCACAGACTTTCACTTGTCATCTCTTGGTCCTTACTTCCTCCAACACCAATAAGAACCTATTTTTCATTGCATTAATTACTGCAATGGCTATTCTAGGAAGGATGATGACCAAGACCTTAAGATATGATTTTAATCTTCTAGAAATAGGTTTATCAGCTGGGCGTGGTGGCTCACGCCTGTAATCCCAAAACTTTGGGAGGTCGAGGCAGGCGGATCACGAGGTCAAGAGATCGAGACCATCCTGGCCAACATGGTGAAACTCCATCTCTACTAAAAATACAAAAACGAGCTTGGCGTGGTGGTGTGTGCTTGTAGTCCCAGCTACTTGGGAGGCTGAGGCAGAAGCATCACTTGAACCTGGGAGGCGGAGGTTGCAGTGAGCCGAGGTCATGCCACTACACTCCAGCCTGGTGACTGGCGACAGAGTGAGACTCCGTCTTAAAAAAAAAAAGAAAAAAAGAAATAGGTTTATCAACAGGATGCCAAGGAAAAAGTGGAGCTGAATCTTGTCAGTTACAGGAACTATCAGTTAATGCCAAGCTGGAAAACAAATTCTGCTACAGCTAACACCTCTCATTCAAAATGGTACTACATGAGTTCTCTCCCTGCATACAGCTTTCTTTTAAAAGCCATCTGCATATTTGGACATATAATTCAAGCTGTAATGTAATAACACTATCTTTGAAGAGAGTTGTTTGACTTCCTCTAGAAAAAAAGCAGCAGCACCCAGTACATTTTTCAAGTAAATACATATATACCTTGGGACCCATATTCAAGGTAAAAATTTTAAAGATTGTCTGCTATAGTCTTTTTCTTTACTCCTTGCTAAAGTAACAGAAAAATTAACACAATCTGAGTTAAATGCCCTATTTTCTTGCTTATATATGTATACATTTTTAGTAAGTTTTGAAAGGGTGGATGGGTGTGGGAAATGCATAGCATGTAACTAATTCCCCTGTCCTATTGAGCTAATGGAGGTGTAGTTTATTTAAAATTCTGAGTTGTGGTTCTGCTATTTGGGAATGGCTTTCTGAAACTCTGTGGGTGGATACTGGTAATGAAACAGAGAATTCAGAATGACGGGGTGCATAAGGCCAAATAAGCTTTTATGGCAGAGTATGTGTATGCACTAGAAATAATTATACATATATAGTGGGAGGCTGGTTAACTGAACCCACAGAGGCACTTGGCTGTTCAGATAACTAATCACAATATTAAGTCCCCCATGACAAAAATGCCTCCAAGGTTAAACTGTCTGATTTTTAATCATAAACCAGTGAATTTATTGGCTAAAGTATCTTCTCATGTTGTTGGTTTGGATGCAACAGCCAGTCTTTCTTACCCAGATTTTAATCGCAAGAAACTATTAACCCTCTGTGGCCCCTAAATTGTGATGTGCCCTAGAAAGAAGAGTTCTCAGTTGTTAGTATAAAAGCTTAGAGACCTCAGGAAATAGGAATATTTATGTTTTTAAAAGGCAAGCTTGTGAAATCTCTGTTAAGAATTACTTTCCACCAATACATACGGAAATATTTAACTTCCAAGGCCTAGACCAGGAGTTTGAACTAGCCTGAGCAACCCCATCTCTACCAAAACAAAAACAAAAACAAAAAACAAAAAACAAAAACCACATATATATATGTATTGAAGACAAAGTTTCCAAGAACCAATTAACAATGTTAAGTGAGGACTTACTTTAACTGTGTTTAAGATAGGCCGGGCTCGGTGGCTCATGCCTGTAATCCTAGCACTTTGGGAGGCCAAGGCAGGCGGATCACGATGTCAGGAGATCGAGACCATCCTGGCTAACACAGTGAAACGCCTGTCTCTACTAAAAATAAAAAAAAATTAGCCAGGCATTGTGGCACACACCTGTAATCCCAGCTACTTGGGAGGCTGAGGCAGGAGAATCACCTGAACCTGGGAGGCAGAGGTTGCAGTGAGCCAAGATCGTGCCACTGCACTCCAGCCTGGGCAACAGAGCGAGACTCTGTCTCAAAAAAAAAAAAAAGATGGGCAATACTGTTTTCATTTTCTTACAACATTCATTTAGAAGTTAAACTTCTGGCCAGGCACTGTGGCTCATGCCTGTAATCCCACAACTTTGGGAGACCAAGGCTGGTGGATCACCTGAGGTCAGGAGTTGGAGACCAGCCTGGCCAACATGGTGAAAAAACCCTGTCTCTACTAAAAATACAAAAATTAGCCGGGGACGGTGGCATGCACCTGTAGTTCCAGCTACTCCAGAGGCTGAGGCAGAAGAATTGCTTGAACCCAAGAGGCAGGGATTGCAGTGAGACAACTACACGCTTGTAGTCCTAAGCTACTCGGGAGGCTGAGGTGGGAGAATCACTCAAGCCCAACAGGTCAAAGTTATAGTGAGCTGTGATGGTACTGCTGTATCCAGCCTGGGCAACAGAGTGAGACCCTATCTCAAAAAGCGGGGTGGGGCCAGGCTAGAAAAAAGCAATACAACAAAAAAGGAAGTCTGATTTTCCCAATTATAATTCTCAATTTTCTTAAGAAAGGACAAAGGGGCTTTCTGAGCTTCCTGTCATTCACAGCGCTCACCTGTTCAAACAAGGGCTGCTATGGCTCTCCCTCCTTCCCTATCTCCACTGACTTCTACCTCCTTTCCATGTCTGCATTCTCCAATCTGACTGGCCTCAGGTGCTTATTATCAGCTTCTGATTCCATCTCTAAGTTCTTTCTCACTTTCCTCTACACTCCCTCAAGTTTCTCTTCAGTCTCATTTCATTCAAGATTGTCAGGTACCATCTGTCTACATCTCTATTATCTACTGAGCATTTACTAGGCATCATGCTAGGTGAGGTGCTTTAGATAAATTATCTCACTTCCTTCATAATAACTTTATGGCAGCCAGCCCACGTTTACCTGGCAAAAATCTAGACAGCTCTTCTTCAAAGCAACTGGATGATCTGTCTAGGCAAAGCTGTTTCTATGGTCCCTTATAGTCGAATTCTCCTCCTGAATTTGAAAGCCTAACAGCAGGTTCTCAACCTCCTTACCACTAATTCTGCCAGTTAATACCTATACTCACTGCTTCCCACACACAGCCCCCAGTAAAAATTCTCACATAACAAAGAGATATAGTAGAAAACAGTCCTAGGCTGGGTGCGGTGGCTCACACCTGTAATTCTAGCACTTTGGGTGGCAGAGGTAGGAGGATCACTTGAGAGCAAAAGTTCAAGACCAACCTGGACAACAAGCGAGACTCCGTCTCTTAAAAAAAAAAAAAAAAAAAATGAAAAATTAACCGGGTGTGCTGGTGCAGGACTGTGGTTCCAGCTACTCAGGAGGCTGAGGTAGGAGGATCGTTTGAGCCCAGGAGGTCAAGGCTGCAGTGAGCGGTGATCACGCCACTGCACTCCAGACTAGGTGAATAGAGTGAGACTCTCAAAAACCAAAACAGTCCTATCTTCCCCACTCATCCACAGCCTCTTTCTTAAAAGTCAACAGAAAACCAAGCTTTGCCAGGTAAATGAGGAGAATTAGAGCATGAAGAAGACCAAGATAAACAGAAAACCCGGTCTCAAGGTAATTACTGGTAATTCAGAAAACAGAAGAGCACAATGACAAATCTAACCGCTAATGAATATGCTTAGAAGACATTACCATGGAATTATTATATACATAAATAAGGAAAGAACATTACGAAAAAAAATCTTCAGAGAACAAAAGTGAGCTCAAAGTATGATTGTTGAAATAAAAGGGTCAGAAGACAAAGTCAACAGAATCATCCAGAAAACAGGAAATGAAGACTCTGAGAAAAGAATTAGAGAAAGATTATCAAAATAGCACTTCCAACATCTAAATTATAAGCATCCCAGAAAAACAAAACAAAACAAAAAAACCCCCACAAAGTTGATAGGGGAAAATAAAAGAGTTCCAGCGCTGAAGAAGGGCATCAGTCTTCAGATCTAAGGGACCTAGCAAGTATTCGCATCTTGAATGGAAAAAAGGGATGCCTAATACACACTTCACTACAAATTTTAGAACACTAAGCTTATAAAAACACAACCCTGGCTGGGCACAGTGGCTCACGCCTGTAATCCCAGCACTTTGGGTGGCTGAGGCGGGTGGATCACAAGGTCAGGAGTTCGAGATCAGCCTGGCCAATATGGTGAAACCCCGCCTCTACTAAAAATACAAAAGTTAGCCCGATGTGGTGGCAGGTGCCTGTAATCCCAGCTACTTGGGAGGCTCAGGCAGGAGAATCGCTTAAACCCGAGAGGCGGAGGTTGCAGTGAGCCAAGATCACACCACTGCACTCCAGCCTGAGTGACACAGCAAGACTCTGTCTCGGGGGGTTGGGGGGGACAACAACAACAAAACCCTAATGAGTTCTAAAAGTGAAAAAAATCCAGGTATATTACTCATAAAAATGATAATCAGTGGCATCTGACTTCTTAGTAGTAACATGGAATACTAGAAGACAAGAATGCAATTACTTTTTTTTTTGAAACAGCATCTCAGCTCTGTTGCCCAGGCTGGAGTGCAGTGGTGCAATCATGGCTCGCTGTAGCCACGACCTCCTGGGCTCAGGTGATCCTCATACTTCAGTTTCCCAAGTAGCTGGGACCACAGGTGCGCACCACTATGCCTGGCTAATTTTCTGTATTGATTGTAGACACAAAGCCTCACCATGTTGCCCAGGCTGGTCTCCAATTCCTGGGCTCAAGCAATCCACCCACCTCCACCTCCCAAAGTGCTGGGAATTACAGGTATGAGCCACCGTGTCTGGCTGAAGCAATGACTTTCATCCGAGAATTGTTACTCAAATTTTCCAACATAATGGAAGCAGAAAAAAATTTTCAGATATGCAGGAACTCTAACACTGCTTCTTTTAGGCACTAACTTGGGGGTGTATTTGGAAAAATGAGAGAATAAAAGCTTGAGCAGTGAAAGGAAATTCTAGGATGTCACCGCGGGCTTACAGAATCTAGTTCAGATTGGAGAGGAAAGACCGGTAGGCGCTAGGAAAAAGGTTTCAGGTGAAAGGTGTAAATACAGAGTTAGGAAGTAAGTGGTGACGTAAAACCAAATACTGTAGAAAAAAAAAGAAAGGCAATTATAAATGCCAGGGGTGGGGGGACCTGTATTAAAAAGCTATAATGCAAATATAAGGCAAACTAAGATGTGGCATGATTTTTGAGCAACTGATGGAATATAATAAAGGATCAATTTGGCTTTGCTGTAGTAACATTCTTTTTCCATGGCTCAGAGATTCTTATGCAATGGCTCACAGATGCTAGCCCTGAAAAGTAAATGAAAGCTTGCTTTCTAAATAGTTCACCATTAACTGTTTTCATTAGACCCATAGAAAAAGAAATATATTCTTAGCATGTATCACGGTGGCCTGACAGGGAACGTTTACAGAGTCATAATAATGTAAATGTCATATATTGGGCTTTCAATTTTTTAGGAACAACCTATGAACATACATGGAGGATTTGCTTCTGGTTACAGCCTGACTGTAAATACAGGTTGAGTATCCCTAATCCTCAAATCTGAAATCCAAAATGCTACAAAATGTTGAGCTCTGGAACATGGTGCTCAAAGGAAATGCTCATTGGAGTATTTCAGATTTGGGATTCTCAGATTTGGGATGATCAACCAGTAAGTATAATGCAAATATTAAAAAATCTGAAACCTGAAACGCTTCTGGACCCCAGCAGTTTGGATAAAGGGATACTCAACCTGTATTAACTAACAACCATGACATATAAAAATTACAAGTGTAGCCGACCGAAGATATGATGAATAAGTATTTCCAATCAGATGTATTAATATCCTCATTAAGAGATGATGCTGAAAGTTGATGGATCAGGAAAGAATGAAAATCAACAATAAAATAGCAAACACTGGGATGAGGAATAGTATAAGCTAAATCTTCCTATTTCATGCCAGTTGACATCTCAAAAAGGAGGACTTTAAGCATTATTTTCCTCTCATAATTACAAGGTAACCTACAGAACAAAGGTACTAAAACTGTCAAGAGAGAAACACTGGTCAGCTTTGTGGAGTAGGATCATATCCAAGTTATTACTTTCTTTTCTAAGCTATTCTGTGATATGGTGTGTTACCATATGTTACTTTTATAAAAATGAAATCTTATTAAAAAACAAAGAGAGCACCACTTGTTCCCCTTTGCTTTTTTTTTTTCTTCTGGATTAAATGCAGTACCCATGGAAAGTGTTACTTTGGCCCACTATAAACTTAAACTACTTAATGACAGCTTGAATTAGCTACTACTTGTAGATGCTATCTTCCCTCCTCAGTCCACAATAGTTCCTTCCTTATACCCTCAGCTCTCTGCTGCTACTTACAACTTATGGTATTATTTTTTCCTTTAATCAGAACACGGCGACCACCTTTTCTAGGAGAAACTCCCTAGTTCATCTTGTCTCAGCTAACTATCTACTCATTTACTGAGAAAATCTCTGACTGTATGTCCTTCCTTACACTCTTAGATAGAAATAACCCTTCTGGGTTTCTGCCTCTGCTGAGTCTTGCTTGTATGCCTCTTCCATTTCTCCTCTAATCTTTTCTATTTCTCTTCCTGGATCCCTTTTCTTTGTATTTTAGTAGGGGCAAAATAGTTCACTATTTTAACCACCTCCACACCAAAAAATGCCCGACCCTGTCTCTCCCTCCAACCACCACTATTTGCTAGTTTTTAATGGTTCAATTAACTCCATAATGAATGATTTCTGTCTGCTGCCTTTATTTCCTTGTTATCAAGGCCCTCTTTAATGATTTCAGGCTTTCGTTTCCCACACATTACACAAACTTCGTTCAGGTTTTCCAGTGATCTTCTGCTAGCCATGGCCATAGCTTTCCTTAGTCCTCACATTTCCTGATCCCTCTTCTCATGCATCTTTCATGATCCTGTGGGAAGCTTTCTCCTTTCTTTAGCTTCCTTAACTCACTGGCTCCTCTTTCTCTTTCCTGCCCTGAAACACAGTCCTTACCCCCCATTCTTCTTCTTTATTCATTTGCACAGTTTTAATCATTGTTTCTAAATTAGCAATTTCTAAAACAGGCTCATATTTATAATTTTCTATAGGACTATAATAATTTAACTCATCAGAAACTGAAAATAGTTTCAATCAAGTTTTCTTCCTACTCCTTCCCTGTCAGTTACATCTTTCTTCCCTCAGTTCTCCAGATTTATACTTTGCAGTCTTTCTTCAGCCAACTCTAATCAGCCATCAAATCCTGTCAATTACTCTTTTCAAACATATCTTAATCAGATTTATCTCTCTTTCTCTATTCCACTGGCCACTACCCACAGAACATTCCTGAATAAATCAGTAGGAACTGGTTTTTTTGGCAAGTCAAGTATTACTTTATATGCAAAAGGAAAAACCTATTTACATTAACCCAATGGCAAGGCATTTTATAGACTGAAGGATCCTCCTATAACATTAATTCTTAGTTTATGTAGCTTATACTACTGGGATTAGCATGTATTAGGCTTCTTCAAAACTGAGATACACCTAGGCACACCTTAAGGCATCAGAGAAAAACTACAATATCTCTAACAGTAGGAAGTCTCCTGATAGGTTAGTTTTGAGGGTACTACACATAAAGATGTGTATTTACTTAAAGGCACAAATGACAAATACATGAAGTACCAGAATGCTGATAAACTCCTGGATCAAACCGGAAAGCCCTTTCCAAAAAGTATTCTTCTGTGGCTCCGTTACAGATTTCTCCTATCTCAAAGGTCTCATTACTGTGATTTAGTGAAGTTGAGCACTCGAAGTTGAACAGAGCTGTATCTCAGTTTTTCCAAGTACTAGGTGCTCATGTGCTACTCAAAAGCATTGCCAAGTCACATTTGAAGTTTTCCATTCACTGGAAAACACAGTCCTACTCCTAGACTTTCCCTCCACATTCTAGTATCCCTTCATCATTCCCCATGACTCTAAAGTGAATTCTAAGCATTTCACGAGGAAGATAATTCTTGAAAAGAAAAATACAACATTAGTACTATATTTGCTCCTAATGATTGGCATAATCTATCTTCCTGTTCTTCACTTTTTGAAATAAACATAAGTTACATCTCTTGCTCGCAAAAGCTGGAATTAGTTGTACTTGTTTCTGTACTTATTCTCTCTATGGTGTAAGCTCCCAGGGGCAAGATACACATTTATCACTTCTTTTGCATGTTCCTACAGAATCTACTACAGGACTCTGTCACAGCAGTCTTTTAGTAAAGTGCTGGACTGGCTGCCTAACCACAGTGTCTCAGCTGGTGCTATAATCCACATAAGCAACTCCTTCTGAGGGTGTGATCTGTAACTATGATGGCAGACTATACAATAAGATTACAACTTTAATCGGCCATGATTATGAAATATTTCTGAAGATCCTTCTCGAGGGGGGTGCCTTGGAAGCAGACACAGGTATGAGGAATAAATGCCAGCCCACCTGCTGGCGGGAGAGGCAATGGGACCATCTCTTCAGACAGATGAGCAAGCAGGAAAACAGAGAATACAACTTGTCTTGGAAGCTAGCAGCAAGATGAGGCAGTAAAACCCATCAGCATACATCATCCTATCATTGCCCAGTGTCATCCCCAGCCTCTATTAGCCCTCGCTGCATCAGCGCAAGTCCCAGACACTTTATCCTGTTTATAATTGCTGATGAGCAGTAATAAGGCCTCCATGCCTCAGCTCCGTCTGTTCCACTTCGGCACCCACCTATTATGTAATAACTTTTATTTACAGCCTTGCTTGATGCGCTGTTCTATTAGTAGAGCCAGGAACTGAGTGGGGCAAAAAAAAAAAAAAAAGGCTCCTTAATGGGCAGTATCATTGCAAGGCTCAGACGATTTATAATGTTGCTTTGTGGCTGTTCTATCCCACTCCTTCTGGTAAGACTGCTTTGGGAAGGCTGCGTTTCTAACATGCTGCCTTCTAACAGGCACACACATGCTATGGAGCAGCACCTGAAAGGCACTCCCCAGACCTATACACCCCCACCAAAAAAAAAAAAAAAAAAAAAAAAAAATCCTAAAGTTTCAAAGGAGGAGAGGGGAATTAAATTCCCGATATGCTTTTTAAATAGTATTGGCTCAGGCATTTTGCCCCAGTGGAGCAACAGAACAGCTAATTAATGAAAGTTCAGGGCTCTTTCTCCTTGGTAAGAATGCAACCTATGATAAAATAAATGACTATTAAAAAAAAAAACCAGCTGTAACTGCATTTGTGGACTGATGCAAACTGACTTTGTGCAAAGCATGTGAATCACGAAAAGCTCAACAGCAAAGCCTGGACTTCTTACACACACACATCTCCAAAAGAGCAACAAGCCACATGACGCTTCCCTTCGTTTTTATACTAGAGTGCATTTTTATTTTTCAAGTGCAAAAATTCCTCTTGACTAGACTGCATCCTGGCTTGATGTTCCACTTATTCACTTATGTTCAGCCTTTTCTCAGAAGAGGAGCCCCTGCTTCTCCTGAGTAAAGCCCAAACGAGGCCTTGGATACAAGTTTTTGACTTTAAGTATAGCAAACTGACACATTATACATTGTGCTGTAACACAAACGTAGGTGGCAATGGGACCTAACTCTCATTTAGGGCTCCAATTACAAAACAGTTAATTTTCCCTCATCTTATCTGAAATCTATACATTGTGTGAGGTGCCTTTAAACCCACCTATTATTTACATATTGAGTATCAAATCATCTAATTATTAGTATATTTTACCTCACTCCTTCATTCTATTCTTCAACATAAACAATAGAAGCAGACTGATTAAAGTTCTTCCAGGGAAACAAAAAACCCAAGGGAAAGCAATTAGTAGATTATTTCCCTTTCCCAGTCATCCACTGAATGGCCAAAACCCACACACTGTCAGCAAACAGCCACTATGACATGCCATGATAAACTTTGGTGAGAACTGCTTTCTGTGGCAAAACATGGTCAGATGGCACCTTTTTGATTAGAGAAATTTTTGCAATCTTGCCAAATATTTGATATTCCTTTTGTCCCCTGCCCCAGGAATCAAATGAACTCCTTCAGGACCCAAGATGATGAGTGCATAAGGTAAAACATTTATTTAAATACTTTTTCCTTGCCATGACAGATTTACTGTTTTGATCTTTCTTCAATGGTTACATTAAACACTAATAAAAAATGAAAGGTTTATATCTTCCCTAATATTCTCCTGATGGGAACTTGCATATTACATAAGTAGGTCAAATTTCTAATTTTCTGCCTCAAATGCTGATACTGCAGACCTGAGGGAAGAGCTATACCTGAAGGACCAACAAGAAAGATTTGAAAAGTGAATTATACAGTTGAACTCACACCCGAAGCTACCTCCCTTTAAAATGCCACAGAGCACACCTGTAATCCCAGCACTTTGGGAGGCCAAGGTGGGCAGATTACTTGAGGTCAGGAGTTCGAGACCAGCTCGGCCAACATGGTGAAACCCCGTCACTACCAAAAATACAAAATTAGCCAGGTGTGGTGGCACGCACCTGTAGTCCCAGCTACTCAGGAGGCTGAGGCAGGAGAACTGCTTGAACCCGGGAGATGGAGATTGCAGTGAGCTGAGATCGCACCATTGCACTCCAGCCTGGGTGACAGACCGAGACTCCCTCTCAAAAACAAAAACAAAACTTCACAGAGCAGAGGAAGATGTGAAGTCCTCCTTGGAAGAGCCAACTATAGTGTGTAATATTGAACAATACAGTTCATAGCCACTGACACAACTCTCTAGGATTAAATGTACTGGCTGAAATGTTTCCATGAATATTGACTCTACCAGGAGACAGAACACACAAGTGTAGGTATTACCAAGATTTACGGGGCCACTTCTGATTTAATACCAACACCTTTAGCTTCTGAATCAATTCTAAAAATCTCATATAAACTTTTCAGTAACCTAACAACAAGGAAACATTTCCCTTTAACTGGCTTCCAAACACTGATGTGAAAGTGTTCAGCACATCAATCTTCTCTTAACTTCCAGATGAAGGGGGTTTTCTTCTCGTCTTTGCAAGAAGAAACAATATCATAAGCAGGCTGTACAAAAGAAGTGAGTCAAGGCTGGGTGTGGTGGCTCATGCCTGTCATCCCAGCACTTTGGGAGGCCGAGGCAGGTGGTTCACTTGAGGTCAGGAGTTCAAGACCAGCCTGGCCAACATGGTGAAACCCTGTCTCTACTAAAAATACAAAAATTAGCCGGGTGTGGTGGCAGGTGCCTGTAATCCCAGCTACTTGGGGGGTGGGGGTGAGGCAGGAGAATAACTTGAACCCGGGAGACAGAGGTTGCAGTGTGCCAAGATCGCACCACTGTACCACTGTACTCCAGCCTGGGTGACAAAGCAAGATTCTATCTCAAATAAAAAAAGAAGTGAGTCAAGAAAAGGGAAAAACTGTTCTCTTTTTTGGGGGAAAAAAGAGAACAATGAACAATACAAAGCTATTCTAGTTCATGTCACTGTTTGTCACACTGAAAGGAAAACAGGTGACCGAAAATAGGGAGGGAGGGAGAGAGGGATATAAAGTAAAATTGAATTAACATGCTTCTTATAGGGTAAAAAGATGACACTTTCTGGAAAAACTGCCTTGATATTTAATGGAACAGTTCTTAGTCTCATCTGCTTTAATCTCAGACACTTCTACAGCTCCCTTATGGCCTCACAAATAGTTATTTTATTTGCTGCTCTACTAATTATAATCACATTTTAAACATACACACAGCATGTTTTAACCATCCTTTTTCAAGTCTATCAGAGAGAATATTATCTACTCAACATATGTGCTGGAAGAAGAGTAAAAGTGAATATAGATAGAGCGGAGCAAAAGTCTGTTGACAATACTGTCAAGTCCACAAACTTGCCTATGAATTCTTTCTTATTTTAATTTCAGAAATAAAAGGACTATAAAATGAAAAGGTGTATCCATCCCCTCAAGCATTTACCCTTTGAGTTACAAGCAATACAATTACACTCTTTAAGTAAGTTATTATTGACTGTAGTCACACTGTTGTGCTATCACATAGTGAATCTTATTCATTCTATTTTTTTGGTACCCATCAACCATCCCCGCCTCTTTCCCCAACCCTTCAGTACCCTTCCCAGCCTCTGGTAACCAACCTTCTACTTTTTATGTCCATGAGTTCAACGGCTTTGATTTTTAGATCCCACAAATAAAAGAGAAAGTACAACGTTTGTCTTTCTGTGCCTGGCTTATTTCAATTAACATAATGACCTCCAGTTCCATCCATGTTGTTGCAAATGATGGAACAGATAAAAAAAGAATGACTGGATCTCATTCTTTCTTATGGTTGAATAATACTCCATTGTGTATAAGTACCACATTTTCTTTATCCATTCATCTGTTGGTAGATACTTAGGTTGCTTCCAATGAATATTGTTTCCATGAATATTGACTCTACCAGGAGATAAAACACATAAGTGTAGGTATTACTAAGATTTATGGGGCCACTTCTGATTTAATACCAACACTCTTTAGCTTCTGAATCAATTTTTAAAATATCATATAAACTTCCAGTAACCTAACAGCAAGGAAACATTTCATGCTGGAAACATTCTTAGCTATTGTGAATAGTGCTGCAATATATATGGGAGTGCAGATACCACTTCAGTATACTTATTTCCTTATTTTGGCTATGTACCCAGCAGTGGAATGGCTGGATCATATGGGAGCCCAATTATTTGAGAAACCTCCAAACTGTTCTCCATAGTGGTTGTAATAATTTACATTCCCACCAACAGTGTACAAGGAATTCCTTTTCTCCACATCCTTGTCAATACTTGTTATTGCCTGTCTTCTGAATATAAGCCAGTTTAATTGGGGTGAGATGACATCTCATTGTAGTTTTGATTTGTAGTTCTCTGACGATCAATGATGTTGAGCAACTTTTTATATGTCTGTTTGCCATTCATAGGTCTTCTTTTGAGAAATGTCTATTCAAATCTTCTGTCTGTTTTTTTGATCGATTATTAGATTTTGTCCTATTTAGTTGTTGGAGCTCCTTAAATATTCTGGTTATTAATCCCTTGTCAGATGAGTAGTTTGCAAATATTTTCTCCCATTCTCTGGGTTGTCTCTTCACTTTGTTAGCTGTATTCTTTGCTGTGCAGAAGCTGTTTAACCTGATGTGATCGCATTTGTCCATTTTAGCTTTGGTTGCCTGTGCTTGTGGGGTATGCTCAAGAAATTTTTGCCCAGACCAATGTCCTGGATATTTCTCCCAATCTTTTCTTGTAGTAGTTTCATAGTTTGAGGTTTCAGATTTAAGTCTTTAATCCACTTTGATTTTATTTTTGTATGTGGAGAGAGACAGGGGTCTAGTTTCATACTTCTGCACATGAGTATCCAGTTTTCCCAGCACCATTTATTGGAGATATTTTCTTTTCTCTAGTATATGTTCTTGGCACCTTTGTCAAAAATGAGTTCACTGTAGGTGTGTGGATTTGTTTCTGGGTTCTCTATTCCATTCCATTGGTCTACATATCTTTTTATGCCAGTTTGAGGTTGTTCTGGTTAGTATAGCTCTGTAGTATAAATTGAAGTCTCATAATGTCATTCCTCCAGTTTTGTTCTTTTTGCTTACGATAGCTTTGTCTATTCTGGGTCTTTTGTTGTTCCATATAAATTTTAGGATTTTTTTCTATTTCTGTGAAGAATGTCACTGGTATTTTGATAGGGATTGCATTGAATCTGTGCCCACTTTAAACATAAAAATATACTGTCATGAAGATAGCCAGCTAAATATCCAAATACCTTCCAAATAAAATTAAAGGAGATGACTGTAACTCCGGTTACAGTATTTTATTAGCTGAAGGTATAACTTGACGGTTAGAAAAGATGAGGGACAAAAGGGAATCTTCTTGTAGTTTGTTGCCAAGGAAAGTGATCTCTTTCCTTCACAAAATACTTGTTCTTGGCAGGAATGTTGTGAGAATTAACAAGGGAACATGTGGAAAACATTCTGAGCTCTGAAGAAATGTAAACTCTGTCTAGTAATCTGAAGGTATGATGTGCTTTAACTCACACATTCTAACCAAAAGCAACCTAGGACTTGGCAGTACTTTTCAACTCTTCATTGACTGTGGAGATCCTAGAACTCTACAAAGATGGTAGGGGTGGGGTGGAGTGGGAACGACCACACACCCTTCATCTATCTAATTTCTCTCTGTTTAAATACCAAAATGATCATCGTGTTGCTTTTTTATTTTTTTTTAATCTAAAGATTACAATGAGTTTAACTGTTAATAATTCTGTCTGGCTAAAAGCCATCATATAAAGAAAAGTCTTTCCCATCTATCTCACAAAGACAAACTGATCTTTCATTTGCTACTACAGCTACTTTTTGCAATCTGCTTCGTAGACTCACAGTGATCACAAAACAATTTCTTAAAAAAGAGCTGCCTCTCTCATTTTGATAGTTGTAGACCAACCACTCTACACTGCTGCCCACCTCTAAAATATGACAATACCCTTCACCTGATCAAAACAGTAATTGCTTGAAATACAAATGGTGACTGATTAATCAATCACTGAGGTCTTCACTTACTAAACCACATAATAATGGGTCTAATGCTAATCCTTAGAGCTAATTTTCAAAGTACTAAGAAGAAAATGATCTGTTTACTGAAGAAGTCATTAACCTTTTTAAACTGCATAGTCCTATCTAACTGGCCATGTACCTTTAATATGTATATATTTGTGTGTGTATTTGCTGTTTATAAACTGCATGTATGGGCTGAGCACGGTTGCTCATGCCTGTAATCCTAGCACTGTGGGAGGTCAAGGCGAGAGGACTGCCTGAGCTCAAGAGTTTGAGACCAGTCTGGGCAACATAATAAGACCTTGTCTTTATTAAAAAATAAAAATAAATAAATAAATAAAAGTATATGTATGAACACACACACATATAATAAAGTGAATTTGCAAAATATAAATTAAGGCTGAGATAAAGAGCTTTTGCTATTTTCTCCACACACCTCAGACAGTACATTGTGTGCCCTTTGTCAGAGACGGCTGACTTAAAGAACCACCTTAGTCTAATCTCAGTATCCTTGTTCTAACACACATCATTATTAAGCTCAAGGCTGCTTTAGGTCCAACCTTGTATGGATAGATTGGATGGGAGGAGGTAGGTAAGATCTCACTTAAGGTCTCACTCTGTGTCTCCTAAGAAATGACACCACTGTAAAGTAATTATTTACTGACCATCTATGCCTGAAGGCCCATGTGGTTTCTGTCTGGGAGACTACCTCACAGTAGAAGCACTGTACAGCACATGTCATAGATATGAATCCTAACTTGAAGAGCCTAGACATAAAGGCTACAAAGAACATTCCAGCAAAATAACAATAACAATTGGTGGTTCAGAAGAAAAATGATTGAAATCCCCACCATGGGCAACCTGCTGACTGCAGGACACAGAGAAAGATGGAGACAAAGACAGTCAACCTGTGGTTCTCAAAATAAATCATTTCAATTTACCTCTCAAAATCAGGAAGCTCTGTCCTTTAGAGTCAGGGCCAATATTTAAGGCTGAGGCAGTCTGGCTAGCCTAAGAGGGCACAGAACAGTCTTCTTGAAAAGAAGTACAGCTGGCTTAACTTGATGACCTTTAATGTCCATTGCTGAGAAATCTCAATTTTCCTTCAGGCTTTTTAGGAGATGACCTGGACATTGCATTAATTTCCTTCCAAGCAAGAAATTCTCCATCTTTTTCTAGTTAAGAGGTAGGTATTCACCTCAACGAAGGCCTACAAAGGTATGACTGAGAGCTCAATGCCTGTCATTTCACTAACGGAGATCTAAAAATATTACCACCTTCAACTGCCACTATAATACTGACATGTAACAAAGAACGTGATCAATATAAAATCAGTTAATAAAACTGAGTACAGCAAAGAATGCCAGTACTTCTACTTTACTCTTCTTTCTGCCTAAAATACTCATTGATGTATTTATCAACACCATCTAATGGGTGCTCACTATAAAGATATAATCCTCATTAAGATGATGGAAACTACCAGTAATTGAAGGTCTATTAGGTGAGCATATTATTTTTTTCTTACACCAAACCTGAGAGATTTATCATCCCATTTTACAGATGAAGAACAAAATTTTGAGATGTTAACTTATTTACTTAAAATCACAACTGGTAAGTGGCTAAGCTTAGATCTGAAACCAGATGTGATTTTAGAACTCACATTTTCAAACTACTTTAGTGTATGCTATATTTCCAAATATATGTTTCATTTTTTCCATATTTCATTCAACAGTCTGCTTTTCCACAGTCTGGTTAGGAGAAGAAACAATTACAATAAAATGTGAAAAGCAGTAGCATGATATAGGGGAAAACAGCGCAGGCTTTAGTGTCTTAAAGATCCGTGTCCAAGTCTTGGCTCCATCACTTACTAGCAATATTATCTCAGAAAATATACTTAAGTTTATGAGTGCCTACATTTTTTTCATCTGTAAAAGAGGAAAAATAATAACTATCTTGAAGAACTGTTCTGAAAATTAAATTACCATGTATATAAAATATACAGAATAATACCTGGCAATGTAGTAAGCATACAATAAATATCATTATTAGTTTTAGATACACAAAATAGTATAGGATCAGAGAGGAGGAAACAGATCTACCTAGAAGATGGACACAAGTAAATGATATTCACCAGAGTTTCCTGCTTGTTTCAGCATCTGAGTACATGAGTCTCCTTCCCAAACCTCTCAGGATGACCCAGTGTGTTCAAGGTTCAACTCCTTGACTGCTACCTGAACATAGTGGTAGTGCTTAACAGTAAAGCCTTCTCTGAGGGCCAAGATTGGAAGGAAAAACAAAAGACTAAAGTACTGTGCATTTGAAGTGCTGGACCTCAAATCAAAGGACACTGAATGTTTTCAAGCTTCTGGCTGGAGTGGGCAGGTAGTTGGCTCTCTGACTTCCCGCTGGCTAAAATCAGGATGGTCTATCTCACTTCAGGCACAGCTCTTTTCTACCTCAGTAAAAAAAAGAAATCTACTCTACCTAGTGGAGCTTGGGAACCGGGCACAAGAGGGATAAGAACATGCCAAGACTATCTCACACCCCCTACCCTACCTCAAAGCTGGTCATTTGGAAGAGAAGAGTACAACTGAGTTCCTTAGAATTCAGTGCCTGGATGTTACTTTGAAACTATGCAAACATGGGCCTGACTGAGGCCTAGCATCAAATTATGAGCATTTAAAGGAGCTGAGGTTGCAGTGTTAAGTTTGTACATGGAAACAGTTTGTGCTACTTCTGCTGGGGAGTTACAAGGATTTTTTAAGTTATGAAAAATACTCTGTGACCTTTAGAAAAACAATATAATTATTTTGACTCTTCCAAATATAATCCTTGAGATATTTTAAATAGCAGACAGCATTATTAGAAAAGGCAAATATCGCTTAAAATAAATTAAGCTACAGGCGAAGGCAACAATGGGCATTCTGACTGCTCTTTAGAGAGCCACAAGATTCATGACTTCATATTTAATAAAAATGTCACAGATGCACAAAGATGTTTTTGGGATTCTATGCATCTAGAAGAGAAATTTCAGTATATCCACGGCTTTAAATCGAATGACAGAAAATAATTATCCAAAAATAGTAGGATACTACAATAGTCAATTTAAAACACTGATTTTCTACATTAAAACTATTAAAATTTCAATCTTGGCCCTCAGATTAGTTACATGCTACAAACTGGGCAATGATCTGCATTTCTGTTGTGTCTTAATAACGTTCTTCAGATATTAGAAATTATGTATATTTTGATGTCCACCTTCTTGGATCTAGCTGCATTT
This sequence comes from Homo sapiens, assembly GCF_000001405.40. NCBI lineage: Eukaryota > Metazoa > Chordata > Mammalia > Primates > Hominidae > Homo > Homo sapiens. The sequence goes on along the minus strand of NC_000006.12, from coordinate 38,082,652 downwards.
ACTCAGTCAATCTGACTCCCCAAAAACATCATTCTGACCTCTGCTGACACTCCGCCGTGAATACTAAGCACATATCACCTCACAACTGACGGAAGAAATCAGAGTACCCTGAGAAGCACACCAAGTTAGAACCAGTTGCTAACTTCTGTGAAGAATTCAAATAAGGATGAATTCACATAAGAATGACGTACATACCTGTACCACAGGATCTTTTTGTTGGTGTGATTAATGAGACATGAGCTGTGTCTGTGCATGGCCCACCTAGAAACAGAAAGGCAGGTGCATCAGTCAGGACACATCCTTTACATGCCCATATAGTTGCTTTCCTGAGTAAAGAGAAACTTTAAAAAGGAAAAGATCAACCTGAAAATATAACGAGGAGAAGTAGTAGGAAAGACGGTGGTGGTGGGTTAATTCTAAGGACCTAATTTTAGTTCAGCAATTTAGTCTACAGAGATGCATAGTCTTTCTACATTCTAACATGCTTTTCACACACAAAAAAAAAAAAAACAGCCGAGTCTCACATAATGTTAACAAGTTAAAGAATAAAAATTTAATTAGAATTCAGATCTGGGTGAGAGGAAATTACCCACAAGTTTGGGGAGATGCAATCTTCCACAGAACGATGAGCAAGAGTACTCTCTCTTAGGTTGGTTTCTCAGCAGTCACTCTACCTTGGAATTTACTGAAAAACTAGCCTTACATAATAAGGGGAGGGGGCCTTAAGAAACAATAAACTGCTTGTCAGAAGAAATAAGAATCATTTTCATATATAAAGAAAGCATTGCTGACCAAGGAAGAATATCTAGTTTCATTATAAGAAATATGATATCGAGAGGCCCTTTATGGAATCTTGGTGGGCCCAGAGATCTGATGCATAAGCATAATTCAAGAGTATGCAAGAGATATAGTTGTTGGGTGAGTGAAGGCTTGAAAATCAATAATTTCATTCTGCAAAATCAAGACCTTCAACACATTCTGAGGTTGATATTGATACATACCCCAACACTCCCCAATGACATGCCCTGGGATGGGCAGTGGTGATCATAAAGGAATAGGACACATAGGCAAATGTTACACATTTATTTTAAAAAGGGTCCCCAGGTGACTGTGACTAGCAGAAGTAAAAGATGGTTACTTGGCAGAGTTGTGTATCTCCTACAACAATAATTCATATCATTTAATTTACTCACTGAAAAGGAGGGAAAGATGAAAGAGCTCTGAGACCTGTTCCTAGAGTGTATAGTGCCGAGATTCATGGGTTTAAGGACTTGGAGAGCCCACCTAAGGAGCTCCCTCTTAGCTTACTCTTTACTATAACAAGGCCATAACAGCAACAACCCTTAGTGAGTGTAAGAAGACACAGATGGGAAATTTTAAAAGAGGAAAAAACCAAGTAAGTGCACTGCTGACTTCAAAGAACACTTAGCAAATACCTACTATGTGTCACCACACAGTCATGGAGATCATAATCTTTCTTTAAAAAAAAAAAAGAAAAAACTTCTGTACATAAATGCAGAACAATACATGACAGCAATAAATAGCTAGATAGAAAGTGGCCGAGTGCCAAAGAACATGAAACAGGTAATAAAGGCTATATGTAATGAGGAAGGAGAACATTCATCATTGGCTTGTATTACTTGGAAATGCAAGAATTTGAAAATGAGGCAAGAATAAATTGCAGTTTCGAAAGGCAGACCAGAGAGCAGAGTAATTTCAACTGAACATTTTTCTACAAATGCCACATTCACCAGATAAAGTGTAATGGACTAAAATTCCAGAGGTTCAAATGGTAAACTGCGACATGAAAACAGGGAACAAGAAGAGACAATGAGAAACATGCAAAGCTAACACAGCCTCAACATCCTCAAAAACCCTCCTGGACTGGCTTCTATAGCTCCATAAAATGCTGTAACTTCTGCTTCCATGTAAGGGTTCTTTGTTTTTGTTAACTGAAGCCTTCTTATTTCTGGAAAAGTATAGGCTTTTTAGAAGACTGAGTTAAAGTCTGACAACTACTCCCTACTTGCTGAGTAATCTTGGATAAGTGATCCTCGGTTTCTTTAACAAAACAAACAAAAAAATGGAAATAGTAAAACTGCCAATAAGCGACTTTTGATGAATCATCTGTACAGAAAGATGTCATAAACCATAAAACTTTATATTATGTATTATCACTTTCTCTTCCACTTGATTTTATGTTCCCAAGGATCAAGAATCACACTGTTATCTACTGTTGGGTCATTGCTACATAGACAGTGAATGCTTAATAACGTTCATTAAGTGACTACTGCGAACTATTTAATCAGAAGAGTAACAGATTATATATTTTAATATATATATATATATTATACTTTAAGTTCTGGGATACATGTGCAGAATGTGCAGGTTTGTTACATAGGTATACACGTGCCACGGTGGTTTGCTGCACCCATCAACCTGTCATCTACATTAGGTATTTCTCCTAATGCTATCCCTCCCCTAGACCCCCACCCTCCGACAGGCTCTGGTGTGTGATGTTCCCCTCTCTGTGTCCATGTGTTTTCATTGTTCAACTCCCATTTATGAGTGAGAACATGTGGTGTTTTTTTTTTTTTGGAGGAACTTTTAAAATTAGGGTGTAACATTTGAGAGAATGCAATATTAGAATGATGTGTATAGAACTTAAATGTACATCCTGAGGGATTTTAACACATACACACTATGTAACAACCATAGATTAAAATATGAGAACATTCCCAACACCCAGAAAGTCCTGGGGATCATTTTTTAAAATACAAGTTCCCAAGCCCTGACCCTGGAAATTTTGATGTAAGAGATTGGGGTGGACATAGGAGGAAGTTAGTGTACTTTTATAAACCAGCTGAGCACAATGTAAATATTAACAGTCCAGTCATTTCTAATTTCTGATTACCCCTAACTCGGTATCTGGCCAAGATCACTAAGTTCCCATAACACCATGAGCTGCACAGTGCACAAGGGTAACAGCTTAACTAACAAAATGCTTTTTTTAAAGCACATAAAATAATTCATCCAGTAGAATTATATAAGAAAGGAGAAACTGTCAAATCAAAATCCCTAAAGAAATCTGGCTGAGACTCATGAATTAACACATATTTACATATGTTCTAGAGGATTATCAAATAAGAGAATCTTTACCTTGTCTTTAGGTTGAGAGTTTATTCTTTTAAAAATTTCTAGTGAATACATTTCTGTAGGTTTCTGCAAATAAACTTTAAGGCTTCCTAGCATATCTCAACATGCATCATCATGAAGGTGTTCTCCAGAGAGCTTGTTAAACTAACAACCTAATCCAATGTATTCACTATATTACAGTAAAGTACAAATGGAACCATAGTTGAGCCAAGACAAATTGACAGCAAGAGTAACTGGCAGTAATAATATATCCCAGCTTTGATAATTGGGCAATGTTATAAACAGAGAGCTTAGAGTTAAATTTGGTCTGGCAAACTACAACCTATGAAACACTTTAAAACCCAGAACAGGAACATGTCAGCACCACACATATATTCTACACTAATTGCGCTGTCATCCACACAATTACAGGTAGTTCCAAATCAACTCTGTTAAAATCAATGCAGGAAATTAAGGGCCACTCACAGAAAATGTTTTCAGGTTTCTGTCCACAACAACAACAAAATATATAACATGGGTAACATTTGGTTGCAGCAAACAAAATAGTTTTGAGAGTTGACATTAAGGGTCAAAGTTCCTCTCTGGACTTTCTAATGCCGGAGAGTGTGGCTGGCGTAAGTCCCCATGACTCACTGTAAACTTGGCTCCCATTTTTCACCTTTCTTCTTCTTTCCAAACAACAGGGTAGACAGAGGTAGTAACTAAAGAAAAAGGTGAGAAAGCCTCTTCATGATTGTGGGTTCTATAGATAAATGTAGTACGTATGTGTGTGTGTTGACCGGGACTGAGGTTGGGACAATAGATGTATTTCTAAGCACAGAACAATTAAAACCATTATCTTCTAGCCTGTATCAGTGGCAACTGAGTTTGGGTTTATTAATGTCTAAAAAAATTACAAAGTTCCTTGCTTAATACAACAGGTTCTTGGGATTCTGAGCCAGATGATATCAAGATTAACCAACCTGAAATAACTTTTAGCCAATCATCATAAATGCTTTTTGCTTTCTTTTGCTAAAGCAAATTAACTGAATTTTTTCAAGTTTCTTCATTATCCGGAGATATTTATTAACAGACTAACATTTTGCATTTGATATTACATTCAGAGGACTTTTTCCTTAAAAAATGTCAAGTTTCAACAATTTAAAGTTTGGAGTTTGCATGTGAATAAAGCCTCTGGTAACTGGTTTGTGACTAGAGAAGAGTGAATATTCTACCTTTTCTTCTAGGGATGTTTCTATTCTTGTATTAAAGATGTCATACATAATGCAGCACTATGGATCACATTTGCAATTCCACATAAAAGCCATGAAACTATATTCTTCAGCTGTATTCCCAACAAGTAGAAATTGTTACAGCATTTGCAATATGGTAGTAGATTTTCCCGGGGAAAGAGTACTGACTGCAGCCCTATAAAGTTGAAGACATGGGTCAAATCTGCATACTCACTTCACTGTAACCTGCAAAAACAGAAGTAAATAAAGATACCCCATTAACTATCAACACACACATTTCAAAGTGAAGCACCAGAATTCTTATATTTTTCCAGTCTCCTATAGAGTTACTGAGCATGTCAAAAAACCCAGGGCTACCTACTCATGTAGTGGTCAATCCCATCGGCTAGTTGAAGACTACAACTCAAGGAGGAAGTCAAGAACAGTGGTTTGGAGGATAGCTGCATTTAGCCTTTCACGCACTCAAAATCCACAGCTGAGTAAATACAGAAAAATACCATTTCTTCTTAATCTTGAAATAGAGATCAACAATCTACTCTGAAAAGTTTTGTTAAAATAGCTGTGACGACTGGTTATTTTTGGCTTCTGGTTCCACTAGCCCTCACTTGCTGCAGTTAATCATGTGCTAAAAACCTTCAACACAAATAACAGCACATCAATTAGAAAAAAATAGACTACCACGGAATTGGTCAGCTAAACATTGCCAGAAGCACAATAATCAAATATTCTACTATCAGTCCTTTCATAGTAACTGTAAAACATTAATACTCAAAAATAGCCATTCCTTTTGTAGATCTGTAACACTTCAATTTTCTTACTTAACATGACATTTACATAAAAGTATCTAATTATTTTATCAACTAAAGGCACTGTAGGCTAATTAAAAATGCATCATCCGTTTTTAACCAGCTTGTCAATTCCACTCTATCATAATCTGTACATTGTTTACCTTTGCAGCATCTCACTTTTCCAGGCTCACAGTTCTAAAGGTAATTCTGGACAACAAATTAAAGGGCTACAATTCTCTCCCTTCTGTAGAGATTCAGAATATCTTTTTTTTTTCCTCCTAAGCCTCCCTGGGCAGAGAGAGATTCAGGATATCTTATCAAGAATTTCTTGATGAGGATTCCTCTTAAAAAAAAAAAAAGGACAAAATAAACCTCAAAAAATCTATGCAATGGAGATAGTGAAACAAACTGCACTGTTTCCTGATGTGTCCATGTTAAGAATGTAAAATTATCTTCAAAAAATTCAAACAATCTACATTTCTTGAGCAGTTAAATATTCCTTCTTTTACCTTCAATATACAAATGGAGATTTAAAATAGCAAAGAATTGACAGTATTTAATGTGTATCAGGTACACAGTAGAATGCACAAGAAAAGTAATCTCTTCAGAAAAGAAAACCCTAATCTCCAACCTCACCCTAAACCTGGGATTCATGAATTGTTTTAATCAGAAAGGACACACCTAGGCTGTCTATATAATTGAGTTTGAAAAGCCCCATCAATTAAAAACAAGGATACATATAGTGAGTTGGAATCTAAGTTTACAGAAATTCTTCAACACACAGATAATAGCCCTCTTATTTCTCCAAATGAAACTTCCAAATTAAACCATTTACAAAACTTTTTAAGGAATCTAAGTGTTAATCTCCCAGAGTTAGAAGTTCTAATCCTAACTCAGTGCATGATCTTTCACACTATTTAAATCTAAATTAGTAATTTACGAGAAGGGAATTTTCAAAGTGGGTCAAAAGTTGCAATTGGTAGCTTATCTATTTTGCTAATAAGGGTGTCTTTCTCAACAAAATCGTATTACCACTCCACCTTAACTCCCCTAAACAATTACAGGCATACCTCAGAGATATTATGGGTTTGGTTCCAGACCACTGTAATAAAGCAAATATGGCAATAAAGTTCGAGTTGCACAAATTTTTTGGCTTCTCAATGAATATAAAAGTTATATTTATACTATGTTGTAGAGTCTATTAAGTGTGCAACAGCATGATGTCCAAGAAACAATGTACATACCTTAATTTTATAAAACTTTATTTCTAAAAAAAATGCTAATGATCATCTGAGTCTTCAGTGATTCATACTCTTCTTGCTAGTGAAGGATCTTACTTCAATGTTGATGGCTGCTAACTGATCAGGGGGTGGTAGCTGCTGAAAAATGGGGTAGGTGCAGCAATTTCTTAAAAAAAGAAAACGAGGCCGGGATCGGTGGCTCACATCTGTAATCCCAGCGCTTTGCAAGGCTGAGGGAGGCGGATCACAAGGTCAAGAGATTGAGACCATCCTGGCTAACACGGTGAAACCCAATCTCTACTAAAAATACAAAAAAATTAGTTGGGTGTGGTGGCGGGCGCCTGTAGTCTCAGCTAGTCGGGAGGCTGAGGCAGGAGAATGGCGTGAACCCGGGAGGTGGAGGTTGCAGTGAGCAGAGATTGCGCCACTGCACTCCAGGCTGGGCGACAGAGCGAGGCTCTGTCTCAAACAAACAAAAAAACCCAACTCTGCCAGATCAACTGACTCTTCCTTTCACAAAAGATTTCTCTGTAGTAATGCTGTTTGACAGCATTTTACCCACAGGACTTCTTTAAAATTGGAGTCAATCCTCTCAGACTCTGCTATTGTTTTATCAACTAAGTTTATGTAATATTCTAGATTTTTTGTTGCCATTTCAATAATGTTCACAGTATCTTCACCAGGAGTAGATTCCATCTCAAGAAACCACTTTCCTTTGCTCAATCATATGAAGCAGCTCCTCATCCATTAAAGTTTTATAATGAGATTGCAATTCAGTCACCTCATCAGGCTCCACTTCTAATTCTACTCCTCTTGTGATTTCCACCACATCTGCAATTATTTCCCCTGCCCAAGTCTTGAACCCCTCAAAATCATCCATGAGGGTTAGAATAAACTTCTTCCAAACTTCTGTTAATGTTGATATTTTGACCTTCTCCCATGAATCACAAATGGTCTTAATGGCATCTAGAATGGTGAGTCCTTTCTAGATGATCTTCCATTTACTTTGGCCGATCCATGAGAGGAATCAGTATCTATGGCAGCTATAGCCTTGTAAAATGTAGTTCTTAAATAATTATGACTTAAAACTCAAAATGACTCCTTAATCCATGGACTACAGAATCAATGCTGTGTTACCAGGCATGGAAACATAAATTTCCTTGTACCTCTCCATCAGAGCTCTTGGGTGACAAGGTGTATTGTCAATGAACAATAATATTTTGAAAGGAATCTTTTTCTCAGCAGTAGGTCTATACAGTAGGCTTAAAATATTCAGTGAATGATGCTATAAACAGATGTGCAGTCATCCAGGCTTTGTTGTTCCATTTACAGAACACAGGCAGAGCGGATGTAGCAGAATTCTTAAGTGCCCTAGGATTTTTCAGAAGGATAAATAAGCACTGGCTTCCACTTAAAGTCACCAGCTACATTAGCCCCTAACAAGAGGGTCATACTGTCCTTTGAAGCCAGGGACTGACTTTTCCTCCTGTAAGTCCTGGATGGCATCTTCTTCCAATAGAAGGTTATTTTCGCTATTTTGAAAATCTGCTGTTTAGTGTAGTCACTTTCATCAGCGATCTCAGCTAGGTATTTTTGTTAACTTGCTACAGCTTCTACATCAGCAACTGCTGCTTCACCTTGCACTTTTATGGAGATGGCTTCTTTTCTTAGCCTCATGAACCAACCTCTGCTAACTCCAAGCTTTTCTTCTGTAACTTCTTTACTAGCATGGTAGTCCTCATGCTAGTATTTTCTGTCTTGAGAACTTTTAAAGCTTAAAAATTACTAAGGACACTAAGAAACTTTTTTTATGTATCTTACATCATTGATATTTATCCCATATGAAATTATAACTTGACAAAAATGTTTTCATTTAAAATTAAAATAATTAGATGTCAACATAAAAACTTACTCTTTTATGAAAAATAACTGCAACTTAAAAAATAATGAGAGTGGCCTGGCTTAAAGGAAGCTACTTGGATTTTCATGTCTATATCTGTATTTAATCTATTTATATGAATATGAAGAAAGCACACTATTACATAAATATGTAGTTGGAAAAGGAAAGATCTCATGGATGCCCTAAGAGGGACTTGGGGACTTCTATGGATCTTTGGACCACATTTGAGAACCACTGGTATAGAACCAGTGAACCTAAAGGTTAATATAAGATCCAATTTCCCCATACTCCTTACGTGCCAACTGACTTATTTCTAGTCTTGCAGAAACCAACTGATGTACTAAGTGTAAATAACAGTAAAAGGGTTTCCCAGTCTCAACAAAATGTGAATATTTAAGTAAATAAAGGTAAGGGATAGTGGAATAAGCTAGTCAAAATTTCAAACCAAGACATTCCATTTCTGCTACGTATGTAAGAAGAGTAAAAACATGTTTCATGGAACTCTCAAAGGATTCTGGGTAAGCAGTTAAATATGTTCAATTTTAGTTTTTCAGATGTAATCTCTCACCTAGAATCCTATACCTTTCCATATGTTAAGATGCTGACAAACGCTTACCACTGATACTTCAAAATGTGATAAAGTCCAACAGCGATTAACAGTGACATTCTAAGACATCATCACCCTCTTGGGGATAAAAATAGAATAATCCCCATTTTATTAGAGGTCAAAATATCACCTGGCTAATAAAATCAGTACTAATTTTAGACACTGTTTTGTTTTTCTCTTGTGACAAAGCATATTTAATACGAATACAAAATTAGGGGCTGTCACCTCTCCAATTTAGGCTTCACTTTTGACTATTTACAGGCTTAACTAAGGCTCAACTCCGATTTCTAGATTTGCATCATTTGCATTTTACCATCAACACAAGCATGATTCTCATAACAACATTAATGGAGACACCACTCAGCACTGGAAGAGCTTTTTTTTTTTTTTTTCAAACATAGTTCAGCTAGCAAGACTATTCTCATAAATCTCAGCCTGCAGCAGCTACTGAAAAAAGGCTGCAACACTTTCCTTAGAAAGGGAAATGACTGGTGCATGTTCTTCCTAAGAGGCTTCAGGACTAATGAAAAAAAGACATCTATTCAGGCCACAGGTACTGTTGCGTGGACTTGTAAAAACAACTTGGAACACCGGTGCCCTTCTCTTCTGCCTCTTTGCTGAGCCTTTCCCATAGCTAGCTGTACCACAGCTGGAATATGATGAGTGACACTAAACAGAAATTACCTTAGTCCAACTGTCTTGCTTTACAGGCAGAAGTGAACACTGTCAGGTCTTAATAATAGGATCTCTCTTTGCAACTAATAGTTGAAAATGTCACAATTTTAATTGTGTAGTGAAGGGATTATACTGATATTTCAGAATTTTAAAAATTCCTCACTAAGGTGCCATCTTATTGTTTTTATTAAATCTAAAGAATCATCTTTTTGATGGATCAAAAAGTGAGATGGTTTATAAAGTAACAGAGGCCATGAATACAAAATGTACAGTTACATAGTCATTTTTTGGCATTGGCAGCTCTGAATTTTCAGAAAGAAGTTCACAAGCACAATTAAAATATATTTATGTAAGCTTAAAATGGCTGCTTCAACACATTCACATAAATGCCATTATGTTTTTTTTTCAGCCAAACATTTTTGTCATAAATAAAGCTTAGATTTAATTTAAAATCAGCACAGTGTCACATATTACTTGTACCTACACAAAATAAAAATATGACGAGTGCAAGAGCTAAAGCTGTGTGAAGTGTGGTTGTTTACATGACCTTTACTTTCACAGAGAAGGACAGAGCATTTAATTTAATACGAACATTTAAAGAAATCCATATTGGGGGCAGGGGGGACAGTGATGATGTTGCTTGAAAATCTAGTTTGAATATCAGTAACTGTATAATCTCACAAGTGACTGAGGTAATCTTTTGGGAAACTAACCTTTCAGATCTGCAGACTTCTTAAGGGACTTTTGAAAATGAGTATTAAAAGCTTGCTAGTATTCTCTCTTGCAAGTGGGAATCTTCAAGAGGGAAATTTAGGTGATAAATACCAACGAGCAAAAATGGTTATTTTACAACAGGCAAGTGCCTATTTGTACTGAAGACAGAGACAGAGACAGAGAGAGAGAGAGAGAGAGAGAGAAACAGAAAATGACTCTCATTATTCCAAAAGTCTGAGATGAATTGTTACCACCACAAAGCATCCAAATTTTCAAAATCTGGTAGGGACACTGCCTTTTTTTGAGTTGCTTTGTCTTGGGGTTACTGTATGGTACAGAAAATTATTTTAAAAAATTAAGTAGCTATTCAAAAATCAGGTACAGGCAATGAGAAGTCCCTTCTTTAATGTATCAAAACACATAAAGTAGGTTTCTAAAAGTAAGAAAAATTAAAAACAAAACTTTTCCTAAATATTTAAATCACTAACCATTTATTGAGTACTATGCCAGCAGTGTGCTAGGTGTTCTGGGACAGAGCAAAGTAGCATAAAATAAAGCCTCTGCTAATTTGGTGCTTAGTCTCTAAACTTGTGCAGAGAGATGACATTCTCTTGCCAAGAACATAGAAGAAGGTTTGAATAAATAAAGACAAACTATATTCCTTTATGAGAAGACCCAAAAGTTTATTAAAATGTCAATTATTCTGAAAAAAATCTATATATTCAATATAATCCAAATCAGAAGCTACTGATACATACTATAAAGGTATATTCCAGTTTCAGAAATATACAGGTTGACCAATAAAACAAAATAAAGAGCCTAGGAACAGATCTATGTCTTTATGTAATAGTATTAGCATTTTAAACTAGGACTATTCAATGAATGGTTTTTGCATAACTGGTTATCCACTTGGGAAAAAAAAATAAAGGTAAATCTCTATGCCTTAAATACAAAATAAATTCCAGATGGGCTCAAGAGCTAACGATAGAAAAAGATAAACCATGAAAGTATTAAATGTACATAGAAAAATATTTTTATAACTCTACGATTCAGACAGCCTTCTAAGAAAGACAGAAAACTGGAAGACAAAAGACCAACAGACTTAAAGTTTAAAAAATTCTAATGAATACAAGGCACTCAAATGAAAATTAAAAGCCAAGTAACATACCAAAAGAAACTGGCAATATATGTAACAAATACTTATCTAGAATTCTTTTTTTACATATATGTAACAAATACTTATCCAGAATTTGTTACATATATATATATATATAAAAGAATTCCTACAAATCAGTAAGAAAAAAATAGCTAATAAAAAATAAATAAGCAAAGAACAACACTGATAGGCAAATCACTGGAGACTTATAAATTGCTAATAAACACATAAAACAATGCTGAATCTCACTATCAGGAGATGTCTGGAAAACACAAGTTAAAATGAGCTATTCTTTTGCCCAACTTATTAAAAAAAAAGAAGAAGAAACAAAGAAAAAACCCACCTAATATTGGTAATGCTGTGGTAAACAATCACTCTCAAACATCATTCTTAGGAATATAAAGTCATACAGTCATTTTGGAAGGTAATATTGCCATGCAAATCAAAATTTTAAATATACATATTCTCTGACTTGTTAGTTCCTCTTCTATGTATTTATCATGGAAAAATAACATATGCACCATTAGCCACGTACAAAACTGTTTACTTGACATGGCTCATAATAGTGAAATATTAAAAACAACCTCCAGAGAAGAGAGTAGAGAAAAGGATAGTAAGGGCAATATAGAATATTATGCAGGAGTAAGGCAGATCTCCATGTGTAGACTTGGAAAGAGCTCTAAAATATATTAAGTTAAAAAGCAGTTATAAAACAATATATACAGTATGCTGTCATTTATATAAAAATAAAATCTTTTTTTTTTTTTTTTAGACTAAGTTTCATTCTTGTTGCCCAGGCTAGAGTGATCTCGGCTCACTGCAACCTTCGCCTCTCGGGTTCAAGCGATTCTCCTGCCTCAGCCCCCCGAGTAGCTGGAATTACAGGGGCCTGACACCATGCCAGGCTAATTTTTGTATTTTTAGTAGAGGTGGGGGTTTCACCATGTTGACCAGGTTAGTCTTGAACTCCTGACCTGGTGATCTGCCCACCTCAGCCTCCCAAAGTGCTGGGATTACAGGCGCAAGCCACAGCACCCAGCCAAGATAAAATCTTGTATGTAAACATGTACACAGCTGCATAGAAAAAATACAACCCATAATGAATAAACAGCGGTTATTTCTGTAAAAAGTAGGAATTGGGTGGTGGTGATTGATGGTGGTGACGTTAGAATATTTTCATGTTCTATTCTATCTAAACCTGTGTCTTTGTAATTCAAAAATTGAGAATGTAGTCATGTTTTACTTGCATACTTAAAAATAGGATTAAAAGTTTTGAAAAAGAAAAGCAAGCCAGAAAATGAATAACTTAAAAATCATGGTTTTGCTTTAATCTGGTTCTTATTTTGACTACAAATGGAAGGTCAGATGATACTACCAGTACTTAAACAAGTTCCTATCCAACTGACATTATGGAACAGAAAGAATTTCTATAAGAAAACACTGCTGAACTGCTCAACTCCTGTATTTTGACAGAGATTAACTTAATGATCTCACACATTGATTTTTGATAAATTATGGCTCTTCACTTCAATATAGCATATAACTGTACATTATTATACTGTACTGCAAAGTATCAATCTTTTCAGAACACAGCCCTAATAAAAGCAGCATGCTTTGCAGAACCAGCTTTGGGATGAATGAATAAATGCACTGGGGAAAAAAACACCGTTAAATTAAAATCAAAAGAGACATTTAAAGTTTGGGCATTCTTCATTATGGGAAAGAATCTTCCACTTTGAGACTATTATATATCGGAAAAACTCCATCTGTTGTATAATTATCTCTGATAAATGGCCTGATGCTTTGAGCTTCATTAGAGAAAAGCAAAGAGAAAGACACACACACAGAGAACTGTAAATAAATCTCCCCACCATATTTCACTTAAAACCAGCCCAGCAGGAAGTCATAAAATATTTTTTAATAGGCAATATTTTCTAAATGCTTTACTAGAAGAAACCAGCCTGTTTTGCCCAATATCTGGCCTCCTGAAGTAGGCATAGTCTGAAAAAGGGAACACTGGTTTCATTTAGAGATTATTAGAAATTTAATTGGTAAAAACAAACAAATCAGAAGTTTAGCCGCTTGGTGGCAGTGATACTAAATTTCCAGGGAACAGATTAAGGCTTGTCAGACAGAAATGAAGATATGTAGCCAATGACGCCCAATGGATGTTCAAAGACCCGGGGCAGTCTAGCAAGGACATCTGTTAAAAGGCACTACCATTTTTTAAATATCCCTGAGGGAGCTACGATATCACCAGAAACCAGTTTCCAAGGAAACAATGGAAATCTGTGTTCAACCAAATTAATTTAACCAGAGGTGGAGTACGTTCTGAAATTTCTATTTTGGGAATCAGTGTCATATTAAAGGAAAATCCAGTCAGCACCTGGAAACGAAGCTTTAGTCATTAAAAATCCTCACTAACATGCCAGTTAATATGGTTCTCACTTTTTCTGTATATTTTATTTTACTACAACAAAAGTATGTCTTGGGTGGATGCAGTAGACAAGAGCAGGAAAAAAACCAGAGTCCCGTATTATAGATGCAAAAGGCCCAGAGTTCAGTTGTGGCCCTCTCTTGGGACTTAAGGAGGGTCACTATCTAAACCTCCCTTTTTCATCTATAGAATAGGAAGGAGAATATTTGCCCTACCTATGCTGCACACTGTCAAGATGATTCTAGGAACATGTGTATCAAAGAACTCTGTAAAACAGGGTTTTGCAAACTTTTTCTGTAATAGGCCATTGGGTCTCCACAGCAACTACCCAACTCTGCTATTGTAGCACAGAAGCAGCCACAGACAATACAGTAACAAATGAGTGGGGCTGTGTTCCAATCAAACTTTACTTATAAACACTGAATTTGGAATTTCATGTATTTCCCACATTTCACAAAATATTTATTTGATTTTTTTCAGTTGTTTAAAAGAATAAAAATCATTCTTAGCTTGTGGGCAGCATAAAAACAGATGATAGGCTGGATTTGGCCTGTAGGCTATAGCTTGTCAACCCCTGTTGTAAACTATAGTTTTATGTAAGAGCTGGTTGCTGTTTAATTCTTAGTATGTACCTCCACAGAGCTTAGAAGACTGTTTTGTATGAGATAGGTACTCTCTAACTGCTAGTTTAGAATATCAGACTATTTGAAAACAAGTCCATTTCTTGCCATTAATCCTCCCTAGCAGCAGGTATCAGTTCTCTTCCTCTCCTGCCTAGAAAGAGACAGACCAGCCATGACCCCCCAAACACCTCCATTTCCATTCAATATGCTAGTGGGACTGGGAAGAAAAATCCAAAAACTCAGGTAGACATGCACATCATGTTACCAAACAGGTCATAAATAGGGATGCTCAGGCCTTTAAAAGCATAACAACAGAAAAGCTGACTTGTATAAAGAGCTAAGAGGGCACTTCCTCATCTTGTGAGCAATCATCTGCCTGTACTTGAGAACAACAAAACAACTGATTCCAGCGTTCTAACTACAACCTGGCATTATCCTTTCTCTCTGCAAAAGTTGGGTCAAAAAACTTAACTACAAATCACACTTTATCTCCCTCAGAAAAAATCTAAAAACTGGGAGAACAGTAAATAGGCAGTAGCAAAAGCAGAAAGAAATGTTTTATTCTTTTTAAGAGTTTGTCCAACACACCTTCCACTGTATAGCCTAATTTGCATGCAATGTCCTTTAGATCGTAAATCATGATAGAGAATGGCAGCTATGGTGTGGTGGCAGAGACCCAGGCCCTTGGAGCCAGAGTGCTCTGTGATCTTGGGCAAGATAATCATCCTGTGCCTCCATCTTCACACCTGTGAAATGGATAAAATAGAAGTACCTGCCTTACAGGGTAATTATGAAGATGAAGTAAGTTAATACAGTTGATCCTTGAACAAGAGCAGTTTGAACTGTGTGGGTCCATTTAGATGCACATTTTTTTCAACCAAATACAGATGGAAAATAAGTATTGCCCACATATATGGAGGGCCAACTTTTCACTAAGTGGGTTCCACAGGGCTGACTGTGAGACTTGAGTATGCGCCGAATCCCCTGTGTATAATGAGGGATGATTGTGCATATAAGGTACTTGGAACAGTGCCTGGTACTTAGCAAGGATACTTGTTGTGAGCCGTTACCATTACTATCGCATTTAAATGCTGTAACAAGTCCTTTAGTCACTATTTGAATTTTGTTTACATATTTTTGGAAAAGGCTTCCAACGGCTAAGCTCCATGGACTCTTCTGCAGACACACACAGTTTGGGACAGGGAGACATATGTTTATGTTCAGATACAGAAATATCACTTAAGAGCTTTTAGATACCTGCTTCATTTACCTGCAGGGAAGCGTATTAAGAAATTCTTTTGGGTAAAAATTAGTCCTGTTTCTAAGTTTTACATACTTTTGTCAATAGTTATTGCTCTATCTGCAGTCTTTTCAAAAGAAAATGTACCCAGACTCTCACCACTTTCTGTTGATATGTTCATAGTTCAAGTTCATGTTGATAGTAAGAAGGTGAAAGTAGATTTAAGCAACATCTGTTTTCTTGTACATTAGGAAAAAAAATAATAAAACCTTCCACAAGCCCCAAACAAAATGTAGCACTTCTAGCTCTATGCAATAACAATGGATCCATAACTACTAAATAGTTTACAAATTTCACGGTACTTGGATTTGGCATCCCAAATTCATTTTCCAACAACTGCTACATCTTACTTCTCCACATCTCTTCAGGAGAAGCTAAGAAGGAACCCACAGATGAAATTCTGGTCCCTTGAGGATACTAAAATATCAACATAGGCAATCTCCTGCTGCCTCTTCCGCCATCCTTTGTCACCTTGGTAGATCACAGCTTAAAAAATTTGCAAGATGTAGATGGATCAGGCTGTTTAGTGTCTCACTTGGGTCTTCACTGCTACTAGGCAATCACTTTATCTCCCATTGATTTTTAAAGCATCCACCCTGACAGCTCTTAACAAACTCAAGGTACTTTTCTTACGCCATATTCTCAACCCCCAAATCTGGCACACATCTTCCTCACTCTAGCACAGCTGCTTTCAACCTAGGTGAGGGAGCAAAGCTGACCTGAAAAAGCTTTGCAAATGACATGCCTGTTAACCACTACTAGCTACTTCCCCCCTTCCACCCCAAAATTCTTATGCACCTGTTGGGGAGAACAAGCCAGACTCCCAGGGAGAGACATATGTAGTCAAAAAGGTGACCTCCTTATTTATAAAGACCTAATCTTACTCATTTCTATACTCAGCACTTAACTTAGTGTCTAACATACAGCAGACACTCAGCAAAGACTGCTAAATGAATATACAAACCACTGAAACAGTTTATTAAATAGTTTATTTAGGTAATCCCTCTTATGATCACCAAATCCAAGTGCCTCTTTGTCAGTTTACAGCCTCGGTAGCATTTTCATAATATTGTGACAATATCTTATAGTGACTGAAAGCATAGGCTCTAGATCCAAATTCATGTGTTAAGAGCATGGGCTTCACTGCCTTGCAATAGCTCTATAACTTAGGGCAGAAAGTTAATGAACCTCTCTAAGTTTTAATGTCCTCATCTGTAAAAACAAGTATAATAAAAGCACCTACCCTAATAGGCTATATTGAAAATTAAATGTTACCGCATCTAAAGAACTTTGAAGAATGTCTAGAATATAGCAAATGTTTCATAAATGTGAGCTAACATTATTATTATCTAAACTGAAATTCGTTCTTTGGCTTTTGTGACCTTGCCCACTATCATTCTCCTCCTGACTTCTTCAGTTGCCTCCTCTATCCTTTTTGCTCCTTAAGTGCAGAAGTTTCACTCACAGGTTTATCCTCACTGCTTTTCTTTTCTTTCTTTTTTTTTTTTGTGAGACAGAGTCCCACTCTGTCGCCAGGCTGGAGTGCAGTGGAGTGATCTCGGCTCACTGCAACCTCACCTCCCGGGTTCAAGCGATTCCCCTGCCTCAGCCTCCCGAGTAGCTGGGACTACAGGTGCGCACTACCATGCTCGGCTAATTTTTGTATTTTTGTAGAGACGGGGTTTCACCAGGTTGGCCAGGATGGTCTTGATCTCTTCACCTTGTGATCTGCTCGCATCGGCCTCCCAAAATGCTGGGATTACAGGCGTGAGCCATGTGCCCAGCCCTCCCTGCTTTTCTTTGCTCTCACTCTTGGCAACCTCACTTAACACCTATGGCTTAAACTATCATCTCCATGTGGATGAAGCCAATCTTGACTTCACTCCTCTGAGCTCCAACTCAACCTGCCCAGTTGCACACAATACAAACTTAAGTCATCACCATATCTCCAACTGGCAAATCTCATTTCCCTAGATCTGTAGAAACTTGAGGAATTAGGAAAGAGATTAGCTTCAGAGAGTATAAGTCTAAGAGAAACATACAATGGTTCAAAGCAATGATGTCACCAAGAAGAGAGAGAAAGGAAACGAAGCTAGTAGAACTAGACATCTTTAATCAGGCTGAAGGTATTCATATTAAAAAAAAAAAAAAAAAAAAGCCCATAGCAGTCTACAGTGGCCTAAACTGGCAAGTAACTCTTGGTTATGATGTGGATTTCCACATATCTTAATGACAGGGAGAGAAAGCATTCCTCTTGCCCACACAAATATTATTCTCTATGACAGTTGTATTTCACATTGTGAATTAACTGATTAAAAGTATGAACTCTGAAGCCAAATGCCTAAATTTGAATCCTGGTTCTGGTATCTACTCGTTTGTGACCACAGGCAAATTACTTAATCTTTTTGTGTCTAATTCCTCATCTATGGAATGAGTATAATGACACTATCTACCTCATTGGGTTATCACGAAAAACAATGAGAAAATATGCATGTAGAATAATGTCTCATATACAAAGTGCTCAATAAATGGTAGCTACTGTTATCTCAGCCTCACATGCATTTTGGTGGCTTGAATTGATTTGTGGTGGCCCGATCCTGGTATGCACGAATCCAATCCAGTTTCCATCAGATGAGATCCTGACCAACTTTTTCCTTAGACCAGGAGTTCTTAACCCAAGGGCCATAATAAGCTGTAGAGAAATTTTATGCAAAATTGGGTATAAATGGATGGTGTATATTTTTCTAGGACAAGAGGCCACAGCTGTCATCAACTCCTCAGTAAGTACATGATCTTGAAAAGATTTTTTAAAACAAAACAAAATCTACTGCCTTAGCATGACCACTACCATTTTCACCGTTTTTTTTTTTCTCCTCTTATATGATTTCTACACCTTGGCCTCTATTCAATAAGTTATAATATTTAAAAAATTCTTTCTTTGCAATGTTATTCCTGTTTAATCCTTTCCATTTTCAATACAACCAAGGTTACTTCTCCAAAGAACTGTAATAATATCACCTCCTCTGCTCAAAAACATGGCTACTGTCTCAAGTCCAAATAGCTTAGCTGGACATTTAGCCTCTATGTCTTGGCCACAACTTACCCTTCCAGCCTTGTCTTTCATTCTCTTCCACAAATGGCCCTAAGACAGTCATTTGCCATTGAGAAACTCCATGCAGCTTTCCTTCCACAGCTCATTCTACTCTGTCTAGTATGTCTCTTCACCACCTTCTATCCATCTTTACCACCACTTCCTCAGTAGGTCAATGCCCTTCAACAGTTGCTGTCTTTAATACATAAGGACCAACATGGGTGTATGCAAACATGTATCAGGGTTTGTCAAGCTCATCATTACTGGTATCGTGAGCTGAATGATTTTTTGTTGCAGAGGACTGTCCTATGTGATGCAGGACATTTAGCAGCATTCCTGGTCTCCAGACATTATCAAATGTTCTGGGGCTGTGGGGTGGGAGATCACTCTTGGTTGATAACCACTGATAAACTACAACAAATATATTTAATTTCCCCTTCAAATTCTTTGAGGACAAAGACTATGACCTTGCTTATTTTATATTCTCGATATTACCAAATATAGCAGTTTATGACAGATTTAGATAAATATTTGTTTTCTGCTAACCTTTCCAAAGTTAGTATACAGAACACAGAACATTCTAACCTACTGTGTTTCTAGATATTCATGAAACTTGAAATACTAAATTTCAACTTAGCTTTCAAAGAAAAAAAAGGCCAGGTCTCACAAGGCTGCAGTGTAATGGTTAAGACCACAGTCCACTGTAACCCTGAACTCCTGGGCTCAAGAGATCCTCCTGCCTCAGCTTCCCAAGTAGCTGGGACCATAAACACACACCACCACGCCTGGCTAATTTTTTTTTTTTTTTGGTAGAGACAAGAGTCTCACCATGTTGTCTAGGCTGGTCTCAAATTCCTGGCCTCAAGCAATCCTCCTGGCTTGGCCAAGTAGAGCTTTTAAAAGGCAAAAACTACTATGTCATAATATCCCTATAATTTTCAACAAATACTATCAACTATATTTGTGCCCTAAAAGAGATGTATATCTCACATACCGCCAGGGATGGGGGATGGAGGGAAAGAGATGTATATTATGACATTATAAAAATTAAGCAGACAATGGGCTGGGCATGGTGGCTCATGCCTGTAATCCCAGTACTTTGGGAGACCAAGGTGGTTAGATCATTTGAGGTCAGGAGTTCGAGACCAGCTTGGCCAACATGGTGAGATCCTGTTTCTACTAATTAGCCAGGCATGGTGGCAGGCACCTGTAATGCCAGCTACTCAGGAGGCTGAGGCAGGAGAATCACTTGAACCCAGGAGGTAGAGGTTGCAGTCAGCTGAGATGGTACAACCGCACTCCAGCCTGGGCAACAGAGTGAGTATCTAAAAAAAAAAAAAAGAAATTAAGTAGACAGTGAACTTCTAACCTACATAATAGCATTCCAACACTGAAGACTTACAGAAGAGTAATACCATCTCCTCCTTCCTTTAAACATCCTATGTTCTATGAAGTATAGTGCTATCTCAGTTAAATGCTTAGAAACAGTCAAGGCCCAGTTAGTGACAGAGGTAAAGCTTCAATCTAAGGCTCCTAAATTAGGGTTTTAGGGTTAGAATCCCTTACTGGTCCCTTGCTGCATATTAGAAATCCTCTGCGGAGTTAAAAATAACAGATCCCTGGGCCTCCCTCCAGATCAATTAAATGAGAACGAGGGAATGGTGCTAAAGATTAAAATTGTTTTAAAAACCCCCAGTGGATTCTAATGTGCAGACATAGGTGAGAGCCACTGCTCTCTAGACTGGTTCAAACTTCATGTACTTTGACGGTATAAAAGGCTATTTCTTCAGGAATGGCTGAAACTTATTCTCTAACTTGCTGAGCTTGGGCCTTGTATGTGGACACTTATCTTGAATTAAAAGAAGTGCTGTTTTTTCTGGGGTCAGGCATTACCAAGATGCTCATCTAAAGTTCTTAAGCTGCTCTCTCTACCACCCCTCAGAAGCCAGACACTTACACTCCTCTTTACTCGGTGAAGTTACATTCAGTTCTGTCGGAAGCGGCTGCTGGCTGGGACTAAGAGTTGGCGTGGTTATCGAGGTATTGTTGTTGTCACTGGTGGTCTCTTCGGAAAACAAATCTGATTGGCTGTTACTTGTACTTGGAGCGGAATCATCGTCTGGCTGTTTCTTTTGAAAATCTGAAGAAAAATAGAAAACGAGCTTAATTAAGGAGTTCACAGTCTCTGAGGATTAGAAAACAATGGAAGTTGGTACAAAAATTAAATGCAACAACACCAATAATAAAGACTGATCTGGGTGACTAAAAAACCATGGGAGTAAAACACTGGTCAAAAACGTTTAAGATTAGTGGAAGGTACTAGAGTTAAAAGTTTTCCAAGGTCCCTTATTATTCAGAAGAATGCAAACATACTGATTTTAACATTCTGTGCAAAGCCAAAGACGCATGTTAAAAATTTAAGGGTAATCAGAAGGAAAAAGGGAATAAAGAATAGTTTTTCAAACTTTTCAGAAGGAAAGGTCATAAGGAAAAAGGCAGCAGAGAAAACAGCAGAGTAAACAGAAAACACATAATAAGATGGTAGAAATAAGTACAAATATGTCAGTAATGGTAATAAATGTAAACAGACTGAACTTATCAGCTAAAAGGCAGAATATTTGGACTAAATGAAGTCCAGTTGTATTCAATTTACAAGGGACATACTAAAAACATAAATATGAGAGGATAAACAAAATGTTAAAGTATAGTTAATCCTTGAACATCATGGGTTTGAACCGTGTGGGTCCACTTGCACGTGGATTTTTTTCAACCAAATGCAGATCAAAAATACAATATTCACGGGATGCAAAAATCATATATGGAAGGCCTACTTTCCATATACGATGGTTCTGCAGTGCAGACTGATGAACCTGAGTATGCACAGATTTTGGTATATGCAGGGGAGTCCTGTAGCCAATCTCCCAAGTATAACACAATCGTATATAAAAAAAAATGTACCTGGCAAATAAATATAAATGAACAGGCAGGGCACAGTAGCTCACGCCTATAATCTTAGCATTTTTGAAGACTGAGGCGGGAGGACTGCTTGAGGCCTGAAGTTTGAGACGAACATGGGCAACACAGCAAGACCTCATCTCTAAAAGTTTTAAAAAATGAGCTGAGGGTGGTGGTGCACACTTGTAGTCTCAGCTACTTGGGAGTATCTCTTGAGTCCAGGAGTAAGAAAGAAAGAGGGGGAAAGGGAAGGGGAAAGGGCAGGGCAAGGGGAAGGGAGGACAGGACAGGACAGGAACAGAGAAAGCAGAGAGAGGAGAAAAGGGAGGGGAGGGGGAGAGGGAGAGGAGAAGAGGAAAAAAAAGAACCAAGAAAGGAAAAGGAAAGAAAAAGAAAAACGGGAGGGGAGAGGAGAGGATGAACAGAAAGCTACTATGGCTAGAGTACTGTCAGAATATGTACACTTTAAGTCAAAAGTATTATTAGAGGTGAAGAGGATCATTATAAAATAGTAAAAGAGGCTTCTCCAAAGCCACAAAATACTGTCGTCCCTTAGTATACACAGGGGACTGGTTTCAGAACTCCCGCATATACTCAGGTTCCACAGTCAGCCCTACTGAACCAGCGTATATTAAATACTGGTCCTCCATATACACAGGTTTAGCATCCCGTATTTTCAATCTGGGTTTGGTTGAAAAGCTTCATATAAGCAGGGATACAAAGTTCAAACTTGTGTTGTTCAAGGGCCAACTGTACTTAAACCAAAAATGGTTATATTGATGAGAAACTGACAAATTTCCTACAGGGGACGATTTTAATGTAACGCTCACACAAAATAATTAATAAGCATACAAAGACCAAGTATCCAACAATTAGAGAATGAATTATTTTCTTTTTTTCTTGAGACAGAGTCTCACTCTGTTGGCCAGGCTGAAGTGCAGTGGCATGATCTCGGCTCACTGCAACCTCCGTCTCCCAGGCTCAAGCAATTCTCCTGCCTCAGCCCCCGAGTAGCTGGGATTACAGACGTGTACCACCACACCCGGCTAATTTTTGTATTTTTGTAGAGACAGAGTTTCATCATGTTGGCCAGGCTGGTCTCCAACTCCTGGCCTCAGGTGATCTGCCCGCCTCAGTCTCCCAAAGTGCTGGGATTACAGGTGTGAGCCACAGCGCCTGTGGCCTTAAACCTTTTCAAAGCCCCTGAATATTAGCGTAATTCAGAATAGCAGTTAAATCTCAGATTGAGGGAGGGTGGTATGATGGTGAGAGGCACACAAAAATATCCAAAGACAGGTAATGTCCATTAACAGAAAATTGATCTTAAAATGCTCTACAGTGATTAAATGAATAAGGCTACAAGTATAATAGAAAAATCTCAAAAAGAATGTTGAGAGAGAAAAGCAAGTGAGCTACAGAAAGATATACACGGTATAATAATACTTATATAAAAATTTAAAATATGTTAAGAATACCGCATATTGTTTATGGATACATGAATGATAATAATTACAAGATAAAAACATTCAAGGAAATAATATACCAGATTTCGGACAGTGATTATCTCTTTGAGGCCAAGGGATAAGGAGAAAAACGGGTCTTCTATCTTGTTCTGTAATTTTTTATTTCTTAAGCTGTTGGTAGGTATCTGAGTGTGATTATTGTCTTTATTCTCTATATATTTTAAAAATCTAACGCTACTCTATGAAGTACAGATTATAGTTTATTATATCAATTCAGAGAAGTACAAGATTCTTACAACTTGACATAGCATTCGAACCAGAGGGAAGTGTTGCTATCATACTCTATAACTTCATCAGAATCATTACCTTTTGACATATTCTCAGCGTAAGAATAGCTAGCATTTATGATGCGTTTATTATGTGCCAGGCACTGAACTAAATGTTTTATGTGTATAACGTATTTATGTTAATCATCAGGAAAACCCTAACAAGGAAGGTATAAATAACATCATTTTAATGATAAAGAAATTGAGGTTCAGAAAGTTTAGGTAATTTTTTCTAAGTTAACAGCTAATAAGTAGCAAGGACAGGTCCATTTGACAACAAAGCCCATGGTCTTCAATCACAACCACAGGATGTGGCACTGTGATCACCAAGATGGCCCAAGAAAGAGACCTCCATGTCAAGCCCCCAGCCATTTCCAGCACCACTAGTGAGTGCAATGAATGTAGCCAGTTAGTAACTGCTAAGGTGATCAGTGCTCTAAAGCCCCCACTGCTTCTTTTCTGTGTATTTATTTCTCCTAGCCACTTTCTTGTTCTTCCATGTTTTGACATTTAAAAATGGCTTATTATCTCAGTGTTATTTGTATAGCACCTTCAAGAAACAGGTACTATATCAATGGAATAAAAATACTGCAATAATGATACTTCTTTTTTATGTCATGTAATCTCATTAGCTCTCCTATGTCAATAATCATTGTGTCCCTCCCATAACCATCTGTCTACCATTTAATTGGAAATGTTATATGATCCTGAAAGAACTGAAACTGAGTCATCACTGTACCATCTAGCATAATCCCCAATGCCTGGAGACAGATGCACACACAGAAACTTACTCACTCAGGCACAATAAGCCTTTGAAGGTGAAGGATGTTGGTATCTAAAGACAATTATGAATACCAGGTCCCACCCACACACTCTCCAGCCCATGCTTGCCATGCTACTTTGATGCTCAGGTACTTTCAAGTTCTCTTTTGTGAACTGGCAGTTCAAAAACTTCAGGTTTTCTTTTAGGAATCAGCAGTTGACACAGTGTACCTTCTTTTAACCCATACTCCTTCTATGCCTTTTCTACACCTGCACAGGGTGATGGTGTCATAACATCATTTGGCTAACATACAAACCCAACTGGCTGCTCACAAAGAGAGGAGTAGAAGCTCTATATATTCTCTACTTGAATCTGAAAAAGAATCCAGGAATCACAGAATGTTACAACCTGTAATGGCTTTAAAAATTCAGCTCAATCCTCTCATTTTACAGATAGAGAATGCAAGAGCTGAGAAAATTACTACAACTCACCAGAAACTGAGTTAGAATTTTCTAACTTCCATGCCAAAGTCTGTGCAATACAAAGAGCTTTAGAGTGACGACGTGGATTCAAATCCTGACCTGGCTATTTACTGGGCATATAGCTAAAAGCAAATTCTTTAATCTTTTGAGGCCTTCTGTAAAACAAAGGGAGGTGGTTATTTATACCTCTCAGGAAAATGTGGATTAAATAAGATAATGTACATGAAGAACCTAGCACATGAGTACTTAACAAATGACAGAATTAAAAAGAAAAGGTATTTTCCTAACTTAAAGAAAGGGGCACTAAGTAAGAGTTATCTCTTCATTTTGGCCCTGATATTTGCATCACAGTTCTTATTCTCTTAGGCCTTTCTTTCTGAACCACCCAGCATCCAACTTCTGATTACTGCCAAAAAGAAAGAAACTCTCAGAAGTCTACTCTGAAAATGAAGGGGAACAGATTTATATTACATGTAAAGAAGTAAACAACAAAATATGAGGCACAGAGCCTGCCTCCCATCATTCTACACTGGAGAGCAGTGCAGATGAAAGGTCCAGAAACAGCCACTGCATCTGATTCAGACACAGTGAAGGTCTGTTCCCTTGATATATTTTATAATTCTCATATAAATGAGAAAACTAGAAGTCTCCAAGCTTACCCACCTCTCTAAATGAGAAAAAAACTTAGGAATAACTAATTTTATAAGTTAGTTAATGGTATATCCAAAGGTCTTAAACTTGTCTTGAATAAAGTTGTCAGCCTGAGAGAGGTTTATGTGAATAAAGCTTTTCCAAAGCAAACTGTTACTTGTAAAAACTGAATTTAAAAACGTTTGCACTTTAATGGGAATACTGTTAAGAGTGAACAGCAGCCCAAATCTTGGCAACTTACCTTATTATCATCTAAGGGGAAAAATAATTTCTCAACAAAGATATGCTTGAAACCTTTAGTACCCAGAAATGGAATGTCTCCAGAAGATAAAGTGACCTAATGGTGCTAGCAAAGTGAAGTCCCAGGGACTGGCTACCCACATACTCACTGGCATAGTTTTCTCCACTGTTTTCAGAATGATTTTTCACACGTCAATCTTCTTACTACAAAATGCACTTAAAATACTGGGAGCACTGTGAAAGCACTTTGTCCTGTCCTGCTTCACAAGCCCATTAACCTGGGCAGTCTCTCTAGAACTACACCCTATCTAGCCACTATGCAATACTCCCTTTGATATGCACATGCCCCATTGTTTATCTTTCAGATGTACAATGCTGATTTGGCAAGATGCTTAGACCCCCAATCCCACTTCTAGATTATTACAATAATACGTCTTTCAGAATGATTTCTTCAAAATATTTAGAAAGAATTTCGGTAATTTTGCTAAACTTTTTCTCTCATTGAAAACAAATTAATTCTTTTTAACCCTGTTCCATAACCTATTTTTTTCCTCTTAGCAAGGAATCATGACTGTTTCTTCTTTGTCAAATATAAATGGGTGATCACTAATGAGTACGTGGTCTCATTCATTTATAGATACATGAACTAAACCAATCCACTAGTGTTACACGTTTTCATTTACCAACTTTTCACTATTATAAACAAGATTTCATTGAGCTTCCTTAAGTTATATCATAGAAGTATATCAACTGGTAAGAGAGGACGTACATTTTTACAGCATTTGGTACGTATTATCAAATTCTATTGGCACAGCACTCTGTGATTTCCCATAGCACAAGACTTACTATGGTATATAAGAATCATCCGTTCACTTGTCAGTCTCCTACATTATTCAGGATCCAGGACAAAAAATGGTTCTCAATAAACATTAACTGGATAAATAAGTGGCCAATGCTTTCCTGCAGAAAGTCCATCACTGGATTACATTTAAAAGTATTTATCAATTGTTACTTTAAACCTTTCATAAACTGTTTTGTGTGTCTTTAAGGGTACTCTTAGCATCATGTGGGTCGGCATTTCTAAAAGATAAAGTGCTTAATACCTGTGAATTTCTAATTTCATAATCAGTAAGTAGAGATGAGAAATTCAACTGCACTTGTTCCAACTTACTCATTAGGACTACTTGGGCTCACTAATAAGGCTTCTATCTTTATTGTAGACACTAAAGTTGGGTATATAGGAAACCAAATTCGAAGTAGAAGAGGAACTAAGAATTAAGCGCCTCCTGTGAGTCAAGCACTCTGCCAGGGGCTTTGCATTCATTTTCTCATTTAGCCCTCAAAATAAACTGGGCAAACCTGCTCCCTCCTTAACAAATGCTAGAGCTAGGGTTTGAGACTCAGCTTTATTTGACTCTTAATGTTTGTGCTCTTCCCACTACAGCATGCACCACTGAAGCAACCACTTCCCAGCTTCCCAAAATGTTAACAGCTCACAGCCTGCACAGGGTACACTGCTGGTTCCCACATTTCCATTCTCAGTCTCCAAACCCCATCTGACTATAAATCACAGATTACAAATCCATGCACCCACCAGAAGCTTTAGTTTGGTATTTCACACCATAAAATACTTCATGTTTCAAGTAGTCAAATTTTAAAAAATGGAAAAGGTTGCCAGGGGTTTTTGTTTCTCAATCCACTTAAAAATAAAAATTCATTTCCCATATCTCAAGAGTTTGGTTCATATAAGGCACTGTATAAAGGTCTCCTTTAACAGAACAGGGTTCTGCTCACCATCCCCTCTCCACCCAATTTATGTCCATAATAGGCTACAGCTTCCGTTCATAGAAACATTTCTAGTTTTCTAAAGCTGCATTGTCCCCCACCCCCATCTCAACCGCAAAACTTAAATATCTTATTTTAAAAAGCTACAAAGCCATTAGTAGCCAGCCAATTCATAAACCAGACTTCTAGCCTTCTGATTAAAATCTTAATAAAATTCTGGTAGTTGGATGTTAATCTGGGTTAACAGCCTCAGCAAGAATAAACTGTTTAAACAGGAGTTAGCAAGAACCAATGCACTTATGGACTTGGTTACTATGAAAACCTTATCACCTTATGCATATGTTGTAGCTTATGTGGACTTGTGAGCTATTGAATGTGGCTAAGTTTACTTAGGTGTCCTTTCATGAATATTATCTTCTAGCTTCTTTAAAAAGCAAAAGCAAAACGCCTTTACCTATCAGATTCTCACCCAACCTCTCATGGCGATTCCTTCTCTTTAAAAATCAGACTATCTTCTTTTTTAAAAAAAATTATTTTTATTATTTTTTTCTCTTTCAAAAATTATTTTTATTAATTTAAAAAATCAGACTCTCTTCACTGATCTCAGAATAGACAGACTGAATAACACTGCACGGTTTTTGTGTGCTTCCTTGTTTTTTTTTTTTTTTTAATTTGAGACAGGGTCTCGCTCTGTCACCCAGGCTGGAGTGCAGTGGCACACACATGGCTCACTGCAGCCTCGACTTCCTGGGCCCAAGTGACGCTCCCACCTCAGCCTCCTGAGTAGCTGGGACTATAGGTGCACACCACCACACCGAGCTACCTTAAATTTTTTTTTTTTTTTTTTTTGATAGAGATGGAGTCTCACTATGTTGCCCAAGCTGGTCTCAAACTCCTGGGCTCAAGAGATCCTCCCACCTTGGTATCTCAAAGTGCCAGGATTACAGGTGTAAGCCACCATGCTCAGCCTATGTCCTTTCAAATAAGTTAAAAATATATACATACAATATACACACACACACCTCTACCTGTATATATCCTAATGATGATAAATGACTCCTATCCTATGTTCCCTATTTATGTCCATGAATCTGCAATTTGAGTAATACCTCAAAAAAAAAAATAGACCTTGTCTTCTGCCCTTCCTCCCATCTCATCAGATGATATCAACATTCACATAGAGAATAGTCAGAAGCCAGGAATTATCTTGAACTTCACATTCTCCCTTCTTAATTTTGTATCCCCCAAATTACCATTCTAGTCATTTACAACTCCTAAATATCTCTTGAATCCATCTATTTCTCCATTACCACTGTAGTCTAAGCCATCATCATCTATAAGATTCCTTTGATAGCATCTTTTTTATTTTGAGACAGAGTCTCACTCTGCCATCCAGGCTGGAATGTAGTGGTGCAATCTCGGCTCACTGCAACCTTGGCATCCTGAGTTCAAGCCTCTTCGGTTCAAGCGATTCTCATGCCTCAGCCTCCCGAGTAGCTGCAACTACCAGTGTGCAACACCACGTGTGGCTAATTTTTGTATTTTTAGTAGAGACAGGGTTTCACCATGATGGCCAAGCTGGTCTCGAACTTCCAGCCTCAAGCAATCTGCCTGCCTTGGCTTTCCAAAGTGCTGGGATTACAGGAATGAGACACCATGCCCAGACTCGATAACATCTTAATTGAAATCTTTGTGTCCTCTCTCGGCTCAGTCTGATCTACTCTCCACAAAGCAACCACAATGATTGCAAAAAAAAAAAAAAATTGTAAGAAAACAAATTCTGATAACATCACCTCCCTGCCTAAACCCTTCAATGGTCTCTCATTGCCTTCACAACCAGATCCAGAATCCTAACCATGGCTTAGAACTTAGAACCAGCTACTAGCTATTTCTTCAGCCACATTTGATGCCACTGCTCCTCCTCTCCCTCTCCTTGCTTTAGCCATCTCCAGTGCTCTTGGTTTTTCAGACACTCCATGCTCTTTCTCAACACGAAGTGCTATTTTTTTTTTCTTTTTCTTTTTTTTTTTTTTCGAAATGGAGTCTTGCGCTGTCGCCCAGGCTAGAGTGCAGTGGCACGATCTTGGCTTACTGCAACCTCCGCCTCCCGGGTTCGAGCAATTCTCCTGCTTTGGCCACCCAAGTAGCTGGGATTGCAGGCGTGCACCACCACACCTAAGTTTTGTGTTTTTAGTAGAGACAAGGTTTCACTATGTTGGCCAGGCTCGAACTCCTGATCTCAAATGATCTCCCTGCCTCAGCCTCGTGCCTGTAATCACTCTGGGATTACAGGCGTGAGCCACCACGCCCGGCGGTCAACATGGAGTGCTTTAATCATGACACGTGGGAGATTTTTTTATCCTCATATTCACCTTGGTAAATCCTACTCATATTTGAACTCTTAATATAAGCACTACTTCCTAAGGGAAGTCCTTAAGATTACCCATAGAAGGTACTTTATTAAATATTTGTTGGATAAATGAATGTCTTATTCACAGTGTGCCTCAGCCCCTAGCAAAATGCCTGCCACATAATACATAATATAAATTTGCTGAATTTAGCGTATTGGATACTGATGAACACACAAAGTTGAAAAATATTAATTCTCTTACAGACAATTTAAAATGGATTTTAAATTGCTACAAAATGTATTTATAGGAAGCAAGAGTGCTCCTACCTACAGGAGAAATATTAAGCACCCTGTCAATAAGTAGATGTTTGGATTTCATAAATTATCCCCACACATATAAAAATTTCTTCCTTATTATTCATCATGGATAACTGGTCCTAACAGGACTTACAAGGTCTCTCAAGTCACTTCCTGCTTGCTTAGATTTAAATCACAAAGCTTAAGATTTTTACGAGAGGCAAATACAGGTAACATTAGATTGGCTCCCAAAAGCATATCCTGAAATGTGTCTTGCAAAAACAGGCAACAAGAGAATATATGAAGCTGGCAAAGCTTACTCTTTTCAGCAATTAAACTTACTTTATAATCTAGTTTATCACTGAAATTATACATTCTCTAGATTCTTCACACCTATAGAGCCAACTACTCAGAGGTGTGAACTAGCAAAAAAAATTATTTGGAGTAAGGCTTGTTTCCTATACAGCATTTATTGTGCAGACTATACAGTTTTCCCTGTAACAGTGTTTCATATTCAATATTCATTTACAGGGCATAAATTAACTGTTAACATTACAGCAAATATCTAACAATCCATTAGTACTACAATAACATGTACATTTACCTCATTTCAGTCTAACCACAAAATATGTCAATTTTTTGAAAACACAGGGAGAAGTTTTCTGAATATTGTGGCATTAATCTAGTTCTAACAAAATATGCACTTTATGCTGTGTGCGCATATATACATACAGTTCAGCCATCAAAATTACAGATAGGGTTTGGCATATTGTGGAAAAACTGGGTAAAGCTGACAAAATAAAATAGGCAAGTTGGAGCCTAAAAACAAAACAAAAAACTTCTCTTTGTTTACAGTTGATCCTTGGTATAATCTAAAGACTTCCCCTCAAGCCATTAGTCCTTAGTGTCATTCATGAATTACTCCAATGGCACAGAAGTGGCATGAACGTAACTGCTGGAGAGGCTGGAGGCTGCAATATTTTACCCCAGACCTAAGGCTTTAAATGTCCCATAAAGACTTCAATGACAACAGAATAGAAAAGTAGAAAAGTATTTGGGAATAAATTAGCAAAAACAGCAGGTTAGCACCCCCCTTTTTAGATCACTGATTATTTCTATAATTGTATCCACAGTCCTAATGCTATTAGCCTTTCATTTTACCATGCAGATGTGACAGGAGAAAAGACAAAAAAATAATTCCCACTGCACCTCTCTTTTGAGGGAGAGGATGGTGGTGGGACTGGGAAAAGCCTAGGTGGTGGGACTGGGTAGAGCGGTGGTGGGACTGCTCTTGCCCACCTATGTATGCTCTTACAATCTGGTCCTATTCGTTCTTGCTTCCCTCTATTCACAAAGGCAGCTCCTGACTTAAGGGGCTATTCCTACCCCTAAATACTCCCTCAATACTCCCTGAGTATTTCTACTCAGTTCTCAGCCTCATCATCTCCTACCAGGGTCACACACCACCAATCTTCAGGTCTCCTTCATTTAAGCTCTGCTACTAAGCTGACCACTGCATCTGTTTCAGTAAATTCAACTTAGAGTGGTGATATTAACTTTTGAGACACGTTTTCCCTTAAGATAAAACTTGCAAATGTTCAGCTTAAATTCAAGAAATACAATATGTTATATTTTAAGAATGTCAGCTGGGCACAGTGGTGCACGCCTATAGTCCCAGGGTATTAGTCCGTTCTCATGCTGCTATGAAGAAATACCCAAGACTGGGTAACTTATAAAGAAAAGAGGTTTAATTGACTCACAGTTTCACATGGATGGGAAGGCCTCAGGAAACTTAGAATCATGGCAGAAGGGGAAGCAAACATGTCCTTCTACACAAGGTGGCAGGAGAGAAGTGCCAAGCAAACAGGGAAAAGTTCCTTATAAAACCATCAGATCTCATGGGAACTCACTCACTTTCACGAGAACGGCATGGGGGTAACCGCCCGCATGATACAATTACCTCCCACCAGCATGATGTGGGGATTATGGGAACTACAATTCAAGATGAGATTTGGGTGGGGACACAGCCAAACCATATCACCTGGCTACTAGAAAGGCTGAGGTAGGAGGATTGCTTGAGCCCAGGAGTTCCAGGCCAGCCTAGGTAACATCTCAAAACTCCATCTCTAGAAGGGGAAAAAGAAGCAAAGAATGAATTGCCTTCTTGGCCAGGCACGGTGACTCACGCTTGTAATCCCAGCACTTTGGAAGGCCGAGGTGGGTGGATCAACTGAGGTCAGGAGTTTAAGACCAGCCTGGGCAACACGGTGAAACCCTATCTCTACTAAAAATACAAAAATCAGCCAGGCGTGGTGACGTGCACCTGTGATCCCAGCTACTCAGGAGGCTGACGCATGATAATTGCTTGAACCTGGGATGCAGAAGTTGCAGAAAGCCAAGATTGCACCACTGTGCTACAGTCTGGGAGACAGAGAGAGACTCTGTCTCCCCCAAAAAAAAAAAAAAAAAAAAAAATTAATTGCCTACTCAAAAGTGGTGAATGAAGACGGGGTGGGTGTGAGGGGGAGGGGGTGGGGGTGGGGGTGGGGGAGCGAGGAGAGTCAATCTCTTTCCCAAAGAGTAAAAGACCAAGTAGTGGTTCAAACTTCTAAGATATATTTTTTTGAAGGATGAAATGATGGGCTTACTAACACTTTCTTCTTACATCTATTAAAGCATATCAGGGGGATGTTCAGAGAAGATGACAATGATCTTCCCAAGATTAGGGCTAACTGACTAATTTTTATCCAGTGAATCCAAGGTATCAGAATACATGATGTTTATATAATTCACAATTCCTAAAAGGTATCTATCTCCATATTAAGGCTATCAACTACTGATACAAAAGCTTTCTCCACTAGTGAGAAAAGCTCATGCACAACTAACCTACATATCCTCTGTCCCAGTAGGGTGTGTGTAACCAGACTGCCTGAGTTCAAATCCTGGCTCTATTTCTTAATTGCTGTGTAACCTTGGGCAAGTTACTTAACTTCTCTTGCTCTAGTTTTCTCCCTACAAATGAGAATAATAATACTATCTACCTAATAAAGTTATTTTGCAGATCAGATAATACATGTGGAAGTCTTAGAACGGTGCCTGACATATAGTAAATCTTGGATTAACCATGATTGCTATTCCTCTTCCGACTTCTTAAAAAGTTGCTAGCTTGAGACTAATGCAATGAAAATAATTTCTCTGGTATGAATTATAGCGAAGTCTTTGGCTTCATTAACAATGTACACTAACAAGCCAATCCTGGGGATACAAATACGAAAGTTTTCAGGGACCAGGTGGGTATCATGAATGTGTGAAGTTAGGTGGCCTAACACAACAGGGAGTGCTAGTCATTGTGGCTAACTGGCAAGTGTAAGTCTCACCTAAAGGCATGTGATTTCAAATGTAAAAAAAATAAAAACCTCCAAATACAAGACGTCTGTGCCTTGAAAGCCAAAAATGTAAGACCCTTGATTTAAACAGAGACAAATGAACTTATTATATAAAAGTTTTGAAAACTGCATTATTGATTCTGCATATCAGTAAAGAAATGATTGATCAGATATATGTGAAATAAATGCAAGGAACAAACAGGAAAGTTTAGAGGTATAATACACAAAGAATCAGACAGACCTGTTTGAATCCTGCCTAAGCTACTTAGAAACTGCATGACCATAAGAAAGTTACTTACTTTTATTTCAGTTTCCTCAACTGCAAAAACGTTAAAACCTGTGTAGGATTGTTGTGAGGATGGCAGATAATGCAGCTGCCCCTCATAAAACAGGCATTGAATTTTTTTTTTTTTGAGACGGAGTCTCACTCTGTCACCCAGGCTGGAGTGCAGTGGCGCGATCTCGGCTCACTGCAAGCCCCACCTCCTGGGTTCACGCCATTCTCCTGCCTCAGCCTCCCGAGTAGCTCGGACTATAGGTGCCTGCCACCACACCTGGCTAATTTTTTTGTATTTTTAGTAGAGACGGGGTTTCACCATGTTAGCCAGGATGGTCTCGATCTCCTGACCTCGTGATCTGCCCGGCTCGGCCTCCCAAAGTGCTGGGATTACAGATGTGAGCCACCGCGCCCGGCCTGAATATATTTTTTAATGACCAATAAAAAAATGTTGGGGCCGGGCATGGTGGCTCATGCCTGTAATCCTAGCACTTTGAGGGGCGGAGGTGGGCAGATAGCTTGAGCTCAGGAGTTCAAGACCATCCTGGACATGGCGAAACCCTGTATCTACATAAAATACAAAAATTGGCCAGGCATAATGGTGCGCGCCTGTAGTCCCAGCTACTCAGGAGGCTGAGGTAGGAGGATCACCTGAGCCCAGGGAGGGTGAGGCTGCAATGAGCCATGACTGTACCACTGCACTCCAGCCTGGACAACAGAGTGAGACCCTGTCGCAAAAATAAATAAATAAACAAACACACACAAAAAGTAAAAAAAAAAAAAACAAAAAAAACCCAAAAACCTAGGTCTGGAACAGATCTTCTTAACCTACGGTTCTTATTATCAGTCAGCTTAGGCTAATTTACCTGCAAAAACGAATGACCCTATAATCTACAGGCTTTATAACAATGGTTTATTTGTTTTGATCACATTATAGGTCTACTGAGGGTAGACAGCAGCTCTGCTCCACGTATCTTCATTCCAGGAACCCAGAATGAAGGAGTGGCCCTTAATGGAACACTGCTGGTATCACTGCAAAGGGAAAAGAGAAATGGAACCACCTAACAGCTCTTAAAGTTTCTGGTCATAAAAGCCAAATAAATTTTTCATTAACATTTTATTGGCTAAAAGAAGTCACGTAGCTGAGCCTGATGATCAGGACAGGGAAGTATGAGCCTCACACTGGGAGGGGCACCAAATATGTGGGGACAATAATCTGGGATTCATAGTGTGTGTGCACAGAAAACTTTTGCATGTAATTTTGAGTAATCTTATTAAACTATATGCAATATTGTATATGCATATAGGCACATTTTCCCTCTCAGATAAAGGAATAAAGATACTATATTCTGCAAAGCATCACAGATCACAGACCAAAAGGGCCAAAGAAAAAGTCAGATTGGGTTTGAAAGAAGTAATATTTCTTTTCTTTTTTTTTTTTTTGAGACAGAGTCTCCCTCTGTTGCCCAGGCTGGAGTGCAGTGGCGTGATCTTGGCTCACTGCAACCTCCGCCGCCTGTGTTCAAGTGATTCTCCTGCCTCAGCCTCCTGAGTAGCTGGGATTACAAGTGTGTGCCACCACTCAGCTAATTTTCGTATTTTTAGTAGAAACGGGGTTTCACCATGTTGGCCAGGCTGGTCTTGAACTCCTGACCTCAAGTGATCCGCATACCTCCCAAAATGCTGGGATTACAGGGGTGAACCACCGCACCTGGCCAGAAGTCGTATTTCAAACATATAGCCATTACTAATTATAATACTAGATCAGTACACTTTAGCTCTAACTCTGATTTTCCCAGCTGCTGATTACTAGACAATGTGGGCTGGGGTATCAACTGAACTTTCTACCAGGCTGTACTAAATTCTGTAATAGCGTTAATAAAAATCTGAGTGTATGAATGCCATAAAACCATATTAAGCAGATACTGGCTTACTGAAAATAAAGTTTTGTCTGAAACAACTGTATTTCCAAGCAACTAAAATCCTTGTTCTTTATAAAATATCAGATAATCTAACCCTGACTCAAAATTTTGTGTTTTAAATTAATAGGACCACGACATGTTGGTTTTATCTTTTACTGATTACGAGTCAGGCTCATTCCTGATTCTCAAATGGACACCGGTTACTAAGTCAATGTATTAAATTTTTTTATTTATAGCTCCCTATCAAACAGAGAAAACAAATTATTACAAAGCCCTTCTTAGGAATGAACTGCCTCATACCTAGTTAATCCAATCTGGTTTGTCTAAATTTCACTTAAGACAAGTGAAATTGGGTATAACTAACACATTTTAGAAATATTTTTCATTTGGGAATATGCTTTTTACTTCACTTGCAAGCATGGGTAATTATGTCTTGAATGGAACAGCGGAAGAGGCAGAAGTTATCCATTCTGAAATTATCTTTCAAATATTTAATAGCATGTGATATAGGCAAATTCCTTCAGATAGCACTAAACAAATTAAACGATCAAGTTCTATGTAGACGACAACTCCCATTATCTCTTACTCTTATTCCATGCAGCTCAATAGGAAGTCTTATAGATCAAAAATCCTTTATAATTTTTTTTCTCATTTAGGCAATTTATTAGGCTTAGATCTTGCATTAGTCTGAGAGATGGTGCTTACCATTAATTCTGACAAATGGGCAAAAGGAAAATGAGATATAGTTCAGTCATCATCACCGGTACTTATTTTTCAAATATAACGCCCTTGGCTTCTATAATGAGGGATGGTGTAAGAAAAAGCCATGTAAAAAACACTTTTTGAAGAGCTGTTACTGAGAACACTGTTCGCTACTCTTCTCGCTAACCACTTTAGAGTTCATAACACAATGATCTTTGAACTGCTTACACAGTATTTCCATTTTTGCTTTGATCCCTAGGAAGCTCAGATTTCAATCTGCACTGTCTTTAATGATTATATAGATGTTTATATATGGATTTCTGTGTTCAAATTCCTCATCTTGGTCTTACTACTCAATCTGTATTTTCCCTTTGTCCTGATATCATCATTTTAAAAAGAAAACTATTGTAATCTATATATGATATTTTTTACTCAACTACTCTTATTAGAAAGAGGTAGTGTTAAATAAAATACCATAATCTTATTTTATGTGGGAGATTTCATAAACATTTGAGATAATATATATTTATATCTGTATCAATATTTAAGTGAAGACTACTGATTAAAAGGAAGAAAAATTGCTAGAAAAAATGTATATCAAATTAGGAACAAAATTTTACATGAACTGCATTAGAATTCCTATATAAGGAACTATGATTAGATTCTTATTTCATTTTATCTTTCAAGGCAAAGAATGCATGCATAAGAAATATCAACTAATGTATTAGAATTTCGACATAGGAATGGCCGGGCACAGTGGCTCAAATCTGCAATCCCACTACTTTGGAAGGCCGAGCTGGGTGGATCACTTGAGGTCAGGAGTTTGAGACCAGCCTGGCAAATATGGCAAAACCTCCATCTCTACTAAAAATACAAAAATTAGCCGGGCATAGTGGCATGCACCTGTAATCCCAGGTACTTGGGAGGCTGAAGCAGGAGGACTGCTTAAACCCAGGAGGCGGAGGTTGCAGTGAGCCAAGATCCCGCCACTAACACTCCAGTCTGGGCGACAGAGTGAGATTCCATCTCAATAAATAAATAAATAAATAAATAAATAAATAAATAAATAAATAAATAAAAGAATTTCCACATGGGGAGATGACAGCTATAACTAAACAGGTTTTAAGGTAAGACATGCCAAGTCTAAGTAACAGATCTAAAAACAGGAGGAGTTGAAAAACCACAGACAAAAATCAACAGAAGACGCTTTGGAGGCTAGCTACAATACAACAAAAGCAGTACAATTTCCTTAACACTTTATACTTCAATTGTCTCAGCAGAAATCATACAAATCTAAAAAGACTGGCTCAAAAAAGAAACAGTAATTACTTTTGCATCTTCGCAAAAATATCTTCCGCACAAACAGCCCCAAAACTCCCATTTCATGAAAGTGATTTACCATTTCGCTTAGCTCTGTATGTGAAAAACACTGTAGTGCAAACTCAAGGGAAAAACTAGCATGTCAAGAAAGGCTGCAGCACATTCCCAATTCCTCTTTTAATACTGTTTATCAATTCGATAGTTAGATTCCATTCATCTTTTTTCCTAGAAAGAAAAACTAAAACTAAGAGCGACAAGGAAAATTACCATCTCTGCAGCAAAGGTCTTGCTGAGACATTAAAGATGCCTAGTCAAGAGTGAACTGTGGCTCTAGCACTCAGGCGCTCAAGTTCTTCTGCAAGATGGCCAAAGGACCAATTTCATTCATTTCAGACAAACTAAAAACGTTACCCTGCCAATCTAAAAAAAAAAAAGTAAGAGTGTTAACTAGACTTACTTTCAACCAAATTAAAATCCAGCAATATGTTTTTTAAATTAAATAAATCTTCTCCATTAACTAGTCATGGCCAGAAATAAATGCACCAAAGACAGTAATTAGTGTACTGCTATGGGTGTAAGGAAAAGTGTGAAAAGGGTCAGTTTAAAGGAGAAAACAAAAACACCAAAATTAGCTTATACTAGTAGTGACTGTATTCAGAAGAACAGATTAAAGACTTTGGAATGCTTTTTTATTGGATTAGTTTTTGTTGAGATGGCCACAATTACGTATACAAGAGAAGCTGTTATTTTTGACTGTTGGCCCTGACAGACCTTGTCCCAGAATTTTTTTTATTGTGTCATTTAAAAATAGTTTCACAGAATATACTCATGTAATTCTGTAGATGAAGGGCTTTTAGAAATAATCTACTTGGGCTAGGCGCAGGGGCTCACACCTGTAATTCCAGCACTTTGGGAGGTCAAGGTGGGAGGACTACCTGAGGCCAGGAGTTTGAGACCAGCCTGAGCAACAGTGAGACTTCGTCTCTAAATAAATAAATAAATAAATAAATAAGCAAGCGAGCAAGCAAGCAAGCTGGGTGTGGTGACATGAGCCTGCACCTTTAGTCTTAGCTACTCAGGAGACTGAGGCAGGAGGAGTCCTTGGACCCTGGAGATCAAGGCAGTGGTGACCCAAGGTCATGCCACTACACTCCATCTAGGTTACAGAGCAAGACCATGTTGAAAGGGGAAGAGCGGGAGAGGGAAAGGAAGAGAAGGAGGTGAAGGGGAAGAGGGGAAGGGGGAAGAGGGGAAGGAGGAAGAGGGGAGAAAAGGGGAGAGGGGAGAAAAGGAGAGAGGGAGGGAGGAAGGGAGGAAGAAAAGAGAAAAGCTAAAAGAAAAAGGTGGAGGGGAGAGAAGAGACGGGGAGGGGATAGGAGAGAAGGGGAGAGAAGAGAAAGGGAGGAGAGGGAAGGGGAGCAGAGGAGAGGGGGAGGAGAGAGGAGAGGCAAAAATCTACTACGAGTTCTTTTTTTTTTTAACCTAAAATCAAGGTCAATGGTATTAGCAACATTTTAAATAAACAGAATAGAGGGCTGGGCATGGTGGCTCACAGGGTGGCAGTAGAAAGGGAAAAGGGAGATACGGAGGGAGGAAGAAGGAAAAAACAAGACAAGACAAGACGAGATGAGAGAAACAACAGAAAAGGAAATATCAGCATGCACTACACACAGTAAGGTTAAACTGTCTCTTATAAAACTTCTGACTTTGTAATATATATTTATTATGCACACTTATGTGTATATTAGATCACAATAAAAAATATATTTCTTAATGTAGGCTGTAGTCAAAAAGATTATAATACCAATGATCTAATACATTATTTTTTTATCCGAGCAAAGTGAGGCACAGAAGGGAAGATATCAACCTGTCCTGGGCATCCTTGGCAGGAGCTCAAGTGAGAAACATACAGAAATGTCTGATTTGAAAAGGGAAACGTCTCCCACCATGAACGCTAATCTATGACTTTCTCAAGTAGGTTTTTATTACTTAATATAAATGATCTATTTTGTTAACCATCTATTCTTGAAAATACACCCTATAAACCTAGTTCAACCATTCAGATAGTTGTGAACTATTAGTCCTGAATGGCACTGAAAAGATACTCTTGTTTTTCTTACCTTCCTTTCTTGCATATGTTTCTTGTGAGAGCCAATAATGACAAAATTTCCTTTAAAAGAGAGGTCTTAAAAAGCAGCTCGACCAGGTGCAGTGGTCCAAGTTTGCGATCCCAGCACTTTGGGAGGCTGAGGCAGGTGGATCACTTGAGCTCAGGAGTTCAAGACCAGCCTGGCCAACATGGCAAAACCCCATCTCTACTAAAAATACAAAGATTAGCTAGGCATGGTGGTGGGCGCCTATAATCCCAGCTACTCAAGAGGCTGAAGCAGGAGAATTGCTTGAACCCGGGAGGTGGAGTTGCAGTGAGCCGAGATGGCGCCACTGCACTCCAGCCTGAGTGACAAGAGCGAAACTCCATCTCAAAAAAAAAAAAAAAAAAGCAAGCTCAAGAAGGAGTTATATGTGACATGCATACTTTTATTTTCCTCCTCAAAATGGCCAAAAGTGTGATTTACTTAGTCCATGCATTGTTTTAAATGCATAACCTTTTTAATGCAGCAAATTCTATTTTAAGAAAATCATTTTAAGGAAAACAAAACAAGTACAAAAGATATATATTAGGCCAGGCAGTGGCTCACACCTGTAATCCTAGCACTTTGGGAGGCTGAGGTCAGGTCACCTGCAGCCAGGAGTTCAAGACCAGACTGGTCAACAAGGTGAAACCCTGTCTCTCCCCCTCCCCCCCAAAAAAAAGCCGTGTGTGGTGTGCACACTTATAGTCCCAGCTACTTGGGAGGCTGAGGCACAAGAATCACTTCAACCTGGGAGGCAGAGGCTGCGGTGAGGCGAGATTGTGTCACTGTACCCCAGCCTGGATGACAGTGGCCCAGAGCGAGACTCTGTCTCATATAAAAAAAAAAAAAAAAGGAGGAGAAGAAGAAGAAAGAAGAGGAGAAGAAGAAGAAAGAAGAGGAGGAGGAGGAGGAGGAGGAGGAGGAGGAGGAGGAGGAGGAGGAGGAGGAGGAGGAGGAGGAGGAGGAGGAGGAGGAGGAGGAGAAGGAGAAGGAGAAGAAGAAGAAGAAGAAGAAGAAGAAGAAGAAGAAGAAGAAGAAGAAGAAGAAAAAGTAGATAAAAAAACAGTGGTGACATCACAAAACAGAAATCAGTTTGAAGGGATGCCCAGGAGCCAAATCTGGGACAATCTGAGCATCAATAATAGTAATAACAATAGAAATTAGTAATGGATAGCTTACTAAATAAAATAGAAATCCATGGGTTTATAATGATATAATTTAAGAATGAGGGAGAAGAAAAAGCTCTTACAGTGGAAAGCAAACTAATAAACACAGAAGAAATTATGCAGTTAACAAAAGTCATCAATAGATGCTAAAAAAAACTAGTAAGTGAAATTTCCATGAAGAAAAGGACATTTATATAGTCTCAAAGTATCTTCCACAATTTCTTACTAATTAGTAAGGGAATGCAGGAATTTTATAGTGGAGAGACATGAGCACACTACCTTAATCACATGCTTCCTGATACTATGCACTACAGACACACATTACTTTTGTGATATTGCTCCCTAAAATGCGTAATTTCAATCTAATCATGAGGAAACATCAAACACAAACTGAGGGACATTCTACAAAATAACTGGCCCATACCCCTTACTAATATCAAAGGTCAAGAAAAACAAAAACAGGCTAAGGGACTGTCACACACTAAAGGTGACTAAGGAGACATAACTAAATGCCA
Organism: Homo sapiens; assembly: GCF_000001405.40. Classification (NCBI taxonomy): domain Eukaryota; kingdom Metazoa; phylum Chordata; class Mammalia; order Primates; family Hominidae; genus Homo; species Homo sapiens. The sequence goes on along the minus strand of NC_000006.12, from coordinate 38,040,997 downwards.
GAAATGAATTAGAACTTGATGGCAGGGGGAGGGGCACAGGCGGCAGCAGGGAATAGTTATCTTTAAAAAGGATATTACTGAGACAAGTGATGAAATTTGAATATAGACTGTGGATCAGATAACAGAAGTTTATCAATATTAGATTTCCTAATTTTGATAATTGTACTGTGGTTAAATTAAGAGAATGTCCTTGTTCTTAGTATACATGAAAATATTCAAGGATTAAAAGGCTTGATGTCTTCAGCTTATGCTCAAATGGTTCAGAAAAATATGCACGTGGGTGTGTGTACATACAAACATACATACAGAATAAAACAAATGGGGCAAAACATAAACAACTCCCGAATCTGTATAAAGGACATACTGGAGATCTTGTATTAGTTTTTGCTGCTTTTCTGTATATGTTTGAAATTGTATCAAAATTAAAAGATTTATGTTTTTAAATGCTGTACTTCACATCAAAACTAAAGTTTTAAAAAGATACGTACATGGAAGCAACTGAAGTGTCCACTGACAGATGAATGTATAAACAAAATGTAGTATATACATACAACAGGATGTTGTGCAATCTTAAAAAACAAGGAAATTCTGTCCAATGCTACAATATGAATGAACTTTAAGAATATTAAGTGAAATAAGCCAGTCACAGAAAGAAAAATACTGAGCTGTATAGTTAAGCATTGTTAAGATAGTACTTTTATGTTAAGTGAATTTTACCACAATTTGAAAGTTTGAAAAATATATAATGAATTTTTAAAAATTTTAAAAGATGTGTATGCAAGAATAGTCACTACAACCTTTTCTGTAAGTGTTAACAACCAGAAGGTCCTTTAAGAGCTGAGGCAGGTATCTACATACAGACAACGAAAAAAAGTAGAAAATGCAGGCTTATAAAGTACTATGCTTTATATACTGACTGTACAAAAATAAAATTTTTCAGTGTTTTTTTTCTAGTTTTTAATCCATTTCTCTCCCCAATGTCTCAAGAGATGCATAAGTTTAAGAGTAATAATATTCAGGTGAGAGAATGAGGAAGAATAATATTGTTTTCTGAACAATAGTCGGCTTTCTTTCACAGTAAGCATGTATTTTCAAAAATATTAAAAACAAAGCACAGAAAACATGCCTAATAACCACTTGGTCCACCATTTAGAATTCATTTTAATATTAGTCATATTTGCATTATGCATATGAATGCATATAAAAATTTTTAAGTATTATTAATAAAGCTACGGTTCTCCTCCCTAGTGCTTTTCTGCTCTGTAAACACAACCAATATCATGACTCTGGAATGTCTCCTTGTAGACCACATACTTATACTTTTCCATGCACTACAGAGTACTGATTTTTAAAATTTACATAAATGGTACTGTACTGCATGTCTTACACTATAACTAGCTTTTCCTCAATTCGTTTTTATGTATATCCATGCTGACACATATGCATCTAATTTATGCATTTTATCTTCTGACTACTACTCTACCTTATGAATACATTATACTCCTCTTGTGTCTCCTTCTGAGGCAAATCCTGGGGAAAATTATAAATCCTTTACAACCCAGAACACAAATGTGTATAGAAAAGGTTAAAGAGGAAGAAAGTGGCCAATTAGGTCATTCCATGACCTTAGGTATGTTTTAAAGCTGGCTATGAACAATTTTAATCTTCAAGTTGCTAAAAATCATTGATGTGAGACAAAACACTGAGATTCTATACACCCTCAGATCATCTCATTCTTTCCAAATAATACTTACGGTCCTTTAAGATTGTCCTTTAGTAAGGAAGCAGATTTTAAGAGGAATAAGACATACCTTGTAGAAATAAGACCCAATACCTTTTAAAATTTTATTAACAAAACACAAAGAAATACAGAGAAGAGATAACTGGCAAACTCCTTTAGGCCAAGGTTTCTCAAACTTGAGAAATTCTGGAACACTAACAGTATAGTATGGTGATTCCAGATTGAGAAATGTGATCTAGGTTTATTTCCAACCTATCTGATACTTAAAACCAAACCTGTTTACTTCAACCTCCGTAGTTTTACTTCTCAAAAGCAAAACAGCCAGATCCCAGTTAGCTTGAGCTTCAAATGAACCAGGTTTCAGGATGGGATCCAACAGCTTCTGAGAGATAGTGCTGCCCCAAGCCGCTTATATGATATAGATTCAGCTCCTTTTTGGTATGCCTTGCTTTCAAAGATCTTTGCATCTAAAATGACATGTAAACATCTGAAGACTAAAGTTATTTGGTAAAGACAAATGACTATGAAAGTCTACTGACCATGAAAAGGTAGAGGTGACAATTCTGAATCTTCCATCTCATGCCAGAAACTTTTTATTCTCTCTCTTAAAAAAAATAAAATAAAGCACCAAAGCGGGGGGGAAACGACTTTCATTCTCCTATATGAATGTCTTTAGAGACCCTGCCTCAGAATATCCTCCTGGGGGCCTAAGGTGAACCCTGCCATTTAAAAATATCTCATTTTATAAACAATTTATCTTGTACAGTATTTCCAAACCCAATTAAAATGGTACATTTGTTTCAGTTTTAGTTGCTAAGATTCATTTAAGGCTCACATATTTTTAAATATCTGTATGAAATAAAAGGTCAGAATCCTTTTCATAAAGAGCTAATTGACCACCATGCTAAGCAGAATCTCCTTTTTAATTGCAATCAAAAGGCTGCACTGCATCCATCATCTCTGCCTTTACCACAGAGGAGGAAGCAAAATGTATCGTCAACATGCTAGAGGGTAACAAAGCTCTCTAACAGAGCTACTTCTACTTTTAGGGTATTCAATATCTCAATGGCTAAGAGAAGGACAGGAGAAGATGTGAAAGACTAGAGGCCTCGGGCCAGCTGATTAATCCTTGAAGACTGACTTGCTGGGCCGCACAGCAGCCCTGGAGGCCCTACACGCAGACTGCCATGAAGGAGCTGAGTGTGGCTCCTTAATGCTTTTACCCTCCAATCTCTCTGTTCTTTGGCTAATTAGCTCACGTTCTTCTTCCACATAACCCCCTCATATATAATACATACCAAGATCATGTGAAGGAAAAGTCACTCACTGCAAGAAAGGATTAAAAATGTGCAGCATGGAAAATTAATCTTTGATTCATACAACTTTGCAGTAAACATTCAGGAATATGATGGGATTGTTATCAGTTATTTCTACTTGGTGAACAGGCATCCACTTGGCTGGTCTCCAGAACAGCGCATAACCTACACGCCCGCCTTTCATTAGAATGATAAAGGTGAGCCTTTTTAAAGGGCCCAAGAAGTCTTCAGCCCAATCAAGGAGTTAGTCGTGGATGTGCACCCTTTGTGTGGCCCCATCCCAATGGAAGTGCTGCTTATGTCTCCTACTCTGGGCATGAATAAGTTGTTTGCTTTACCTACATTAAAGCATGTATACCTTTTACCTGTTAGCTGATGCTTTTCAATCAATTAAATGCTTTTCAGTCACCCAAGTTCACACGCAATCCGAGTCATGGAAAAATTTTTATCAAGAAGTTACATACGCATCTACCTCTGAAATGGTGACGGATTGGTGATTATAATGCTTGTTAAATTAGCAGTCATACTTCTCTTAAAACCAGAACTCTGACATGAATTTACAACTCAACTACCCTTTCCAGAAATTCTGTTCTACTGAACTGCTGATTGCCAGCTTGTATCAGACATCAGGGAGACAATAAGAAGGCTACACCACGAATTGGTTGTCACTCAAATAACACTAAAAATATTTCCCACTGATGGCCTGTTATGTTACGTTGTGTGTACTTACCCATTCATTATACCTTACAAACCTTTAAGAGGTTCTAAGGTAGACATGGCCAAGGGATATCTATTCTCTATTCACTAAAAGATTGAGTAGCTCAAAGAATGTGTTGAGTTGGCAGGATATATGACTAGAGTTTAGATCCTATTTAGAACATGACATTTTTCAAACTCTGAAGCAACTTGGTGTGTTACATAAAATAAGCAGAACTAAATGAAAAAGTACTGATATATAAGATAAATTCTGATTTTACAGTTTCTGAATATCTCTTCAGATGGTTTACCTTTTAAAATATGTATTTAAGACTGGCTATGGTGGCTCATGCCTGTAATACCAACATTTTGGGAGGCCAAGGCAGGAGGATTGCTTCAGACCAGGGGTTTGAGACCAGCCTGGAAAACATAGTTAAGACCCTGTTTCTGTTAAAATTTTTGAAAGAAAAAGATTTTTAATAAAAAATATATACTCATATATTTAGTATTTACATGTTAAAAACATGCTTGTCAAGTTAGTTTCTTAAGTCTCTATTTCTATGTGGATTATTTGTATAATCTCTTTATTGATAATCTCTACTTGATGAGTCTGTAATCATACCTCTTTTATATTTACTTATAATTACATTAATTTTGAAATGTATTTATAATTCGAAGTCTTGGTCTAAATCCAACATCTGGGCCCCCTCAAAGGCAATTTCTGTTTTCTGTTTTTATCCCCAGTAGGTGGTCACACTTTCTAGTTTTTCTGCATGAATTTCTGTTGAAAACTGGACATTTTAGATAATACAACCAAGTCTGGTTATGTACCCTCTATCCTCCTCTCCTATCCTATCCCTGTTCTGGTGTTGCTTGTTGTTTGTTTAGTGGCTTGGCTGGAATAATTCTGTGAAGCCTATTTACCCTGCAGTATGCAGCTTCTGATGTCCCTGCTCAGATTTTTTTCCTTGTTTTTATCTTTCAGCCTGGCTTCTTAGGGGTCACCCCTGGGTTCACATAAACTTCTTACTGGTCAAAGGTAGTGCTTAAGCTTCCTTAGCCAGTTAGATTTTCACCCTTTACTAATGAAAATATGTGGTGCTTGGAAACTGCTATCACATTTCAGGGAATATATTATTCTGTCCTGTCTTTAGCCAGGGAGAACAGACTCAAGAGTCTGGGAGAGAGGGGACCCTGAATTCTTGGCTGCACTCTCCTGGAGGAGACTTTCCATAACATGGAGCTGGGAGAGGTAATGGATGGAAGCTGGTTGTGGCTCAAATGCCACAAGGTCTCCAGTTCTTACTGAGATTTAGTAGACTTTATTGAAAGTATTTCTCCATTTGCTGTGTGCCCTTAGGACAATTTCCAGAGACTTTAAATGTTTTGCTTTAAATAATTTTAACTAAATGGCCTTTTCACCTAGAAGGTCAACCAAGCTCCACACACCAGCATTCTAGAAATTCCCACCCTAAACAATTTCTAGAAAATTAAAACATGGATATGAGATAGAATCTGCACCTTTCCTAGATTAGTGGTGTTTGCTGAGTTCTTGAATGACTCAATACTGCTTACACAACAGTTCATATTACAGAAAAAGAAAAGGCAGGAATTTGTATTAAGTACAATAAGAGAATTACATTAATGAGGATCTCCCATATGCTAATTAAGCAACCTAAGTTTACTATTTCGTCAGTGTCTAAATATAAACAATATTGATAACTCAGAACATGGGTACCTAAGAAAACAAATCACCCTCTCTCCCTTTTTGAGGATTATTTTTAAGACTTTCAAAGCTAAAATACACAATTATTATATATGTATTATCTTGGTTGCTTAGAAACCGTGAGACACGTCCTGAATAAGCAAAATTAGAGCAGCATAAGGAGGGAACCCTTTGTTAAAAAGAAGTTTAGAGAAAAATGCCTTGGCTATGATAATATATTTTGAAAATGAGACTGCAAAGTAAAGAAACATAATAGAAGATTCGGGATGTCACATGTGAAGATATTTTCTTAAGCAAAATACTTTTAAGTATTTCTTACTGCTCTCGAGTTACACACTTCAGCTATAGTTCACCAAGGAAAAAGAACTTTAATGCATGTATAAAACTTCCATAATCCCATGCATCAAAAAAGCCACCAAGAAAGAAAAGCAGGCCTATATTTATGAACCCCGAAAGCTCAACAGGAAATCAACTTTACACTAGGCCCAGGAAGTGTAAAAACTTAAATTTCCAGTAAACTGTGACTATTTAACAGCACAAATTAGAAGCAAGACAACCATCAACAATCCTATACATGTAATAGGAACCTTCTTATGTGCTGCTATTTCCATACTTAGAAAAAATAAAAATAAAAATAAAACCCTTTTTGGGAAGTGGTATGAGAACAATTGTATGTATCAAATTAAAAGTCAAATTTGAAGTATTAATCAAAAAGGCCTATGGGAAAATAAATACCATTCAATGAACAAGCTACAATTCCTGCTGAGGACTCAACTTAATTCCTCTTTTGTCTAGATCAACTTTTTAAAATGCCTAGAAGTCCCTATTTGGGGAGAAGATCCATTATCAGCTTTTGACAAAGAATCTTTTTTTCTTCCCCTTTTTAAAATATTAATTTTGAAGCCACACTGGAAAAAATGATCTTGTTTATTTTTAGTTACATTGGTCAAGAATCTTTCAAAAGATACTGCATATTTTTCAAGACAAGCCAGCAAACACATGATGTGCTCCCTCTGCTGGCTTTGCAGTAGTTCTTTCTTAGATGCTCCTTATATCTTGAACTGGAAATGCAAATACTTTTTTCCTAATAAAATAACTATCAAAGGGTGATACATCCCAGTATAATATATCAGGCGGCTTTTCAGTAAAGCAGGTTTAGCAACAGTATATTAGGCCAACCCCAATGGACTTTATCCTTTCTTATTCTGCATTATTTTCTTGCATTTTAACATCTCCATTTCTTGCATGGGTTGGAGTAGAGGTGGAGAAGGTAAAAGCTTCATACAAAGAGAAAAGGAAGAGACTAGTTTGCCCCACTAAATAAAAACACTGTAGATGCAATCTGGCACATTTAAGTTCACACAAAAGATGAAACTGAATGTAAAACATAATAGGCTTTTCTTAAAAAGCTGAGGAAATCACTGTTTAAGAAGCCCAACATTGTACTACCACTTTTTTTCAGATCCCTAAATGGACAAAAGGTTAGAAAATCAATGCACAAGCTAGAAAATATTTTTTCATTAGAAGTCTTTTTAAATTCTAGAATTTTAAGTCATTTGTAAAATAAAATTTATTTTGAAACAGTAAGTACCCTTTTAAACAAAGCTTTAACTCTGCTTGTTTAAATAAGCTATTAATTTTAATTATTTTGCCAAGTGCCATTAAATAAATGTCACAAGAGTTGTCATAGAGATACCCTGTGATTGACTGACTGACTGAGCTATCCCTGAAAGCTTTCAGAGAGAACATGAAAATCTACCTGCTTCTTGGCTATCAGTAAAACAAAAGATAGAAGGAGTTTCAATTCAAGGCACAGTTGCTAATTATGTAACAAGTACAGTCAATTATAGGCACTGACATAGAAAACTGTGGATTGGCATGTAAAATTCAGTACAAATAGAGAAATGAGTAAATGGAAAGGTGAATAATCTTTTCAGACACAGCTGAATTACTGCTTTAAACTACTAGCTGTCACACACATGCTGTTCTAATTACCTGGTTAAAGCAGCCTGCAGGCCATTCCTTGTGAACCCCTGTCTTAAAATGAGGTGACGAGGGGAAGGTTGCAATAAATATAAGTTCTATTAACTAGGTCAAACAAGTGGCTGGTGCAATGACATCAACTCTAGCTAGAGAAACATTTCAACTTGATTTACACAGAGAAAGGCAAAATTTCCTTTTTTAAAAAAATAATGAAGATTGGAAAAGCTGGATTAATATTTTCCAGCCTATTCCTGAATACAACATCCCTTCTCATTATAGATGAGAGTCTATATTATATGATGTTTAGTTTCTAGAGAGAGTAAACTAAATCCAACCCCTTTCTGATCTTCTTACAGGTCTAAATAAATTATTTCAAACAGCTCTCAGGAATTTAGCTCTTGGATAAGAGTTTACTTGCAGCCATTTTGGTTAATGTGTTTAAATTTTTCAGCTAGCAGGCTTCCATTTTTTTTCAGTAAGTTTCTCACTGCCTTCCTAAAGGATACAGCTTTAGCCCACAAAGTAACTATGACAGCCTTTGTATTAGCATTCCGGGGAGGCAATCAAGGCTTGGGTCTTATACAGAGTAGCAACATGGACTCTGCATAGTACATTCATACACACAAAACCAAAACTTATCTTTACATTTTAGTTCCTAGATTTGAATAAATAATAATAATTCAATTTCAAACACACCACTCAAATCAATGAAATGCTAATTATAAGCAAAGAAGTTTTCTACGTTCATGGTAAGATAAGACATGGCATCTACTGTGCAGGCACAACTTCAGCTAAATAAAGTTCAGGGACTCTTTTGTGCTTTGCTTGATCACCATTCCCCTCCACAGTTATTAGATAATCAACTCCTCCCAGCTGCTCTTAATGTTAGCTTTTAATAAAGAGATGAAGATATTTATCAAATGCCCTTTGAAAACAATTAGACCTCTACCTTTCCCAAGAGTTCTTCAGTACATTTTAAGTAAAGTAGGTGCTCAGAGTTTTATTCTCTTTTGGGTAATGAGGTCCATGTCTTCCTATAATCTGCTCTGACACTAAAGACACTTCCTATCACAGCTCCATGACCACTGAGCAGAGTTCAAATGACATTTCTGATACAACTTAACTGTCTCAAAGACTTGACAAAAATGTTCTCCACAAAATTATTTCTATTGGTGAAACTTTCAAACAACTGACATATTCAATGATAAAATAGTTAAATTATAATACGTCCTTTTAGCCTAGGATTATACCATTAAGAACATTTTCAAATATTATCTTTGCTATAAAATATAAATCTTGTAACTATTATATTGATTATATTACAGTAATCTATAATAGTATTACTAGCACTCTTATAGTAACATAGATAAATGCTCATAATACATTAAAAAATGCAGCATACAGGCCAGGCATGGTGGCTCACGCTTGTAATTCCAGAACTTTGGGAGGTTGAGGAGGGAGGATCACTTGAGCACAGGAGTTAGAGACCAGCCTGGGTAACATGACCCAGACCTCATCTATACTAAAAATCCAAAAATTAACTGGGCATGGTGCCATACCCCTGTAGTCCCAGCTACTTGGGAGGCTGAGGCGGGAAGATCACTTGGGTCCAGGAGATTGAGGCTGCAGTGAGCTATGATGACACCACTGCAAGGACCTGGGTGATACAGCAAGACCCTGGGACAGCGTGGGGCGGGGGGGGAGGGGCAGAATATGAAACTGTAAGTTGGAGTCTACATATGCATAACAAAGGAGATACATTAAAAGGTATTAAAATGGCTACGTGGGTACTCTACTGGGCAATTAAGTGTTATCTCAATTAACCAACAAAACTTTAAGGCGGTTATAATTATTAATATCTTCATTTACAATTGGAGAAGCTAAGGCTCCTAGAGGTTAAGAAATTTGCTCAGAATCACAAAGCTAGGAAGTGATAGAGTCAGGATACAAGTACTCAAGTCTACTGGACTCCAAAGTCTGAGAACTTTCCTCCAGCACGAAAGAAAGATGCCATAACTGAGACAGGCTTGCAAGTATATAATGAATTGAGGACAGGACTGAACATGCTAAAGGGAGTTTGTTGTTTCCCGAAGGGCAAAGTAAGAAAATGGCTGAGCATAGTGGGGTCACAGATAAAAGTTTAAGGCATAAAACATAGATCTGCTGAAGATCAGGAGAATGGCTTAATGACAATAGTAGTATAGAAGATGAATCTGAAACTTTATTAAGTATTGAGGAGATGAGTCAGAAGGTGAAAGAAACTTCTAGCAAAATCCAGGTATGTGATTACAGAGTAACTAAGTATTTTTGAAAAAGAGGGGACCCAAATACAGAGGCAAACAAACAGGTAGTAGCACCAAGAACGGAGAAGAAACAAAAAACTACGTAGTGAAAAAAGCAGCACCTTGGATACAGAAAGACCTGGGTCCTATCTTGGCTACGTAACCTTAAGAAAGGTTGGCTCTTTCCACTGGTTGTATCCTTGATCTATCACATTCTTATTTAAATTACTTTTACCCCATCTCAGGTACAACTTAGAACCCTAGCAAGCTTTTGCACCATTTATTGCCCTCTTTCCATTATGTTACTGCCATCCATTGTGGTTTTGCATCTATTTTCAACTCCAGAAGACACTAGAATTGTTAGTTTTCACAATCAACATTCATTTAAACAACAATTTTACTTCATCCTCTGTTCTCCATTCCTTCTACCACTTTGTCTGGCATCCCCTTACCCCCATGAAGTTTTTTTCTTTTTTTTTGTACTTCTTTCAATGCAGACCTGTAGGTCATAGACTCCCTTGGTTTTTGTTTGGATAAAAATGTCTTCTTTCCTTTATTTCTGCAGGGTATTTTCCTTGTGCTTACATTATAACTTGACAATTGTTTTCTTTCTCCCCTTTTAAAGATGTCTTCCTACTGCCTTCTGGAGTTCATTGTTTCTGTTGAACAATCAGTTGCTGGTCTTATCACTGCTTCTTGGAATGAAATGTGTCCTTTTCTCTGAATACTTTAGTTTGGGGTAGCTATATTATGATTGTTCCCCAATTCTCTGTTGTCCCATATGGTGAGCTTTACCACAGTAAGTACTGGTGTGAATTGCTCTATATTTTGTATGTTTTGATGATACAGCTATAGAAAATACCCAAACTGAATTATAATGAGAAAAAAACAGTGCTTACTGTGGTAAAAATATATGCATATATTTACAGCCAGGTGCAGTAGATCATGCCTGTAATCCCAACACTTTGGGAAGCCAAGTGGGGAGGATTACTTGAGGTCAGGAGTGTGAGACCAGCCTGGGCAACATAGAGAGACCCTGTCTCTACAAAACAAAACAAAAAAAATTTTAAAGGAAAAAAAGGAAGGAAAGGAAAGGAAAAGGAAAGAAAAATAAAAGATAGATTAGACATGAAAAGAAGACCTTCTCAGGCTATATATATATATATATATATATATATATATATATATATATATATATATATCCAGCAGAACTACATAACAAGAAATGCTAAAGAAAGTTCTTCAAGGCAGAATAAATTTGATACCAGACAGAATCATGGATCTACACATAGAAATGAAAAGCACTAAATACAGAATAATTTAAGGCAAATATAAACTTTATGTTTTTCTTATTTGTATTTGCTCTAATCAGTAAAAGCTTAAAACAAACATAGTAGCAATGTTTTGTGTGTTTAAAGCATATGCAAAGATAAAATACATGACGATAATTTATACGATTACTGGAAATGCATGAGGATTGCCGTTACTTCACATCCTCACCAACGCTTCATATTTTCTTTGTATTTCCCTGATGACTAAAGGTTACACATATTTTTCATGTGTTTATGAATATCTCTCCTTTTTAAAGTACCCAAATTTTTGCCTATTTATCTATAAGGTTTTTGAGGGGGAATGTCTCTTCAATTAATATGTAGGTATTCTTTATATGTTTTGGCTATGTGTCCATACTTTAGTCATTGCCTGAGATTATGCCAATTACAACCATAAATGCTGTGCTGTTTCACTGGTGTTAGAGAGATCCAAATGAATACTTAAGAGAAAGAAAAGAAATCACAAGGAAGACATTTCATTACCCAACTTTTAAAAAATGCTTTGCTTGCTGGTATTTAGTAATACAGAAACTGATTTAGTAGAAATAAAGTCAAAACATAAAACGAAAATCAGAATAGCTATTCTTCCTGAAATCCAAAGGCTGAAAATTTGTATAATCAATTTATTCTGGTTACCCTGAGATCAGCAGTCAGAAAGAAGGGCCACCCACCCGTACTCGTTTGTAGATATGGCCTGATGGAGACATTTCAAAAGTGTTTTATAAGCTGTACTATTTAAATAAGATGAGTAAAGAAGCTTGATGGACTTTTAAATGGCTTTTCTACAAACTTTCATTTTATCAAGGTAAGAGAGTTCAGATAAAACTAAAATAGCTGTGCATGCCCAAGACTGAATATTTGGGTTCTACTAACTTATTTTTCTTCCACCGGTTATTATGTAAAGTTCAATCAAGACAGTCGAGAAAGACATGATTCTGTAATGAGAGACAAGGTCAACCTCACTGAAAACACATTTAATCAGAAGTCATTAAAACAATTTCTTACAAGCAAAAAATAGAGCTTGATTTGGAATGGACTATTCTGCACCATGCCTTGCTTCACAAAGAAAGGAAAAAGCCAAGTCACCTAGCTATACTCTGTAATAGAATTCTACATAGAATACAGGAAATGTATCCATGATAACCAGAAGCCACACCAAGACCCCACAGAATCACTTCAAGCCAAGGTAAAGAGCTACAACTTGGAATTTACTCACTGGCACATTAATTTTGAGCTTATTTTGTTGCTACACTGCAAAGGAGAGTTAAGTGGATTCTTTACTACAATAGTACCCTAGGTCAGGCAGACTTTAGTCGCAATGGGACACTACCCCTGGATCTAATCAAGCAGATCAGCAGTTGCCTGAGAAAATTAATTCAAAACAAGGACATCTTGACTAGACAATAAATACAAGCAAGCATGGAATATAGACCACTATACATTCAAATTTGTAATTTACCAAGGTTGTGATAAGACACTTAAAAAAAAAAAGATAATGTGAGGGGAATAGAGTATTTCTAAAAACTGTAATACAACACAGAAAATTTGGTGTAATGTGTATCTAAAATTCTCTTAATAATATATCTACTACACTAACATATAGGTCCTATAAACCCTACTCAAAATTAACAATGCAAGCTAGAGACTTGTTTTCTAACTCATATACATCACTGTCTTGTACAAGTATGCCACATAACATGAGTACTCTTAAAACTAAATTTCAATATGAGGCACAAACTACAGAACAGAGAAAAGGAAGGAAGTGCTTTAGCCTGTTCTTGGAACTGATTGTCATTCTAGGATACTGGCTGAAGGGAGACTTATGAACCATCCATGATATAAGAAACTGAAGACAAATTCCAAATATTCTTGTAGCAAATGTGCTCTCTTAAACAGAGCAGACAACTTGACAAGAGCAAACAATGCCCTGGGGAATGCCGGCTAACCACCTTTAAGCCCAGCCTCAGAAAAAGCAATGTCTTCTCAGTCCCTGCACAAATTACAGAGAAACAAAAGAAAGGCTCCATAGCAGGGCAGTCATGAGCTTCAGGAGCACTTGTGCTCAAATGAAATTAGTTGTGTTCCTACCCAAACTGTAGTTGCAGGCTCCCTGAGACATTCTGCTGAGTCAGTCTTCCACTTACCCAACCATACCTCCCATCTGCCTAAGACATCCAGATTGGTTTCAAAGCCTCTGCTGAGAGCATCCGCCTTTTGCACAAATATTAATATTTTATACCTACCGAGGCAGCCAGCCATGAAGAACAGTTTTTCTTCAAAATTTTGCTTTGATTCCTTGCTACTCTCTCTGAGCTTCTGAAAGCTAGATAAGTTACACACATATACCACTGGGTTTTTCAAGCCTTAGTACATTCATTGATATTTTATAGACTTAATTCCAAGGCAGCTAAACAATATATTCTATTACAAATGCTCTATTATAAAAAAGATGCCTTTAGAAAGGCAAGTTGTAGACTAAAATATACCTACAAAAGGAAAAGGTAACCTTAGAAAAAAGGTTATCTCGATAGGCTAGTCAAAGCTCTTTGGTTCTTTTGAGAAGGACCTTAAAGATTCCATAAATCCACCATGCGGTTTCTGAACATGTACTGAATGAGACTATTTGTTGACAATAAGGCATTTAAAAGGCACTTGCCAAATTCATATTTGGGAGAAATATTTTAAAAAGCAAGAGGTAGGATGTCACGCAAGAAAATCACTATCATCTACTCTCGTAACTATTCCTCATTTTGAGAGACAAACATGTTTGTAACCCCAAGACAACATCATTTCACTTGGAGCTAACTGTTCACTATCCATCACTAGAACCTGTGTCCTTAGAGCCCTGTAGGCTCTTGAAGACCTCTCTTCGTGGACTGGGGAAAATATTTAGGGAACGGAATAGGAATTTACTTAGTTCCGCCCTCCCCCCACCAAAAAAAGTCAGTAAATCTATTCCTTACTTAGTAAACACTAATTGATTCAAAAACTTAGACCTGGAATTTCATCTGTAAAGAGTAAATTAGCTAATGTGCAGGCAGGAAATAAAACTAAATTTGCTTCCCAAATAGTGTCCCAAACCTTGAGGGAGATACCTAGTATTAAATTACACTCTCTCTCTCTCTCTCTCTCTCTGGTTATTAAAATGCAAAGAGCCATAATATCTACCACATAAGATCCTAAAATTGGATTGGCCGGGCGTGGTAGCTCACGCCTGTAATCCTAGCACTTTGGGAGGCCAAGGTGGGCGGACTGCCTGAGCTCAGAAGTTCAGGATCAGCCTGGGCAACATGGTGAAGCCCCATCTCCACTAAAAATACAAAAAATTAGTGGGGCATGGGGGTGCACACCTGTAGACCCAGCTACTTGGGAGGCTGAGGCACGAGAATCACTTGAACCTGGAGGCAGAGGTTGCAGTGAGCTGAAATCCTGCCACTTCACTCCAGCCTGGGTGACAGAGTGAGACTCTTGTCTCAAAAAAAAAAAAAAAAAAAAAAAAAATCCTAAAGTAATACAAATAATAAATGCTAGCAGAATCCATAATGTAATGTAGAATGTCAAGGCTAAGTAATCATCCTCTGAGACCTTATATAGTTAGTGTTTTCCTGATCACAGTGCTAAAACAGACGGCAAAAGAAGGAGTAGTTCTGGACCTTGGGACTAGAGAAACAGGATTTATGAAGAAAAGTCATAAAACAATATATCAAGTATAAAAATGATCCAGTATAAACTGGATGTAAGTGTATTTAGGGGACAGAGACATTAAGAGGTTTGCTGAAGAACTTGGTTTAGAAATGGATCTGATAAAGAATTTGTCAATAATTTATATTTTAAGTAATAGGTTATTTTTGTAACAGCTTTATTGAGATACAATTTACATATTATAAAACTCACCTAAGGTGTACAATTCAATAGTTCAATAGTTTTAGGCAGAGTATATTCACAGAGTTGTGCAAGCATCACAACCAATTTTAGATTGTTTTCATCACCCCAGAAAGAAACCCTGTACCCTTTAGCAAGGACCACTCATTCCCTTCCGACTTTCCAGACAACTCCCACCGGCAGCTCTAAGCAAAACAATCTACTTTCTGTCCCTGTAGATCTGCCTATTTTGGACATTTCATATAAGTGAAATCATACAACATACAGTCTTTCATGACTGGCTCCTTTTACACAGCATGAAAGTTTTCAAAATTCATCTATGTTGTGGCATGTATCAGTGCTTCATTCTTTTATATCTCTGAATAATATTCCCTGTATGGATGAATGAGACTGGCCAAAAGATGAGTAAGCAAGCTATTTGCCAAACTAGTCTTCTGTTTAAAGGCTAATGTTTTATAGTAATAAATACCACTAATTCAGCATAACTATTTCACTAAGAACAAAACAGACCAAAAAAAAAGGAGTTCACAAGATTCAATATCTTCATGTATACTTTTTGTAGTAATGACTCTGATGTTAATACAAGTTTCAAAAAAATAAAAATTCAGAGAAATTATCTTTTCTTCCATACCATTTAAATACCACTTAAATTACTTGGATATTGTGCCTCCTAAAAAAGGGGGGATAAAAACAAACCACCACTTCTAATTAAGAGGTGAAAGTACCACCAGTAATTATGAAAAAGTATTGATGTGACTAAAAAAAGACCTTTGTCTCTCCTGAGTAATGTCCCTTAATAAGAGTATGTGACTTGTGAATTCCTATAGGAAAAATGAATTTTTAATGTTGCCATTTTTACAGCAGCTTAAGCCCTGAGTCAGAAAATGGAAACATATTTCTAAAACAAAGGAATGTAATGAATGGATCCAATATTAACATCTACTAGACATGTGAAATCTGAGAAGAGTAGCTCTCAGAATGATCATGTGACATGTGAATGGATACCAGATATATTAAAGGATTTAACCAAAGGAGAAATAATGAACAATACATATGTATTTTCTACTTTAGTGAAATTCACAGAACATAAAATAAACCATTTTAAAGTGAATAACTCAGTGGCATTTAGTGCATTTACAACTTTGTTTGACCATTGCCTCTCTCTAGTTCCAAAACATTTTCATCAACCCAAAAGGAATCCCCATACTCATTAAGCAATTGCTCCCCATTCCCTCTCCTATTGCCCCTGGTAACCACCAATCTGAGTCTACCTCTACAGACTTACCTATTCTGCATATTTCATACAAATAGAATCATATAATATGTGACCTCTTGTGTCTGGTTTCTTTTACTTGACATAAATGTTTTTGAGGTTTGTCCATGTTGTAGCATGTATCATCTGTACTTCATACCTTTTCATGGCAGAGTAATATTCCACTGTATGGATATACCACCATTTATTTAATCATTCATCCAATGGAAGAAATAGGCTGCTGCCTGCCACCTACTGGCTATTGTGAATAGTGCTGCAACAAACATGCACGTTTAGGTACTTTTTTTTTTTTTTTTTGAGACGGAGTCTCGCTCTGTCGCCCAGCCTGGAGTGCAGTGGCACATCTCAGCTCACTGCAAGCTCCACCTCCCGGGTTCATGCCATTCTCCTGCCTCGGCCTCCCAAGTAGCTGGGACTATAGGCACCCAGCCACTAAGCCTGGCTAATTCTTTGTATTTTTTAGTAGAGACAGTTTCACCATGTTAGCCAGGATGGTCTTGATCTCCTGACCTCATGATCTGCCCGCCTCGGCCTCCCAAAGTACTGGGATTACAGACGTGAGCCCCCACACCTGGCCATATATGTACTTTTTTATACACCTGTTTTGAATTTTCAATAACTAGTATTGGAACTGCTGGGTTGAATCATACATTTTTAAAGAAAGGAATACTGAACCCAGTGATTTCTACAGTTGGTCAATAGTAGTAACCTGGTTTCGTCTCGTTTGTTTGATTTAAAGAGACGGTATCTCACTGTTTTGTTCAGGTTGGTGTGCAGTGGTTATTCACAGGCTCAATCTTAGTGCCCTACAGCTTTGACCTCCTGGGCTCAACCAAGCCTCCTGCCTCAGCCTCCCGAGTAGCTGGGACTACATACACATACCACTGCACCCAACCTGCTTTTAAAAATTGGCCTTTTCCCCTAATAATGGAGTAATTTAGACAGTGATAGGACGTATCAGAGACTAAACTGAGTAAGGAAGCGGAAATACCACTTAAATTATTATACATCACTTTTTTGTAAAAGCTATTTCTTCTTCTTGAATTGTTCTGGATTTTTCCAGACAAGTAAAAGACATTTGTCTATAGGTGTATGAAACTGCTCTTACATTTGAATATTTTCCTCATGCCAAAATGAAAAGTTTCTTCCTTGCCTATGCCAAAAAGTCAGATTACAGGTAGCTTAGAGGCAGGACATTCTAGATTCTAAAACTTTCAAATCTTATTTAAGTTGACCAATAAAAATTACATAGTCATACACAACATGTTGTTTCAAAATATATACACATTGTGGAATGGCTAAATCAAGCTAATTAACATATGCATTACTTCATATACTTATCATTTTTTGATCTCTCAAATCTTTTTAAAATATAAAACTTCCATGTTGTTATTGAAATGTCTTAAAATGTTATTAAATGTCTCATGCTAAGCTGTTGGGAATAATACTTCAATCACATCAACTGTCTTCAATGAAAAGGGGTAATGTCTACCTTAAAATACATATTACACACACATGCATAGCTCCTTCTCTAGAGAGGTTTTGTGAATAAAAACCTATCGGAAGGATAAAACCCTCCTTGATTCAGTGTCTGGCTAGCTTTCTTCTGAAAGCTCCTTGTAGCCTTATAGATTCATGGTTAGAGTGTATTGAAAGGTATTACCAAACGCTTTTTCTCCCAGTAATTTTTACAAATTGATGAATTCACAAAGAATAGTACATTCTAGTAGCAACTTTGATTTTACTTATTTTCAAAGAATATGCATTCTTTGTCCTTAAAGCTAACCACTCCCAACACACATACCCGTTCCTTGCCTTTACAAGAGAAAAAGGAAAGAAAACAAAACAGTCATCAAGACAGCTAGTGGCTGAACTATACTAAGAGTCCTTACTCCAGCCCAAGGCTGTTCCAATCAAGTTGTGCTGTGCCCTGCAGGATCAAAATAATGGTAATCCTAAAGTTAAGTACATATTACAAGTTAGTAGAAATTACACAATTTACCTATCTGCTCTTAGATAAATTCTGACCAAATGGTAAAGGGATAGAAAAGCAAGGTTAAAGTCTTTAGACTCAAACAAAATCAAGTCTGTACCCCATTAATACTTAGGAGCTACATGACCTAAGCAAGTCACATTAAAATTATTTGGGCCTATTTCCTCATTTGAAAAATGGAGTGGGAAGAGGACGGTATTTTAAGGATTAGAGCACTGTATAAACTTTGTATAGCGTGTGGTACACAGCAAACTCTTAATAAATGGTGGCTGTTGTTATTAAAAGACCAGCAAAGAGCTGACTTATTTCTGTTGCAAGGATTAAGAAGAAATAGCTGCATTTTAAAACAGTGTCTCCAGGAAGATGCACAAACAGCATCAAAAAACATGGCACTGCTATGACATTAAAATCATGATCAGGCTTCCTGTTGGTGAAACAAAAAGCATTTTCTTTCCTTTTTTATTTTTAAAGCCTTCTTGCCTACTTTGGAAAAGAGGAAAAGTATAATAGATGCTGATTTTAGAAAAGCAGGCCATGGTTTATATCGGAGCTTCTCAAATTTTAATGTGCATTCAAATAACTTGTAGTCTTGTTAAAATACAGATTCTGATTTAGTATTTGGAATGCATGGGGCAGGACCTGAGATTCTGCATTTCTTACAAGCTCTCAGGTGATAAGGAGCACATTTTGAATGGCAAGAGTTTACAGGATACCAAAATTCAAAAAGACAACAATAAAAATCAACTTTGGTTCCAATACCAGACTTGATTTCCAAATCACAAGATTAGGTTTGTGCTAATAAAACTGTAAGTCTGCTATGATATATAAACCTATATTTAAGTATTGATGGTCTCCTAAATACTCATCTAAGCCATTCTTTCTCTGTCAGGGCACTATTTTCACACAGTGGTGCTGGTGCCACTCTCCCTGCCTCACACTGAAGGTCTCAGAAAACAGGGGCACTTGCTGAATGGGGAAAGCAGGAATTGTCTTGGACAGCCCTACCAAGCCAGGAAATCTAAGGTTATATAACAGCAGCCCTGCTCTATTTTACCTTCAATGATGCATGCAATGGGTGAAGAGGAAAAGTATTAACTCTACCATCACTAATTTTCACCCATATATCTTCAGACATTTACCACAAGAAGACAGATTATGGTACTGCAATTAATTCCATGAAAAGAGGAAGAAAATTTCGTTGCTGATTGGAAGAAGGGAGAACCTTCAATGTTACATAAGAGCAGTGTTTTTTTCCTCCGGTTCCACCTTACTTTCCCTAGTCAATGAAAAATTCTAGTCCTGGGGGTATCATTGAAATTTAAAGCTTCCTTGGTTTTATCAAGGGAAAAAAAAGCTAGGGAATCACTAACTCATATGAAGAAGATAAACATGTAGCTATGAATAGCATAGTCCTCCCTTCTTTCCTACCTCTTCTCTCACCTGCACCTTTTAAAAAGGGCACAGTAGCAGACTTTAATGCTCACTGGCTTTCATAGACAAATCATTAATCTTCTCCACATTACTTATCGCGGCAGCTGGGATAATGTTTGCTCTAATCTAACAGATTTTCATTTCAAAACCAATTGTAAAGCTCAGCAGGGTGCTATATACAACTTTAATGAGAGCTTCTTACCCAAGACTCCTCCAATATGTGCTTTTTCTGAATTGTTGAATTTTACTAGTTGGAGGTTGTTAAATGAAGAAAGGAAAAGGTTAACCAAGAAACAGAATTTTTAAAATGTATTTCCTTTCATATATTTTCTGTTCATATAAGTATAAAACACTAATAAATTTGACCCAGCTGATGACAGAATTTATCTTCTGTGATTTCTAAGCCAGCTCTATGTAACTCCTTTATAGACCATTTTACATAGCATCCTTTGGCTCCCTACACTTAATGCAGAGCAAGAGAGTAGCTATGTAAACCTGCTGACAGCTGTTTAATACGAGAGGTGGAAAGTAGTGGACATATCCTGGCAGTGTGCTTAATGGATACACAAACACCACGGTCATCAGCCTGAAGTGATTCTGGCAGAAAATTAACTTAGAGATACAAAACTCATTTGGTGAGAAGATCCACAGCAATCTGGACAATATCAGGCTGTGTAATGGGGAGAGAGGCAAAATAAGGAGATGTATTTTCCTAAACTTCCCTTTAAGGAGGAAGAATTTTAAAAATATTTTTTATCCACATGCCATTACATAGTTGTCTTGCTTTAACACAAAAGCCAGCAGTTGTCTCCTCTTTGGAAAGCAAATGCTACCATTTATTTATAAATAATGCAATAAATAGAGGGATAGAGTTATGTTGGAGACTTGTTTGTTAATACAAAAGTATTACTAAAGCACAGTATTTTTTTGAGATAATTTGAAACATGTTTTTTTTTTTAACCACCAAGTGATTCTACTTAAAAAAAAATTTTTAATTATCTTTCCGATCACTATGATGTTTAAGTCAGATGAAGGAAGAAAACTAATGTGTGTTGGATTATAAATTATAACACTGTGCTTTAAGAATATAATTAATATATACATTATCTTCCAATTCTCGTAACTACTCTGGAGGCAGGTATAATTATTCTCATTTTACATATGAGAAAACAAAGTTAGATACATTAATCTGTCTATCTCACACAGCAGTTAGGTAACAAAGCTATGATTTGCCCATGTGCCTGGATCTACAGTCTATGCCATGCAGGCCCATCCTGCAGTTAAACAGCAAAGGCATTATGAGAAGGCCAAAATAGTGTTTTGAGGCTGGGTGTGGTGGCTCACGCCTGTAATCCCAGCACTTTGGAAGACGAAGGCGGGCAGATAACTTGAGGCCAGGAGTTTGAGACCAGCCTGGCCACCATACTGAAACCGTCTCTACTAAAAATACAAAAATTAGCTGGGTGTGGTGGCATGTGCCGGTAATCCCAGCTACTTGGGAGGCCGAGGCAGGAAAATGACTTGAACCCAGGAGGCAGAGGTTGCAGTGAGCCGAGATCGTGCCACACTGTACTACAGCCTGGGCAACAGAGTGAGACTCCATCTCAAAAAACAAACACAAAATGGTGTTTTGATATTAATGTTTAAGATGTCTTTCATCAAAAACATAAGCCTAGTTAACTATAAAAAGCAAACCGAAGAAGCATTTAAAGAAAACATAAATTTTTCTAAGGGACAACCTTCAGAATGACCCAAAAAAACCCCAGAAGCCATAAAAGTAAAGACTAATATATTTGACTACGTAAAAATAAAAACTTTCTGTATTTCAACATATGCCATACATGATCAAATGACAAATTGTTGGAGAAAATATTTGCAACACACAGTATAGAAAAGGACTCATTTTCTTAATGTGAAAAGGGCTCCCACAAATAAAAAAGACCCAAAGTCTAATAGAAAAAATGGACAAAGAGCATGAACACAAAATTCACAGAAATCTGAATTACTCTTTAAGTGTATTAAAAATGTTCAACCTCAACATATACAAACTAAAGCAAAATAAGATATCATTTTAACAAATCTATCAGGCCGGGTGTGGTGCCTCATGCCTGTAATCCCAGCACTTTGGGAGGCCGAGGTGGGTGGATCACGAGGTCAGGAGTTCAAGACCAGCCTGACCAAGATGGTGAAACCCTGTATCTACTAAAAATACAAACATCAGCTGGGCGTAGTGGCAGATGCCTGTAATCTCAGCTACTTGGGAGGCTGAGACAGAATTGCTTGAACCCAGGAGGTGGAGGTTGCAGTGAGCCCAGATGGCGCCACTGCACTTCAGCCTGAGTGACAGAGTGACACTCTGTCCCAAAAAAAAAAGTCTATCAGATTGGCAAAAATAAAAAGTTTCTTCTCTGCTGCCAGGAGAATGGACTCTCAAACACTGCCAGTGGGAGTGTAAATTATTTCAACCTCTACAGAGGGCAATTTGGCAATATCAAAATGAAAAGTGCACATACACTTTGACCCATCAATTCTACATCAAAGAGTTGATCTTACAGATATAATCTTGCATGTACAAAGTACCCTACATACACAAATAATAACTGGAGAGTTGTTTTAGTAAAAGCCTAGGAGGGGGTAATCTAAATACTCCAAAACAGAGAACTGGTTTAATAAATGGCAGTATAATGTAAAACTATACAGCCACAATAAAAGAATGAGCATTGGTACCGATACGAAATGACCTCCAAGAAATTCTGAGTAGAAAGAAAAGGGCACAGCAGAGGTGTAAATATGAAAAACAAAATGAGTATAAATGTGTGGATGGGGATCAGGAGCAGGTGGGAGATTTAGCGTATACCCTTATACCTTTTAAAAATTCTGTGGAATGTGTGTACTTCCCCTTCAAAAACTTAGTATGTTTTTATGTTTAAAAAAATAAAACGTTATATGTTTTGAAAATAGAATGTAAAGAGGAAAACGTTACCTGATAATGGCTTTATTGTAATCACTTGTGATATATTACAAAACAATAGTTTTAGGTTCTTTGTATTTCATTTCAAAATGCAAACCTAACTAAAATGTTCTTCATTTATTAATATGAGAAGATACTAAAGGAATGTGTAGTATCAGTGGGCCCCTTTTATAATAAAGATTATGGATGATGAGGCTAATGACCATTTTATAAAAATAGGAGTCAGGTTACAGGTGATATTACCTGACCCATCTTATTCCAAAAGCCACATATAAACATGCTAAACTCATATTATATTAAGATAACTGGCACCTCAACTGTGATAGTATAATGTCATTTTAGTCCACCAACAACTGCAAAAGGGAGCTGATCCTCAAAGTCCGCAAAAAGGAGGGAAGGGCAAATTATAAGTAGTTTTCTGGGAACCTAGGAAAAGGCATACTTTTGAGAATGAGATAAGACTTGGGGGAGGGGACAATACCCAAAACCAGAGATCAAGAATGCTGACACGAATAACATGAATATTATTTTCTGTAGTTTGAGAAAATATAGTTAACACTCATTTCCATAAAACAAACAGGTCTGTATCATTGCCTAGGAAGGTAAACTGTAAAGGGAGTTTCCCGGAAGACTGAAATATACATCTAGAAATATATGATTCTTTTTTTTTTTAATGGGAGCAGGAGTTTCCCTCTCCAGTGAGACACAAACACCAGGTCTCTCCTCTATCCCAACTTTTCAAGTATCAAATATAGAAATTCTAAAAATGTATATTCCCTTTACCGCTTTAAGAACATTGTTTACAGTTTAGTATTCACAAAATGAAAAGACAAGCTCTGCTAAAGTGCCTTCAGAAAATTTGAACAGGGTTTGGTGGAACTAAGCAGATCAAGATTTCAGACTTTATTTTAAAAACACTGAGATACCTCAGAAATGCATGGCTCACTGGGCACACTAATAACTAGCTTCAAATACCAGTTGAAGTCATCGTGGAATGGAAAGGCAATGCTTCTAACTGTAACGCCAAACAGCTCCTGCCCAACTTCCTCACATGGGTTCCTTCTCCTGTGCTTTATTCCAAAGCTTCTGGTCCCTCCATAAGCTGTGAGTTACCTTTTGGACTGGTGTTTCCACACATGATCAATTCACTGGGAGATGCTGGATGAAGATGCTCCATTTCTACCACACAGCTGGGCTTGAAACACTTTTCCCTCACTCTCCTTGGCTGTAGACACCTGCCAAACACCCACAACTCTGAAGTGCCTATAATGCTTTCACTGGGGAGAACTTTTAAAATGAAATCTCATCAGATAGCAATGTATACTTCCACTTCCCAATGTGATGAATTTGGTCAGAAGGCAAGCAAGCAATGCCAGGTTAGAAAAGGGAAGTTCAAGACATTTGGGGGAGAGAGGTCATCTACCTTCTTCTCTTTCTGACACATAGTAAGGAAGAGTTTTCCTCGCTATGGATTATGAATATCTGAGCCTGGCTTATGAATATATTTAATAATATTTCTAGAGATCCCTAAGACAGCTCTCAAAGGTCAATTAAAATATATTAACAGTAATTCTGCACTGAAAATCAAGAAAAGGATCAACAAAAACATAACCTTTGCAAAAAGGAATTTTTCCAGTCCAGGAAAATATACTTTCATTTGTTGTACCTATATCTACCTTTACATACCATGTATGTGTTCTTGTTTACCATTTTCACTGGACAAATCCATTAAGAGTGAGGATTTGAGGTTGCTGCAAAATTGTAAGTTTAACTGAACCTATTTTTAAAGGAGCTTTTTCCTTTTAAAAAGCAAGCTTATCCAGGAGGAAAGCACAATAACAAAGTTAACCTCAACCATCTTTCATAATTAAGTTTGTAGGTGGAACTCAGTACAGAATATAACTCCAGTGTGTTCTCTTAAGTTCTGGCATGGACTTGCCTTTTAGAAACTTTTAATTATGCCAGTCATACAGAAAAGAAGCGATATTGTATTTGTAACATATCGTCCCATGGTTCTCTGAAGTATGGTTCTTTGAAACAAGAATTATTTAATCTAGGTGGTTAAAGGCTAAATGAAGCTATCATATATTGAGTGGGTATTACTTGAAGCATACTTTTTTAAAATCTCACAACCCACCTCTAAGAGGTAAGTTTGATTGTTACTTCATAGATGTGCACACTAAAGCCCAAAGTCAGATGGCTAACAAGTGGATAAGCTGTAATTTAATCCAGGTATATTTGACTCCAAAACCTAAGTTCTGAACTACTGTCTAAGGAACTACTGTCTTAGGTCTCATCTGCAAGACACAGTCTGCTGTTCTATGTTACCACTGGTGACTGAATGTATGGCCCATTATAAACATACTACCCTCAATGTATCTAATCATGTATTTTATAAATATACAGAAAGTTACAGAGAATAACACAACAACTGCACCCACTAGCTAGCTTTGTCTAATCTTAACATTTCACTATATTTGCTTCAGAGTTTTAATAAGAAAGAAAACACCACAGGTCAAGTTGAAAATCTGTGTGTACTCCTCAAATCCTATACCCTTCTCTGTTTCCTAGAAGTAACTGCTATCCTAAATTTGGTTCAGGGTTTGCATTCCAATGCATGTTTTAATACTATTTCTACAAATAAGTATCCACAAACACAAGATTTTGCAAGTTGCCCAACTTTATATAATGGTGTCATACATACACATCATTCAGAAACTTGTTTTTTAATTCAACCATGTTTTTGAGATGTATTCCTTGCTAATAGCTGCATAGTGTTCTAGGGTATGAACAAACCACAATTAATCTATTCACTTGCTGCTGGAGAGTTGGCTTGTTTCTAAGTTTTCCATTAACATAAACACTGCTATGATGAATACTCTTGTACCTGACTCCTTTGAACAAGCATTTCCAGAATACAGACTTAGAAATGTCAGGCCAAAAGGAATGCCTCCTTTATCAAATATTGCCAAACTGTTCATGAAGGCAGTATTCAATTCTTACACCCACCAATAGCAGAGCCCACACATCCTCATTAACATTTGGCAGTGCCAGACATTTTAATTTTTGCCAATAAAATGGTGTGAAATTACCTCATTTTTGTTTTAATTTGCATTTCTCTGATTAGTAATGAGATTTAGTATATTTTCATAATTACTAGCCACAATCCTTAAAGAAACTACAAAAGCACAGTTAACTAACTAAGCATCCAGGGCAGAGTTATAATATAAAAGATTTCCCTAAAGGTAAATATCCCATGTTAAATTCTAGATAACAAGAGAAACAGTAAAATATATACTCCTCCTCCTTGTAGACCTTAAATAAAGTATAAGGTTACATCTACCAGTCTTGGTTTAGTCATCATATTGGTAAAAAGCAGGAGGTTAAAATTAAACGATCTAACGTATCTTCCAACGAATGATTATTTTCTAAATTTGCAGAACTGCACCTGCATCACTTTTAAGCATCTTAATGGAAACAGTATTTTGTGCCAATGAAGCAGAAAGAAGAGGCAAAAAGAAGAGACAGAGAAGTGGGTTGATGCTTAACTCTATACCATCTTCCCTGTATCCTCAAGATTAAATAGGAAATGCCTCCTCCCTTTAGAAAATAGGACCACCCGCCAATCCCATCCGCCAGGAGAAAGAGGATTTCAGTCAAACAGCAACATGAATGAAAAGAGATGATTGAAGCCAGATATACTCTGTGCACTCCAATATTTTTAAAAATTAAAAACAAAAATCTAGGGCTGGCCATGGTGGCTCACGCCTGTAATCCCAGCACTTTGGGAGGCTGAGGCGGGTAGATCACCTGAGGTCAGGAGTTCAAGACCAGCCTGACTCATATGACAAAACCCCGTCTCTACTAAAAATACAAAAATTAGCTGGGCATGGTGGCAGGTGCCTGTAATCCCAGCTACTCGGGAGGCTGAGGCGGGAGAATCGCTTAAACCAGGGAGGTGGAGGTTGCAGTGAGCCAAGATCGCGCCACGGCACTCCAGCCTAGGCGACAAGAGTGAAACTCCATCTCAAAAAAAAAAAAATAATAATAATAATAATAAAGTAAAATTACAAACAAAAATCTCTACTATTTCACCAATTAGTGATTTATCTGTGTTAACAAATTCTCTCTCTCTTTTTAACAAAACTTTTAAAAAGTTTTACAAACTTACAAAAAAGTTGCACGACTAATATTAGTCAATCCCATACAGCCTTTATAGAATTCAGCAACCGTTTACATTTTGCCCCCATTTGCTTTACCATTCTCATTCTCTCTCTCTCCCCTTGCAAACATTTTTTGGGAACTATTTGAGAGTAAGTTGGACAAATACCTCCTTTAACAATAAATACCTGGGCTTAAATAAGCCTGTTAGTTATCTGTAGGTCTTATGCCATCAAAACCTCTTGCATCTGGCTTGAGAAAAGTATTTTCCCCAAAAGCAAAACTTTAAATGTCAGGAGTTTAACTTTAGTACCCATGCAGTATAGATTAAATAGGGTAGTGGTTCATTAACTTTTGCTGAACATCCAAATAACATGGGGTGTCTTTTTTAAAAATACTGATACCTGGCTTCCATTCCAAATACTTTGATTCCACGTGTATGAGGTGTAACCTGGACATTGGAGGTTTTTTTTGTTTTTTTTTTAACTCTCCAGTTTTTAAATGTGTGGCTAAGTTTTAAAACCAGTATTTCAGGGCTTAGGCACCTACACACCATTTGAAATACTGGTTCTAGGAAAATGTGCTACAATGCCAAGCAACTGATTAAAATAAGTCAAATACCATTACATCACAAACTGAGGCAGGTAGAAGCTTCCAATATATGGTTTTAGGCAAATACTGTGTGCTTTCTATGTGTTGTTCTGGGGCTGTAGGATGCAAAGCTAGGAAATAGGCAATACACACAAATAACTACAACAGACGGCAGTATGTACTATATCAAACATATGTCAACATGAATAAGAACATGGAATGTATTTGTTTTGAAGGTTCACAGACTGGTGAGTGGTCCCGAAAGAAGGTGAGATATTCATTAAGGGAGAAAGATGACTTTACTAGGCAAGACTGAAGTAGAATCAAAGGACACTCTGGTAAACAACATCAGCAAGAAGTCTGTGCCACAAAAATGTTAGCGAATGATAGTGTTCCATTAAAGCCCCAAGTGAAGTTGAAAATACAGGACATAAATTTTGTATATACTAATCAATGTAACTCAAATTCGTGTATTAGGAATTAGGAATGATATATATAACAGTGTCTGGCACACAGAGGTGATCAGTGAGTCTTCCTTTCTGTTTCTCTGACTTAGAACAAAAAGTTGACTACGTAAAATTTAGAAAATACACTCAAGTATAATTATGAAAATAAAATCATCCATAATCCTAGTACCCAAATAACCAATGTTGATATTTAAGGTAACTCCTTACTGAAGTTATTCCTCTAGATTACTCCAGATGTTTTATAATACAAAAAAGAATTTTGTATAAAAAACAACAAGCCCCTCAGCCATTCCCCCTCCTGATGTACACTTAAGAGGATCAACTGAAGTTGCAATATGGTCAGAGCAGCCACTAGAGGGTGGCCGAGGCTGATGCATCCATCACCCTCCCCTACTTTCTCAAAGGCCTTTAACTGCCATTCATGTTACGATTTCTGGACCTGCACACCTCATCACATAAAGATTAAAAATTACTATCAGCCAGGCATGGTGGCTCACACCTGTAATTGCAGCACTTTGGAAGGCCGAGGCGGCTGGATCACGAGGTCAGGAGTTCAAGATCAGCCTGACCAATATGGTGAAGCCCAGTCTCTACTAAAAACACAAAAATTAGCCAGGCGTGGTGGCACGCACCTGTAGTCCCAGCTACTCGGGAAGCTGAGGCAGAAGAATCCCTTGAACCCGGGAGGCGGAGGTTGCAGTGAGCCAAGATCGCGCCACTGCACTCCAGCCTGGGTGACAGTGCACGACTCCGACTCAAAAAAAAAAAAAAAAAAATACTATCAAAAAGAAAGGAGGAAGCTCTTCAGGGTAATGAAGTGTTAATAGTTTGGATATCAAATACGGCTACCCAGGATATCAAATATAGCTACTGATTTGTTAGTATATACAAAATTTATCTGCTATGTACTGTATTTCATTCAACTACTTGGTACTTTACCAAATGTCTCCCTCTGTGCTTCTTGAGAACACGACGCAACTTCTCCACTAGGAACGGAGATGCTTACATTACACAGCATACAGCAGCATTCTACATTCCACTACTGCCTGCCACACCCCATCCCCACCATTTAACATAACTGACGCAGTGTGTGCTAAACATCTCAATTCTGAATACTATTACAGAATTTGTTTCAAAGTACTATAACATATCCCAACTATCAAATGTCTAATTTTAAGTATCTTTTTTATATTTTGAACTTTCATATTATAGTTTCCAAAAAAAGAATGACAAGAAATATAGCTACGTATTCTTTAATTAGCTGAGAAACAGGTTAAAACCATTTTCCAAAGATTTACATGAAGTTTTACCTTCCCCGAATCCTCTTAATTGATCAGGTGTGATCATAAATGATATAATAATTTATAGTATTTGATCACGTTTTAAGTGTAATAGAGTTCTGGACAACTACAAAACCAATTAATATAAAATTAATTGTGCTACTGATTGTGGAGAATCAAATAATGTTCTGAGAACATACAAGTTACAAACCAAGATGATAACAATCTGAAGAAAAAAACAACTTTCTTCCTCCTTGGTACTTTTAGCATAAATGCCACAAAGTACAAATCCACAAACCAAAAGGAAATGAAAATTAAAACTACAAATTAAAATTAAAAATACAAATTAAAACTACATTCCACACTCAGTGGAATGACCAAAATTTTTTAAAGACTGACAACACCAGGTGTTGGCAAGGATATGGAGCAACTGGAACGCTCATGTACTACTGATGGGAATTTGTAAAACAGTACGGCCACTCTGGAAAACAGTTTGGCAGTTTCTTATAAAGTTAAGCATACAGCTGCTGTACTTTATCATACAACCCCAAAATTCTACTGTGTGTATTTATGCAAGAAAATAAAAGCATACATTCATACAAAGACCTGTACTCAAAGGTCTACAGAAACTTAAAATACTCCAATACTGGAAATAACCCAAATATCCATCAGCTCAACAAACTGTGGTAAATTTATGCAATGGAAAGCAATGAAAAGGAACAAACTACATGAAAACAACATGAATGAGTCCCAAACGTATTATGCGAATTGAAACAAGCCAGACACAACTGTATACATCCATTAATATGAATTTTTAGAAAAAGCAAAATGAGCCAGTCATTGGCATGCACCTGTAAGTGCCAGCTACTTGAGACGCTGAGGTGCGAGGATCACTTGGGCCCAAGAGTTCAAGACCAGGCTGTGCAACACAGTGAGTCCTCATCTCTTTAAAAAAAAAAAAAAAAAAAAGTTGGGCCGGGCGCAGTGGCTCAAACCTGTAATCCCAGCACTTTGGGAGGCCGAGGTGAGCGGATCACCTGAGGTCAGGAGTTTGAGACCAACCTGGCCAACATGGTGAAACCCCATCTCTACTAAAAATACAAAAAATTAGCCAGGCATGGTGGCAGGCGCCTGTAATCCCAGCTACTCGGGAGGCTGAGGCAAGAGAATTGCTTGAACCCGTGAGGCGGAGGTTGCAGTGAGCTGAGATTGCGCCATTGCACTCCAGCCTGGGTGACAGAGCAAGATCCTGTCTCGGAAAAAAAAAAAAAAAAGGTTGGGGGCGTAAAAGCAAAATGATAGTGACAGAAAACAGGTCCATGTTTGTCATAGACCAGGGCATGAAAAGACTTAACAGCTGAAGACAAAAGCAAGCAACATATCACCAAACCTGAATTAATCTAATCAAAATGACAGTGTTAGATATAAACTTTCAAAATCCCAGTTAAAGTCCTGTACAATGGCTCCTCAAATAACACTGTTTCCTTCAACATCATTTCATTAGAAGGATGGTAAGGGGGGAAAAAAATCAACTCCCAACTGAGGCCACTGTCTATATGGTTCACACCTTCTCCCCATGCACACCTGTTTTTTTTCTGCGTACTCTTCCCACATCCCAAAGCTATGCATGCTAGGTTCATTGATGAGTCTAAACGGTTCCAGAATGAGTGACTGTGAGTGCGCCCTGCAATGGGATGGTGCCCTGTCCAGGGCTGGTTCTCACCTGGCACCCTGAGCTGGAATAACTGGGTAAATATTATCTTGTGCTTAGTTTCTGTCTTAAATATATGTACAGTTCACATTTATGTCAATATTCAATGTTAGAAGTGTTTTGGTCTTTATTTAGACATTTAGTGATGTTTTTGCGACCAGAAATATGCCATAGGAATTTAACTCTGCCAGTTACCTGACAGACATGGAACCAACATTTTTTTCTCTTGCGCCCCCACCGTCCACAAATTCTCATTTCAGCAAAAAGGCCAAAACAAGTGATAAAATATCAATTTCAGATTCAAAAGAATGTAATGTAACTCTAACCTATTTGTTAATTCTGGCAAGTGGCTACATACTGTTTATAACTTAAAATGCAACGGTAACCACCAGTCATAACATTGTCTCTTAAAACATATTCAGATCAAAGCAGAGAGGTTTCTGTATTTCTATTGGAGTTTAAGATGAAGGAGGAGACCTAATCTGGCCCAGGAACTTCCTGGGAAACCTCCTTCAATATAAATTAAACCACACCTACTTTTAAAACAAAATCTGGATGGTGGCTACGTATGCTGGGTTATAGCAGGATCCTGTAAAAGTTCAGAATACAGTTTTGGCAAGCTCTTGTAGACTAACAGATGTATAAGAGAGATTTGGAAGATCTTTTTGTCTCTCCCAATATAACCATTTTCAGATATTTACACTGAAGACTGCAGGGTGGGAAATAAACACTGGCTCTCTTCTAACCTGATATTCAGCAGTATTTTGGAACTTACTTGCTGGTCAGTAGAAAGAAGAAATACACCACCAGAAGTACAAGATGTCAGTGAGAAATAAAGCCAAAAGCATTTATCACTTGTTAAGATGCTACCGAAACCTAGTATTTTCTCCCCTTCCACAAAACAGTACCTGGCATCAGAGATCACACACTCATAGTGAAAAAGTTTAGAAAGTTTTCTCTTTAAATTTTATTTAACTATTTATTTGATTAGTTAATATACTCAAAGGGCTCAATTCAAAAGACACAAAAAGGTATACAATGAAGATTCCCTCTGCTCAGGTCTTCCATTCGGTTTTCCTCCTGAGTGACTTTTGAGGTGCTTATTACTGATAACACAGGTCTGCAAGGCAACCAATTTTAGTATAGGAGCTAATAGCTGGTCGGAACAACATGCTCACAAGCAAACTTTGAAGGGATTCTTAATTACCAAAGGATTAATTAAACCCTGGATGTAAGCATAAAAGGAATGATTATATATTTACATATCCATTAGTAGAAATCCCATTGTGATTTTTTTTTTTTACAGATCACAGCACACTGAACAAATCTAAATCTGTACTCTTCAACTAGGTCTTACAAGTGAGCCATTGTCTTTCAGTACTAAAGTCCTCAAGAAGCTTAAACTTAACCTGGCTAACAGTAAAACAATCCTGCGTAAGGATAGGGAACAGGAAAAGCAGAAAGAAAAAAGCAATGGGGTGGGGACAAAGGGAAGAAGATGAGAGAGATGGTGGTGGAGGGGGAGATAGAAGGAGAGAAAGAGAAGAGGTGAGAGAGAGAGAAAATCTCTCTGTTGTCCACAGTGGCGTTCTCATGCTCAAAATTCTAGCTTTAAATAGAGCACTCAAACTGCTGGGAGAGAAGGGGTGGAGTAGATTACTTCTAAGACAGATTCCAACTTTTGTTTCCATTTCAAAATTCTCACTTCTTAAGCATTTGGCCCAAAAATTGTTACATATTTTCCTGCTTAAAAAAATGTTCCTCTATTTGTGAGTTTACCTGGGTTTTCCTAAATATAAAATCAAGATAGAAAAGAAAAACCTTAAAAACAGTTTTCAAGCCCTTTAGATACAGCCATGCATATTTAATTGATAAGCTAATTATAAGCTATATTATCATTAATGCAGGTCTCAAGGCCTTTCTATACTACCTTTTTTTAAGGCTAGTCTTAATTGCTATTCTCAACAACCTATTTATTCTAATAATCCTGGTTTTGGAACACTTGTTAATTAGATAAGGCAAAGGCTATGTGAAAGTTACCTAACTGAAACCCTTGTTTTCAGAAAGGTACTCTAAATCAGTATCTTAAACCTGCTATGCATGTGAATCACCTGGGGATCTTGTTAAAATGCAGGTTCTGATCCAGCAGGTCTGGGGTGAGGCCTGTATTTCCAGCAGCTCCCAAGTGCTATTAATGTAGCTAGTCCCTGGATCAGACTTTGGGTAACAAGGCCCTAAATCATTCTTCAAGATTTCAAGTTATCCCTTCCACAGTCTCCCAAAAATTGTATTTGTAAATAATATAACCAATGTACACCACCACCCAGCTTTGTGAGTACCTACGGAAACTGATGTGGGTTGCTTTCTCAGTTGTGTTCAAATTTTCCAAAAGCTTCTTTAGTTTATTGAGCCTAAATTAATTAAAAATACCCCTCTGTGGCTGTGCAGGAATCACATCTTGCATCAGGCAAGAATTCACTTAGAGCTGATATAGGCTAATACCATAGTTTTAAATTTAAAATGTATACTGTTAAATTATTCTTCAAGTTAATTATAACTACTTGATTAGCAATTCCTAAATCCTACACAACGAACTAAGTGATCTTTTTTTTTAAATTGAAACAGGGTCTCACTCTGTCACCCAGACTGGAGTGCAGTGGCACAATCATAGCTCACTGTGGCCTCGACCTCCTAGGCTCAAGTGATCCTCCCACCTCAGCCTCCCAAGAGCTAGGATTACAGGAATATACCATCATGCCGGACAAATTTTTGTATTTTTTGTAGAGATGGAGTTTTACTGGTCCTGAACTCCTGAGCTCAAGCGATCCTCCTGCCTTGGCCTCCC
Source organism: Homo sapiens (assembly GCF_000001405.40). Taxonomy (NCBI): domain Eukaryota; kingdom Metazoa; phylum Chordata; class Mammalia; order Primates; family Hominidae; genus Homo; species Homo sapiens. The sequence continues at coordinate 38,007,317 of NC_000006.12, read as the reverse complement.
AAAGTGCTAGGATTACAGGCATGTAATCCTCAGCCTCCCAAAGTGTTAGGATTACAGGCATGAGCCACCAAGCATCCAGCCAGTGATGAAATTTTTATAGTTAAATGAGAAGGACAATATCAGTTTTTCATAAAGCTAAATATATGCTATATTGTTACATTTGTTATAATTTATTTATAACTCTATGGTGATGATTTTCCTTTTAAATGTCCAAATGAATAAAAGTTGGCAAGTGTATGTCCATCACTTTCTCTTCACTCTTTAATTTTTAAAAACTGCTTACCCTGATAAAAAAATCTGAGAACTAACAAATTCAAATAACTTCTCCACACCTCTTCCTTCTCTGAGAACTCGGGATGCTAAACAGAGTATGTGTGTGTATGACTGCAGGAGCACTTGGAACCACTTGTGGCCCTTTTTATTAATTATCCCCATCAATCCCCAAGTTGTGACTTCATTTACTAATGGAATTGTGCTGATCCTCTCGGATGAGTCTGGACTGGAAGAGGGGCAGGGGTGCAATATTTAGACGCACGATATGAGGCAATTCCTAAAGCCCTTGGAACTTAGACATCCTGTGATTTCACAGAATCCACACCATTTCTTCGTCCCTCCAAAGCTTGAGCCAAAACCATCAATTAAAAAAAAAAAAAAAAAAAAAACCCTCTTCCTCACCTCCGTAGGCTTAGCACATGGCAGTGTTACACAGAAGTTTTCTGAGAAGGATGTAGATGAGTTTTGTACACCCTGCCCACTCTGTGTTATACATAAGAGAAAGAAGCCATGCTTAGCTGCATGCAAGCAGGTTGTCTTGCATTAATAATACTGAATGAGGACAAAAAGCACTCGAAACAGCAGAGTTCCAGAAGAACACCAAATTTATATTTAATTTAAAAAGGACAGCCTCTTAATTAGGCAAATTTCACATTTTTTTATAAAAAAGAAACAATTAGAATTGTTTAGTGTGAATAAAATTAGTGTGAAATTTCTCACTATCCCAAATTCTATCACAGCAAACACAGAGACATACAACAGCTGGTCAATTTAACTTACATATCCTGTTATTAAACATTACCTCAGGTCCATTAAACTCACTTTCTTCCCCAACTCCTTCCCCACAAAAAAGACTATAAATTGTATACTGCATGTCATAATGGGAAGATGATTACCTTTTTCTGGGGCATGATACATGCAGAAGCTGTAACTACAAGAAACTGAAGTAAAAGTAACCCATATTATACATCTTCAATGTAAGTCTCAGAGACACACCATGCAGAGAAGAGTTGCTGAAGTCAGCTGGCTCTATCTTCATCTGTGTTTACTTAGCACACCATGAGACGACTTCTCTGGTTCAATTATCTGTGGTTACCTAACTAAGAACTTTTAAAAGAGAAGGACCAGAATTATTGGCTCAAGAAATCTGCCAAATGTCCATATATGTGCTGATGTCCCCTGAACTGTACATCTAGTTTAGTGTACATTGATAACAACACTCAAGTGGTCAACTTTTCCTCATACACAGTGAAGAAGTATAAAAACATAGTAATGTTTTCAATACTGTTTTAAAAACTGTTCTAGAAACCTGATGAAATTAAGATTTCTCTTGGCAAGTCATCCTTTATTAACCATGCAGAATGTAACAACTGTATAATAAATTAATGTGATTTTTAAAAATCCATCATTATAAGAAAAGTGATTCATTCTAAAAACAGTCTCTCAGGTAGCTCAAATGACTTGCCCAAGTGCTCAAAACAGAGAGGGAAGGATAGATAAAGGCTTGTCAATCCTACTTAAGAGCTCCTTCTACCACATTACATGATTCTGATCTAGAAAAGTCAGATGCCATTGACAGTGGAAATCAACTGTTAGTTTTTATTGATAATGTAATAATGCACACCACCTATACTCATTTTATATACTGGCACTATAAATAAGATTTGATTGCAAGGAACTATCCTTAGAAACCATCTGTCAATGTCTGCCATCCTTTGGTAAAGATATTAAAACCCATCTTTGAGACTTCAATACTCTTTATCAAAACATGCTTCGACAGATCTGCAGAGTGAGAGTAGAGATATAGAATATGCCCATAACAGAGCCCAATATAAAACCATCATATGTGGAGCTCCTGGGGTTTGAAATGGCACTAAAGAAATTTATCAGAGACTCTCTGCAAATCTGCTGAGCAGACTCTCATTTTTGATCTTACTCATATAAAAACTTCTCAGCCACCCAGAAGCTGATTATCTCACTGAAGAAGATCTATCTCTTCTTGTTACAGGTTTAACATCTCACTATTCACACACGCAACTGCATGAATTTGTGATGTCAAGAAAATCACCAACTTTTAGAATCAGAAGAGACCACAGTGATTTTCTAGTTCAACATTTTGGGTTTTAGGTAAGCTCTAATTACTGAGCCCCCCAAAAGAACTGCCACTCTCTTTCTCAGTCTGACATACCTTTGCCACATGATGATGATCTGTGTTATAGCCAGACATTTAATGGAAGAGACAAAAATTCTGACTTTAAATGATTAAGAATAAAGGTTGAGAATTATCTCTCGATTTCATTTTTCCATACCATTCCTACTCTACAATAACATCATGTATTGGGCTAAAAATTCAAGTCTGAAGATTATAAACTTATATTCTGCATATTCTATTATTGAAAATTTAGAAAATATAGGATCAAAGTATAAATGAAAATATTGTTACATTTAATACCGTTCAATCTGAAGACCTACTTATTCATTCGTGTGTGTGTGTGTGTGTGTGTGTGTGTAGACAGCTTTAGCACTTCCAAGTGTGTTAACTCTATCAGGACACTGCTGTCCTAAAGAGGGATGGAGAGGGGGAGAGGGGAAGGGGGAGAGGGGAAGGGAGAGGGAAAAGGAAAGAAAGAAAAAAGAAAAGAAAAATTTAAAAGAAATAAAAATCCTGCAGAGGAGGAACACTGACGGTATCACCAAGGCAAGCAATATAATGCTATGAGCAAACGTGTTGGAAATCAAATGCCTCCTTGGTAAGATTCTACCAAATATGTACTATCAGAAATCACCTTCAAAATACACAAGAGTTTTTGACAATCACAAGATCTCAACCTGAATATATCCATGTTCTGGGATACAAACTGGAATCCCTTCCCATGGCCTCTCTGCATCTTCTACACTAAACCCCATGTCACCAAATTTTTAAAATACAGGACTCCTAAAATCCTCCAAGGGACCACTGTAAAACCTAGAAAGCTGACCCAGGATAGCTGGATAATGGGATTTGGCCATCCTTCAGTTTCATATAAAAGATAACAACATTAATGAGAAAAGCTGAGAAAAAGAAGAATTGCCCCTCAAACAATATTAGAGTCATCAAGAAAAAATTAGTTTTTTCATTCGGACGACAGAAGGTGATGGCAGCAGGTTAGAGCAAACTCACAGTAATAAGCAGTGATTGAGGGGTTCCCTGAAGGCAGAAGGAAAAAGATATACAAATAGCAATGTTAAGATTCTGGACTAGCCAGGCACTGTAGCTCTCGCCTGTAATCCCAGCACTTTGGGAGGCTGAGGCAGGTGGATCACTTGAGCTCAGGAGTTCAAGGCCAGCCTGGTCAACATGGCAAAACCCCGTCTCTACAAAAAAAAAAAAACACAAAAATTAGCTGGTCGTGGTGGTGCATGACTGTAGTCCCAGCTACTTGGGAGGCTGAAGTGGGAGGATTGCTAGAGCCCAAGAGGCAGGGGTTGCAGTGAGCTGAGATCACACTGATGCACTCCAGCCTGGGCGACAAAAGTGAGGCACCGTCTCAAAAAAAAAAAAAGATTATGGATGGTTTTTAATACTAAAGGTTCATTTACTCATATTTCATTAATTGCATTTATAATAAAATACAATGTACAAGCTGTTTTAATTATTATAAACTAAATTAAAATACAGCGGTATAGAGGAGAGGGGGCAGATGACTATGGCAGTTTATTTGCTCAGTGCATCCCAGGAATAGCTTTCATTTCAGGCCTACACTTTGTGCATCCAAAGTCAGAAGCACACTTATGAGATCAATTTAGTTCAGCATGTGGAAGAATGGCATTCAGTGAGCTATGCCATCACGTCACATAAAGAAAATGTAACCATGGCTGCAGAGATTTCGTTGGGTCACTCTAAACTGTTACCAAGATATGTAACTGAACTGTGGATCCTTTCAACAAATCTCTATATGAGGGGCTGAATATAGAGAACCAACGAACTAAGATCATTGTCATCTTCCTGAAAGATGAGAAGTAACATTCTTTGCCTACCATCATTGGAGGCAACGTTGATGGCCTTCTGGTTTTGATAATTATAGTCATTCTGTCCAAGTGTGGCATTTTCCCCCCAGCCCTCTTCTCGTGTTAGCAAGGTATGTGGCTTTTTAAAAAGAAAATATCAATAATTGAACTTAGCATAGGGAAGGCCCAGATGAAGCCAGCGAATCTGCTCACAGAAAAAAAATAAGATCTGCTCTCTCATCTACTGGGAGATAATATCAACCAATCCTCGAAATTCTAAAGACTTGGTGTCGTACTGATTGCTTTTTCCTTTAGGATGATCTAGAGTAGCATCGAACAAATTGTGGACTATCATAGGGTGTTTTATTTTGTTTTTATTGTTGTTGTTTTTTTGAGACAGGGTCTCACTCTTTCACCCAGGCTGCAGTGCAGTGGCAATTGCAACCTCCACCTCCTGGGCTCAAGTGATTCTCCCACCTCAGCCTCTTGAGTAGCTGGGACTACAGGCACAACACCGAGCCAGGCTAATTTTTGGATTTTTTGTAGAGACGGGATTTCACCATATTGCCTAGCCTTGTCTCGGATTCCTGGGTTCAAGCAATCCGCCCGCCTCAGCCTCTCAAAGCGCTGTGATTACAGGTGTGAGCCAACATAACTGGCCTAGAATATCGTGTTGTAACCACATATTTTCCCAAAACTGTATGCACTGTGCAAAAAGTAAACCTGGGAAACATTTGATGTTAAACTGTTTTCTTTAAAAAAAAAAAAAAAAGAAAAGAAAATACAGTAGTGTAATTTAGAACTAAACTATAAGCTTCCTGAGGGTATCATCTTTGTATCCATTATGTCTTCATTGAGCTTGCAAGTATTTATTGTTGAACTAAGCCTAGTTTATGTTTCTATAGGCTTAGTACGCATGAATATTTATAGTATATCTTCTTAAGGAAAACAACATCTCTTGAGTATTCTATAATTCAGCCGTTTTATTGAATAGGACAAAATCTCAGGCTTTCTGCATTTAAAATGTTCACACTTGACTGTATTTTCACTGGTAAAAATGTACTTCTCTAGTAATACAATAAATTTGATCAAGGATGCTAAACTCTGTATTCACCTAATATATCAATATTTAGACTAAAAGAAAAGACTAAAAGACAAAAAGAAAAGATAACAGACCAACAGCCATAACTCAATTCTCTTGTGTGCAACTACTTTTTACTCCTAGGGACAAAGGAGTTGCCTTTACTTTTATTCCTCTGACCTTCTCTACAGAGCTTGCCGGAAGCTATGGGAATGCACAAATACATGTTTATCCATGTTCTGAAAGAGGTTTTCCAAGCTGAATAAACCAGACATCTCACTCCACCAACTACATCATACAAATTTAGTTTATTTACATATGACCAAGGGATGAATTAATGGCTGAAAAAAAAAGTGCTAACATCAACCCTGTGATTTTATGAAGTAAAAAGTAATTCTAAATTCTAGAGCTCTGAACCTTTGGCCAAAAGCCCACTAAAAGATAAGACTGTAATAGAGTTTATGTTGCTCTGCTCTGTGCAAAGATCCTAGGAAAAATAAATGAACTGGGCAGGAAAGAACACCAGGATGGAGATCATTTGTAACAGAACACAGACTGTCTTACAAGATACATTTGCATCAGCCCTTCAGTTCCCAGTCCTAACTATGATTTCAGGAGCACCTTGTGCCTTCCAGAAGGTCAAACACTAGTAGTAATGGATCTGTGAAGAGGAGAGCAGTGAACCAGTGTCAGAAATAACAAAGCATTGTTTCTAGGGGATTATTATTCAACTGGAAGTTGGGACTGTCCTACTCCAGGTCAAGAGAAAGTAACTTATTTAAAAGAATGAATAAAAATGAGTTAGAATACTTTCTACACTAAGGGTGGTCAGAGTTATTTTGAAGATTTTTTAAAAATCTCCTTAGTAAAAGGATATACAAGCATTCTTGCATTTCTAAATTACCCTGCATTCTTCAACCTATTCTCCTTCAAGTGTGATTAGAGCGAACTCTGAGCTTTATTCAGTGCATCAGAGGAAGGTCCAGTGCCTATAATTTTCTCATTCATGAATATTTCTACTTCTAAAAAGAAAGAAGCATTAAGCAGAAGGTAGGCGCAAGACTCAGTCAGTGATATGGTTTGGTTGTGTCCCCACCCAAATCTCATTTTGGAATAAAAGTAAAGACAACTCCTTTGTCTCTAGGAGTAAAAAGTAGTTACACACAAGAGAACTGAGTTATGGCTGTTGGTCTGATATCTTTTCTTTTTGTCTTTTAGTCTTTTCTTTTAGTCTAAATATTGATATATTAGGTGAATACAGAGTTTAGCATCCTTGATCTAATTTATTGTTTTACTAGAGAATAATTCCTACGTGTCATGGGAGGGACAAGTGGGAGGTAACTGAATCATGGGGGCAGGTCTTTCCCAGGCGGTTCTCCTGACAGTAAATAAGTTAAGTCTCATGAGATCTGATGGTTTCATAAAGGGGAGGTCCCTTACACGAGCTCTCTTGCCTGCCACCATGTAAGATGTGTCTCTGCTTCTCCTTTGTCTTCTGCCATGATTGTGAGGCCTCCCCAGCCATGCCAAAATGTGAGTCCATTAAACCTCTTTCCTTTATAAATTACCCTGTCTTGGGTATGTCTTTATTAGCAGTATAAGAATGAACTAATAAATACAGTCAGGATCTATGAAATTTTCGCTCTTTCACAAATTTGTTTGGAGGGCATGGGAAATACAGTTTCTCAATTTCAGAATTAGATGAGAAGAATTTATAATTAATTAATGGAAGGTGCTATGGGTCTCGCAAATGATCAATATCAATCTGAGATCAACATCATCTCAAAACCTCTCAGGATCATCACAGTAAGTTTTTTGGTTTGTTTGGTATCTGAATTTGCTTTTATTTTTTTAAAAATTGTTTAAACTCCAATAGGGGGATAAGTAAAAGCAATTCTACTTGTGCCACCCAGAAGTATTTTCCTTTTTTAAAAAAGCTTTATTTATTTTTTCCTTCTAATCAATGGAATCTATAAAGCTTTATTTTTTAGTAATAGTTTTAGATTTATAAAAAGGTTGCCAGGATAGTACAGAGAATTCCCATATACTCAGGAGCCAATTTCTCCTATCATTAATATCTTACACTAGTATGGTATATTTGTTACAATTAACGAGCCAATATTGACACCCTATTAACTAAAGTCCACACTTGCTCAGATTTCCTTAGTTTTTACCTGATGTTCTTTTCCCATTCCAGGATCTCATCCAGGACACCACATTAGATTTAGTTGTCATGTCTCTTTATGTTCCTCTTAGCTGTGATAGTTTCTTAGATATTCCTTGTTTTTGATAACCTTGACATTTGTCAAGAGTACTGGTCAGGTATTTTGTACAATGCTCATCAATTTGGGTTTGTCTGATTTTTCTCATGGTTAAACTGGATTAATGGGATTGGAGGAAGATCACAGAGGCCATTCTCATCACACCATATCAAGGGTATATGCAATCAATATGAATTATCACTGCTGATGTTAATCTTGATCACCTGGCTGAGGCAGTGTTTGTCAGGTTTCTCCATTAAAGTTACTTTCCCTCCCTTTCCACACTTGGAAGTCACAGCACAGCCCACACTTAAGGAACAGAGAGTCAGGCTCCCCTTGCTCCTTAATGGCAGAGTAGCTACATAAATTATTTGGAATGCTACATGGCAAATTTATCTCTTTCTCCCTCTTTTAGTTATCTATCACTAATTATATATCAGTATGGACTCATGGATATTTATTTTATATTTCGGGTTACAACTTGTTAGTATTTTATTTTGTTGTTCAAATAGTTCCTTCCAGCTTGGGCCACTGGGAGCTCTTCAGCTGGCTCCTGTGTCCCTCTGACATGCCCCCTTCATTGTGGGGTTTTTTAAAGCACTTTACTTTTTGGCACTATAATATGTTCAAAGCTCAATTTATATATTTCCTACTCCAGTCCTAGAACTGACCACTTCTCCAAGAGCCCTGGTTGCTTCTATTGGAGAATGGTTATTAGAAACCAGGATCTAGGTGCTACATATAATCACTGTTTGCTGCATCTAGGCCCTCTCAGCAGACAGAGCAAGGAAATATATGTGTATACCAATCTGTGTACACATTCATCTCTGTAAATATTTCTATATGTAACCATCTGTATCCACATTAAGTATCCACATTACTGATATATCCTTCTCTAATTCATTACCACATGGACCATTCTAGCCTCTTCCCCTTACTCTTCTGTAAATACCCACCCCAACAATGAGAAATCTGGCTTCCACCATCCATTTATTTATTTGGTCAATTCCAGTATACATGTATAACAGTATCAGAACTGTTAACCTGTACACCCATGAAAAACAACTTCATCAGCTAGAATACAATACTCAGGTGCAGGTTCTTTTGCCTTTAGTCTTTCAGAATTCACTTACTTCCAAATTTACTTAGTTCAGCATTTTTTTCTCTCCCCCTCCCGCCCCCCTCATTACAGATGTTTCATACATCTGTAATAGTCTGTTTTTAAAACATTCTGCATTCTATCCTGGGATCTCCTAAACATTTTCTTTTTAATTTTCACACATTAAAATTCATTCTTTGTGCTGCAAAAGTTCTGTATGTTTTGACAACTGTCACGTAGCCACTATTCCACTGGATCATACAGAATAGTTCCATCCCTCTAAAAATTCCCCCGTGCTTCACCTATTCAATCCTCCTCACTTCCTGAACTCATGGCAACCACTGATCTCTGTACTATCACTTTAGTTTTCCATCTTCCATGTCATACTAATGAAATTATATAGAATGCAGCCTTTTTGAATCAGGTTCCACTTTGTAATTTGCATTTAAGATTCATCCATGTCTTTTTGTGGTTTGACAGCCTATTTCTTTTTACAGTTGAATAATATTCTACAGTTTGTTTATCCATTCACCTATTGAAGAACATCTTTAGTTACTTCCATTTTCTGGAGATCATAATATAGCTGCCATGATAAACATTCATATGCAGGTTTTTCTGTGAACCTAAGTTTTCAAAGGAAATTTCAATATAGCAGTTAACACCATCCCTTCTTCCTGAACAATCTTCCAATTCTGCTACCTATCCACTGAAGTCACCAAAGTCTCTTCCCACCAAACTGGTGCATCTGCCCAATAATCCTCTATTTCTCTAGCACAATTTTAATTGCACATGTGCTAGCCACTCTTTTCAAAGCTGACGGACCTATGAATTCTACTAAATCGAATAAACATTTACTAAGGGCCTACTATGTGTCAGGCACTGTATACACTAGGATTCAAAGGATGAATGAAACAGTGGTCATGGCCCTCTATGAGGAAAGCAAAGCACCTCCAGTTAATTCACCCAGGAGCACAAGGGACCACAGAAGTGCTTCACAGTGCTCCCAAGCTTACCCCAACAGCTATCCCTCCCTCCTTGCAGTGGCTGTCTTAACTTCAAGTAGAAACTAGCTTGGGGCTCTCTAGTGATATGAACTACCTGTGTATTTTTATTTGAGTCTTGTCTCTCACACTATGCATGCATCTGAGCTAAGTTCCTAGCTTTCTGTACGAATGACAAATCCATCATAATTCTTATCATCAGAGTCAACAGGTGTTCCTTAACCCTCTTCTATCATTACAATGCTATTCTTTCCTCCATTCTCATTTTCTTTGTAGGGCCTGGAATCATATACCAGCCATACTCCTGAAAATATAGGAACTAAAAGACTATGCCGAAGAAGAAGACTGATACGTTAAAGCACTTCTAATTTAATATTGCCTGTATCTCCCCAATTCTTACTTTCCCCAATGGAAATAAGAAAACAGTATAAATAACTAAACCCCTTTCTACTATTTATATGCAAAATGACTGGATAATGCAAAAATGACTTTACAAGGAATATAACACATTTTATTCTGCAAATTTACTTCTCCCTACCTAATTCACATAATAAAGGCACTGCCAGGCACAAACTAACATATGAAGTTCTAGAGTACATGTGACTCTCCTGGAAATGTATCCTACAAAAATAATTCAAGAGAAGAAAAATATGCTATGCAGAAAATGTTCATTACTATGTTATGTATAATAATGAAAAACTGAAACAACCAAAACAATCCCAAAAGATGAGCAAATGTGAATAAATTAGGTCAATGGTATAATATGCAACAATTCAAAATAATTGGAAAACAAAATAGAAACATGGGAAATGTCTCATATTGTAGAATATAAGGTTACAAATATATTTATACACTGCAAAAATATGCATATATATAAAGAACCTGAAGGAAAATATACAGAAAATGATTTAGATAATTAAATTAACCAAATTTTTCCTTAAATTTTTTCTCTTACAATATTAGTCTGAAGAAAAGTTAATGTATCCCTTCATTTTAGATAGAGTTTTGCAGGTTCTTCCAAACCATACTCAACAGAAAACAAAACAAAACAAAAAAAACCTATTAGGGGGTTAAGGGGCAGCTAAGAATAACTGAACTCAGGAAATGTTGGATAAAAGATCAGACTGCTTGGCTTGAATCTAGGCTCTGCTAAACTATTAGTTCTGTTAACTGTGGGATGGTTACTAATCTCTGTGCATCCTCATTTAAATTGAGGACACTTATACTTTTGTGATAATAAAAAAGAAATAAGTACATAACAAGTGTATGATAAATGTTAAGTTTTACTATTCCATTCATATATGTGTTGATCAGATAATAATGCTGAAGAGAAATACTGTGAGACTATCAATATAATCTTACAGCAGCATATATTTTGTGTTCATTATTTGTCTGGTGTTGGAAAATTATAACCATTGAAAATCTGCACTTAAAATTCCTTTTCTTCTGCAAGATAAGAAAGATAAGAGTCTCTTTTTTTTTTTTTGAAATGGAGTTTCGCTCTTGTAGCCCAGGCTGGAGTACAGTGGTGTGATCTCGGCTCACTGCAACCTACGCCTCCCAGGTTCAAGCGATTCTCCTGCCTGAGCTTCCCGAGTAGCTGGGATTACAGGCACCCACCACCACGCCCGGCTAATTTTTTTGTATTTTTAGTAGAGATGGGGTTTCACCATGTTGGCCAGGCTGGTCTCAAACTTCTGACCTCAAGTGATACACCTGCCTCGGCCTCCCAAAGTGCTGGGATGACAGGTGTGAGCCACAGTGCCCGGCCAAGTCTCACTGTTTTAAATTTCGTTTAAAATTTTTATATTTAGAATAATTTGATAGTTTCCTTTAAAAAAAATCACATGCACTCATTTTACTTACTAACTGTGTTTGTTTTGCTCACTAAAGGGCTTTTTGTGCTCATTAAAAGGCTTTTTAAAAACTAAAATTTCATTTAAGGAAGAGGTCCTGCTTTACTCATCTTTGTATTTCCCCTCCCCAGGCACAGTACATAACATATATAGGCAACAATTAATAAACATCAATTGAATTCTTAAACATTTTTTATTCCCACTGCAAAATTAAATTTTCCAACAACATGGTGAAGAAATAATGATCACTGCATGTTAATAATGCAATTTCCAAAAGGGTATACCTGTTTTATTCTAGAACCTCCAGAACCTTTCATTAATAGAAACCCAAAAACTACGTGCACAAGAAACCAAGAGACCGGGCTCTTTAGACATATTAATACCTTAGGTTGCTGAAGACAACTCAGGTTGAGAATTTAGTGCTTGAAAACAGTTAAGTTCTTCTAAAATGCTTGCCCCTACAATTATGAATGTGACTGACACCCAAGATTAGTTTTCCTTATTTTAAGAAAGAGGTTAAAATTAAATTTCTACTAAGAAGATCACCTCAAAAGAAGAAGAAAAAAACATGGGGTTAATAGGATCTGTCAAGAGTCAGCAGCTGCCTTGACATGGCATACTGCACCCATATAATTAATATGCTCACGCAGGTTCTCCAGTATTATCATGCCACCACCTTTCTGCTTTTATCCCCAACTTTTACTCTCTCATTCATTCACTAACACATTCAAAGGAGCTGTTAAACTGCTACACACTGCCTGGAACAAAGGCAGTCAGAACCACTGGATCAGCCAAACATAACACTCTTGAGCATGATCATTAGGGTCACCCTCTCTTTACCCCCACCCCGGATAAGAAACATCTGGGCTGATCTCTAGTGTACACCAGAAATTTGGGGGGACCTGCCTGATATCTAGCCACTAAAGATGAATGTTTGTTTACAAAACACACAACAGCACCTGCAAAAATCTGGCCTTATATCCTTGGTAAATCTTCATTGTTTCAAATTACTCTAGTGAGCCACAAAATAAAACAAACTGCTTAATCCAGCCAGAGTTGTAACTAAGCAGCTGTGCTTTATTGATAGAAATTGGAGAGTAAGAGTTACAAATCACATATTTAATATTATAAAGGCATCTACACTGTATTTGATAAATATAGACAGCCTGAAGAAGTAAAGAGCTACCCTATACCCTGCCAAGCATACAACGTCAAAACAATGAAAAATGTTAAGACTGCAGCTCATAATTAGTCATTCTACTATGAGGGGGGTGTTGGCAGGCAATTTCTGAGAGAAAAGTAATGTCTGAGCTTGGAATAAGCAGTCTCTCTCTATCAAAGAAGTGGACACTTAAGAACTGCTTCAGACTGCTCATAAATATCCCCATTCACAGGCAGACACCAGGTGGTCTGCCTAACCTGATTGTGAGTAGAAGCCATTCTAAGAAAAATAAAAACCAAACAAAAGAGTGTTTTGTCAGTTCCTTGGTCCACTATGGAGGCGAAATAAGCTGCTGTCCTATGGAAGACACTGAAGGATTTTTCCTACAGTGACTCCATCATCTTCAGGATCATAACATTATAATTGTTAAGTAATCATATTTTTTGTAACAGAAGCCAAAACACACACACACACACACAGACACACACTCCATGAACTTGTTCTTTGAACTACAGACACATAATTCTAGTAAGCAAATGTAAAAATCGTTTTTTTAAAAAGTTAGAAATCCAATTCTTTTACCGGTCCTATGATATACTCTGTTGGAATGGTAGTTCGATAACGATTTATCTTTACTGGTAACATTCACTTTTTCAAGGATTTTAGTATCTTTGCAAAAAATGAAAATATCACAAAGAGCCTAAAGAACTTAGAGTTACATGCTAAATAAACAAAACAAAAATACTACTGTGTTGTATAATGTAAGTACATTTAAGCCAATCATTATCACGTGACAATTTTGATCTGAGTAAGATAAAGGCAAGCTATGAAATATTTCAGAAAACTTTTTTTTACTTTAAATTCCTGAGTTTTTAAAGGAAATGACACGTGCACACATACTTTATTGGTAACAATAAGCAGTTCATGTTATCAATAATTTGGAGAAAAACAGTCTCTTTAAAAATAAAACAGGCCAAGTGCAGTGGTTCACGCCTGTAATCCCAACACTTTGGGAGGCCAAGGTGGGCAGATCACTTGAGGTCAGGAGTTCAAGACCAGCCTGGCCAACATGGTGAAACCCCATCTCTACTGAAAATATAAAAATTAGCCAGGCATGGTGGCACGCGCCTGTAATCTTAGCTACTTGCGAGGGTGAGGCAGGAGAATGGCTTCGACCCAGGAGGTGGAGGTTGCAGTGAGCTGAGATCACGCCACTGCGCTCCAGCCTGGGTGACAGAGCAAGACTCAGTCTCAAAATAAATAAATAAATAAATAAATAATAAAATAAAATCATTTTTTAAAGGCGAACAGAAATCAGCAAAGGTTGTATTTTTAGCTCTATGGTTTCATCATGTCACATAAAGGAGACAAAAACAAAATGTGACATAGGCTATTAAATAACCTGTTTTTTTTTCTAGATTAAAAAGACACTTCTTAACGATAAAAATTTTAATCCAAACGTGAGATTGAACTCACCAGATTACACAGTAATTACAGATGGAAAAATGTATGTGTACAATGAAATCATCTGGTGGTCATCAACTTAAGTACATGATCAAACATGGCAATACCAAGAGAAGCACAATCTGATGTTATGGAATGTGATGCAGTAACAAATGCATGTCAACTAATAAAGTATTATTGCCAAAAAATGTTTAGGCTAAAGTGAATTGTGAGGAAACCAATTAGATGAATGCAGAATGTTGGACACTGTATAAAACAGACTTTGATCAAGGCTTAGACTCTTCAAAAAAAAATGACAGGAAAAACAAAAAAACAAACCAAAATTTGTCAAAGGAACCAGCGTAGATGAAAATAAGAGAGACATAATAAAACACTTAAACCTAATCTTGGATTAATTTTAAAACTACAATAAAAAACATTTGAGGGGCAATTAAAGAGATTTGAATGGGGCTGTATATTCAATTTTATGGAATTATTGATATTTTTCTTAGGTATATTTCTTAATATTGTGGCAATGTAAAATAATATCCTTATTCTTGGGGAGAATAAGCTGAAGAATTTAAGGGTGGAGTGTCAATGTTTGCAACCAGCTACAAGACAGCAAAAAAACAAAGGGAGAAGAAGAGAGGGAAAGCATACGTGGAAAAATGCAAGTAACTGCTCAGTCTCAGTGAAAGATACATAGGAATTCACTGTTCTAGTGTTTTAACTTTCCTGTAGGTTTGAACCTTTTTAAACAATAAAGTTGATAGAGGAGAAGAATGATTGTGGGAGCTCCACTCTTTTCATTTATTTGCACTATACTAGGTTTTGCTTCTATTGCCAAACACACCCAAATCATCATTTTCTCTCAGTAGCAAAAGATAAATTAAATGCTGATACATGATGGGCAGCAAAGACAAAAAATTCCTTTTTTTGTAAGCATAGGAAATACTACCTAGAAATACAAATTCAAAAGAGAGCCCTTCAAGGGTGAGTGAATTTAAAAGCCTAGTCTAAGAAACAACACAGTTCCCAAACTTGTTACATAAGTTGCAAGAAAAGTCCCAATCAATTTTTTAAAAAGCCAGTCAGCAAGAATAAAGTATTTTCAAAAAAATGCAAATCACATTGTCCATTTATAAATTTAAAGGTATTACCAAACATGATTTATCACCACAGGCAAAAAAATCTTAACATTTCATATATTTATTTTCAAATGGGTTAAATGTCAAAAGAATCCTGAACAAATACAAAAGTTTAATAACCAAAACTCCTTCTGGTAGGATTTCATTGAGTAGCTTATAATATAAAAGCTAAAAGATTAAAAAACAATCACTGAAAAATATGAAACTCCAAAATAGGGTCTGTAAAAGCGTAAGAAAACTGACAGACACACAGTGGGTACTCGGATATTTGCTAAATGAATACTTAACTGAAGACAAAAGTACACCACAAGCCTTTGAAATATGCTACTGTGCAGAAACACAGGGGCAAGTGAAATTTCCCTGTTTATTAAAATTGCAACAACCCCAGCACTTTGGGAGGCCAAGACAGGTGGCTCACCTGAGGTCAGCAGTTCGTAACCAGCCTGGCCAACATGGTAAAACCCCATTTCTACTAAAAATACAAAAATTAGCCAGGTGTAGTGGCAGGCGCCTGTAATCCCAGCTACTCGGGAGGATGAGGCAGGAGAATCACTTGAACCTGGGGGGCAAAAGTTGCAGTGAGCCAAGATTGCACCACTGCACCCCAGTCTGGGTGACAGAGTGAAACTAGGTCTCAAAGAAAATAAAGTAAATAATAAATAATAAAATAAATTTTAAAAATGAAAAAAATTAAATTAAATTAATAAAATAAAAATAATCACAAATCCTAAGGGGATCCTCCTTCACAACAGTCTCCACAGACACACAGAGGGAAAATGCCTGTCCAATGAGTCAAGACGCTGAGTTCTGGAAACCAATGTTAGCACACGTGACTAGCTTTTAAGAATCAGGCGGAGTTATTCCTTAGACTCCTGAGGTTTCCAGAGACCCTCCTCCAGTGGGAAATATTCAAACCCACAGAACTTAAAAAAAGAGATCTTTCAAAGGACATTGGGTTATAAGTGACATGACATCCTTAGTGAAAACTGACTCCCACAAAGACAAACTCTTATCCCTGACTGAACTTTTAAGAGACAGAAAAGCCTGTCAAGGATGCCTGCCATGCCTGGGGTCATTCTTTGTGCATTAACTAAAACAAGCTTACTTCCACGTCTATAACTAATTAGACTAAGAATCTGTAATGGAGGTGGCCAAGAGGAAAGGGTGAGGAAGAGTGCTGGTTAAACTGGTACCATGTGAAACAGCTGTCATTGGCCACATGTGGCTATTAAGCACTTAAAATGTGACTGGTCTGAACTGAAACGTGCTTAAGTACAAAAGACACACCAAATTAAGTGATTTAGTATAAAGAAAATAATATTTTAAAACCTTAATACTTTTATACTGATTATATTTTAAAATATTTCATGTATGTTGTGTTAAAATTATTCATTTATTTTGCCTTGTTTTGATTTTGCTTATATGGCTACTAGAAGTTTTAAAATTATGTTACATATTTTTATTGAGCAGCACTGGGTCAGACACACTCTAACCAAAAAGAGAGCTCAGTAAAAGCACCAGCAACTCATATTTATTAGGAGCACTTGCCAGGTTTCAATTATGTGCTATTTCAAATACAGTATTTCTCTTTAGTCTTCACAGTGGCTCTAGGAAGTACATACCCTGGGTTCAAAGAAAGCAAACTGTGGCTTGAGGGGAGGGGGAATATACACACAAAAGTACCCCAAATCATAGCCTAGTAAATACCAGAACAGAAATTTGAATGCAAAACTCTCATTCCAGAGCTTAAGCTCAGAACCCCTAGGCCAGTGATTCTCAAAGTATTGTCCAGGACTATCACCATCACCTGAAAACTTACTAAAAACGAAAATTCTCCAGCTCTTACCCAGACCTAGAGAGTCAAATTCTGGAGGTGGGACTTACTTAGTTAACAGTCTATAGTTTAACAAGCCCTCCAGATGATGCTGATTCAGCCCTAAAGTTAGAGAACCACTGTCCTGGGCTATACCAGTAACAGCCAACGAAATCCTCCCAGAGGATAAATATAAGAAGCATGAGACAAGGCTCGTCTCCGTTATGGTATCTTTTCTTGAAACTCTTCGAGAAAACTGCTCCATGTCCCAGATCAGGTGAGCACTGTGCCTCTGGCTCTGCATCCTAACTTTCTAGAGTATTACTTCAACAACCTTCTTCTAGAAACAGCATTTCATTTCATTAACATCCAGATGGATTCCAGATTTAAATGCAAATAAAATCACAAAAACTAAAATCACAAAAACTACCGTGCCAGCCAACACTGGCTTCTTGGCTGTTCCTGAACCCATCTTGGAACACTCCCAGTTTCATGGCCCTTGCAATTGGTGTCACCTCTGCCTAACACTCTTTCCCCAGATAACTTATGTGGCTTGCTCTTTATCTATTGCTACGGACTGAATGTTTGTGTCCCCCCAAAATTCGTATGTTAAAGCCTATTCCTCAATGTATGGTATTAGAAAGTGGTGACTTGTGGGGCTATTTAGGTCATGAAGGTAGAGTTCTTACGAATGGGATCAGTGCCCTTATAAAAAGAAACAAGAGAGCTGATCTCTTTCTCTCTCTCTCTGCCATGTGGACACAGCAAGAAGGTGTCTGTAAACCAAGGAGAGGGTCTTCACCAGGAACCCAACAATAGCCAGCATGTAATCTTGGACTTCCCAGCCTTCAGTAGTATTATGAGGAATAAATTTATTGTTTTAGCCACCCAAACCAAGGTATTTTAAGATAGAGACTTTGCCAGTTTTATTTTCTGCTATATCCCTATGCTAGGATAGTACCTGGTATACCTTAAATGTTCAGCTAGGCTGGGCATGGTGGCTCATGCCTATAATCCCAGCACTGTGGGAGGTCAAGGCAGGCAGGTCACCTTAGGTCAGGAGTTTGAGGCCCGCCTGGCCAATATGGCAAAACCCTGTCTCTACTAAAAATACAAAAAATTAGCCAGGCATGGTGGCAGGTGCCTGTAATCCCAGCTACTACTGGGAAGGCTGAGGGAGGAGAATTGCTTGAAACCGGGAGTGGAAATTGCAGTGAGCTGAGACCGCACCACTGCACTCCAGCCTGGGTGACAGAGCAAGACTCTGTCTCAAAAAAAAAAAATTCAGCTAAATATTTGTGGAATGAATAAAACTAGACCCTTAAAAAAACATGCGAACAAGCACACCACTCAGGAAGCTGCTCTCTGCTCTATTTCTGGAGACCAAAAGAGTCCCTAACATAGAGCAAATATTCAATAATGTTGGAAGGAGGGAGGAAAGGAGGAGCTAAGAATCTAAGTTAAGGCCACATCCTTAAATAACCAACAGGAACAAGAGGAACCAGAAGAACTATGAAGACAAATCAATGTAAGATATTTGTTTTAACTCAGAATGAGGCTGGCTTCAAAGACAGGGAGCCAAATAAGCATTTAGGAAGCAATATATTTTAATTTTGCAAAACAACAAAAAACAGTAAGCTTATAAACAGAAGCTTTACTGAGAGAAAATGAACAGCTTGAACTACATGGGGGAAAATAATGCATAATGTCAGGAATTGCGAGATACAAAGACAAAATAAAAATTTTTAGAGCAATGACATTTCTGGCAGATGAGGAAAAGTTTGCAATAGATGTAGTGAGATACCACAGCAAGGACAAAGTTTGGCAGGAGTAAAAGCATAAAGGTCAAACTGGAGATACATATTGAGACCACATATTTACACAGCTTACTAGGAAAGCAGCATTGAAGTTCATATGCAGTGATACAGAAAGAATCCTATGTGCTTCCACAGTTGTGAGGAAAAAGCATTAATCACACAGGCCAATGGGGTAATAATAATGCAGCTGTGTAAAGGCAAAGATAACGTTACTATAGGAACTTTGCTTCCAGTTTTTTCTACTTATTGGCAAAATTAATATTTTCTTCTAAGGAAGCATTAAAAACTTTTTTTAAAAAATTTAATTCACACAATATTTCCTTCTAACTGCAATAACTTTAACCAGCAGTTTTTAAAGCATGCTTCTGTAAGAGTAAGAATATGCAAGTAATTAGTTTAGTTCTGGACTTGCCTGAGAAACTCAGAATTTATTCCCGGAAAATACTAAATCTATTCAAAAGAGCTTATTTTAAAGAGGATATTTCATTTTGAAGGCATGTCCAACAGTAATAATGCAACTTTCTAAAGAAAGGGCAGCTGAGACCAAACAAACCATGACCGAGGGTCACTACATCTGTGCCACTTTCCAGTGAGGAGAATTGGCATGTCACCCCAACCTGAGTATCTGGCTCCTGCTCCTCTCCCCTCTCTCCATCCTGATTCAACAAAGTGCTAGCAAATGATCTCAGAAATTCTGTGGCAGAACAGCAGTGCTTACACAGGGGTTAAGATTTAGAGTCACTAAGTCTGGGGCAGGGCCAGGGTATTTAAAGTTTACAAAGGTTCTGCAGGTGAGTTGGAACAACCATTTGAAAGGGTACAATCACTTCACTGAGATGCCTACTACATTTTTAGATTTATAGATTCAGATTTATAGTCCCACTAACACACACAATTATAGGTATCATCATCTTTATCAGAATAATTCACTCCAGGGTCTAAAGTTTCTATAAAATGAATTCTATGCCTACTACTAACTTCTTATTTGATTGTAAACATTTTTGGTTAATACTCACCAATTGAAAGAAATGCTAGATATTGTTACTAGGAGGACTTCTTGAGCAAATTCAAAACTGAATCATTTTTTCCAAAATCTAGAAATGTATTCCTCTGAACATCACCACCCGCAACCTCTGACTCATCAGATCACAAAAATGAATTTCTCTCATGCTGAGAGTTCCACTGGCCACTCACTTCTAACTCCACTCCTTTGTTCTGAGTTTATAATGTTTTCTAGAACTGGGATTAAATTTCACACTTTACAGCAGGTAACACAATCTGATTCAAAGTAAAGTCCCACTCCAGCCTAAATATTCTTAAATATTTTCAAGGCTATTAATTCTCAGAGATAAATCATTGCCCTATATTCAGGAAATGTAAATTTTGACACTGATAAGTTGTGGGCTATCTGAATGAGTCCATGTCTTACTTATCTTTGTATTCCCTGTGCCTGGAACATTTAGTAAACATTCTAGATTTTTTTTTTCCACTGACATAGTTGTCACTTATTAGGTTGGTGTAACTGTGGTTTTAATAAAGTATTAATTGCTTTTTAATACTTAGGCTTCTTAATGAGGGGAAAATATGCTCCTTCCTGGTTAAGTATGGATAGTTAAATAATATAACAATCCTCCCTTCTTCAGAGACTCATCCTTTGCTATAATGATTAAACTTTCCTAAATAGAGAAAGAAGACTAAATGAACTGCGAAAATGCGAAAATAAATACATAAATGATTTTAAAAGCCAGGTCAACATAAAGCTGGACAGACGGGGTTGGGAGGTAGTCGGGTTTTCACTAATTAAACGCTTATTTTTATCCACTAAACTAAGGATAAAAAAACCAACAAATGTCACAAGAAAACTGGTGGTTAGTTCTTCACTCCCCAAGGAAGATGTTTCTTTGCACAGCAGGTACTGGTAGTGGCTTACTGAACATAATTTCTGGTGCCTATAACATGCAACCACTGCCACCACCCCAAAAATCCATTCAAATACTCACCTAGGTAACAGCTGGTGAATCCCATGAGAGCTCAGTCACTTAACAGACCACAAACTCAAATGTCTAAAGGATAAGGCAGGTAATGTAAGTGAGTAAAGTAAGCTAGGCTCAGGACAACAGGCAGTAGTTTAGACTGGCAAACTCAAGGATACCTGCCAGTCTAATGGGCAATATCTACTCAACTCCTGCCAACCAGAGCCACAAAGAAATGTAAAAAGAAAAAAAAAATTATATTTTGTAAAGAGAACCCAAACTCAGAATTTATGTGACATCTCCCCTACTTTGAAAACACTGCAGGCCAAATCAAACGTATCTGCAGACAATGTCTACTTTTGTGTTTTCCTTTTAAAATACAAATGTCCCTGAGAGAGCTGGTTATCTGTTTCAGTCTTGGGACAGCAACAAAATGCTTTTAGCACAGGAGGTGCTTGATAAAGACTTGTTAGATGGATGGATAGATCTGAGATTACAAAATATTTCAGGCATAAAAAGAGACTAGAATAATAAAAGCAAATTCCACATAGCTTCACAATTTGACAAACATCTGCCTCTCCTGTCTCATCTACCTCTTCTAACTTAATTCTCCTTTATCTATTCCTCTTTTTACTTTTCAACTACATGTGCTTTGTATGTTGGTGGCACTGTGAACCTTAAGTAATAACACCAACCTAAACTTTACTTATTGTTATTTTTTTTTGGAGACAGGGTCTCACTGTGTCACCACACTGGAGAGCAGTGACACAATCTTGGTTCACCGCAGCCTCAACCTCCTGGGCTCAAGCAATCCTTCCACCTCAGTCTCCTGAGTAGCTGGAACCACAAGCACGTGCCACCAGGCGTGTGTGGGGGTGTGTGTGTGTGTGTGTGTGTGTGTGTGGAACCACAAGCACGTGCCACCAGGCGCATGTGTGTGTGTAGACAGGGTTTCACCATGTTGCCCAGGCTGGTCTCGAATCCCTGGGCTCAAGCTATCTGCCCGCCTCAGCCTCCCAAAGTGCTTGGATTACAGCCATGAGCCTAGGTTCTTAATGTATCAGTATTTGTTAAACTGAGTTATTTCATTACAAAGAAATGTTTGTTTTATTTTATTTTTATTTTGCTACGTTGCCCAGGCTGGCCTCAAACTCCTGGACACAAGTGATCCTCCTATCTCAGCCTCCTAAGAAGCCGTGACTACAGGCACATGCCACTACACCCAGCTGAAATTTTATTTTATAAAAGAATTCCCTTGAGTATCACATTCCTCTAGTGCCTTACATACCTGATGCTCAATAAACACTCATTGCCTAGTTTATAGATCTTTATTTAATAAACTAAAGACTGAGAGAAACTAAAACTAAAGTACTGGAAGTCTTATATCATTGAACAATTAGAAATAAAACATCCCTTTTTAATTTTTTCAGACATTTTTCACATTCAACTTTTTGAGACTGCTGAAAAAAGTATAACTGCTGCAGTAGCCCCATGAACACGTAACACATACAGCAATGACCTCTCTGATAATTAACAGACTAAGTCCTAGGCTTCCATAGTCTCAAAAGGGAGATGCAATGACAACAGCTACAACTGGCTCATTCCACTAGTTCAGACCAGCTTAGCTGGATCTAGCTGAAACTTGCCTTAGCCTCTAGACGAGTAGCTCACTCTTATAGATGAGAGTACTGGACACCTGGATGCTGGAATGTAGAAGTCCACTGGGCTTCAGTAGAAGTTTTAAATAAATCACTTTTAAGACAAAAGTTTCTGCCAACTAGCTTTTAGCACTGATACACTGCTTTGTTCAAATTATGTAATCATATACAATTTAAATGTTTTCAGAAAGTACCATCTTCACATCCTACCATCAACTATAGAGGAACTCACAAGGGAGTGACTGTTGTTCAAATTTTTAGTTTGCTTTCTAGTACCACCTGAGGGAATGTGAAAGCTAAGACTGCACATCTGAGCCCCCATTCCAACCCATGGCTCTGCCACTGATAATATACTCCCTCTTCTCATATGTACAACGGGAAACCTGGACAGTTTTACCTTTAAAGCTCTTAACACTTAGTTCATCTGACTCAATTTTTGTTTTAGTTTCTTTCTCAGCAGTTCTAACTAATTGTAAGAATTGGCATTTCATGACCTTTATACTTTTGAGTCACTGCAAGAAATTTCATGCTCTATCTTGCAATTACCATATTGGTCCAATAGACTCACTTTATAAATATAAGACACATTATGGAAGTTTAGCGATCTTATTTTTCCTATATCTTGAAACATGTTAACATTTCATCATCCAGATAGTTTACCACTACTCATCAATTATATCCAACTGTGCTTTCAAAAAGACTATAACCCAAAAAAGAAAAATGATGGAATCACCTACAGTGAAGGATGATGCAATCATGAAATAAATAATTATCCTTCAGCTTTTTTCATTGCACTGCCCAAAGTAAGTCACGTGTTGCTGAACAATGGGGTTATCTTTTGAAAAATGCAATTTCATTGTTGTGTGAACATCATAGAGTGAACTTCCACAAACCTAGATGGTATAGCCTACTACACACTTAGGCTATATGGTATAGCCTATAGCTCTTGGACTACAAACCTGTATAAGCATGTTACTGTACTGAATACTGTGGGCAATTATAAAACAAAGGTATTTGTGAATCTAAACATATCTGAAAACAGAAAAGGCAGAGTAAAAACACCATATAAAAGATAAAAAATGGGGCCAGGGGTGGGGGGTGGCTCACGCCTGTAATCCCAGCACTTTGGGAGGTCAAGGCGGGTGGATCACCTGAGGTCGGGAGTTCAAGACCAGCCTGACCAACATGGAGGAACTCCATCTCTACTAAAAATACAAAATTAGCCGGGTGTGGTGGTTCATGCCTGTAATCCCAGCTACCTGGGAGGCTGAGGCAGGAGGAGAATAGCTTGAACCCGGGAGGCAGTGGTTGCAGTGAGCTGAGGTCACACCATTGCACTCCAGCCTAGGCAACAAGAGCAAAACTCCATCTCAAAAAAAAAAAAAAAAAAAAAAAAAAAAAAGATAAAAACTGGTACACCTGTATAGGACACTTACCATGCAGGCAGCTTACAGGACTGGAAGGTGCTCTGGGTAAGTGAATGGTCAGTAAATGTGAAGGCCTAGCACATTACTGTGGGGTTTATAAACGGTACACATGGTACACCAAATTTATTGTTTAAAATATTTTTTCCTTCTACTTCTAAACTTAGCTCACTGTAACTTTTATATTATAAAACTTCTGAATTTTTAAAACCTTGGACTCTTTTGTATTAACATTTAGCTTATAACACAAACACAATGTACAGCTGTACAAAAATATTTTCTTTATATCCTTATTCTATATGCTTTTGTCTATTTTAAAACATTTTTATTTTTTGTTTTACTTTTTAAACTTTTTGTTAAAAACTGCAACACAAACACATACATTAGCCTAAGTCAACACAGGGTAAGGATCATCAGCATCACTGTCTTCCACCTCCACAAGGATTTTTTCCTACTGGAAGGTCTTCAGGGGTAGTAACAGGTATAGAGCTATCATCTCCAGTGACAACACTGCCTTCTTCTGGAATACCTCCCGAAGGAGTTGCCTGAGGCTACTTTACAGTTAACTTTTTAAAAAAATAAATACCATACTCTAAGGATAGATAGCATAATAAATACATAAACCAGTAACATAGTCATTTCTTGTCATTATCAAGCACTATGTGGTGTACATAATTGTACTGGCTATACTTTTATACAACTGGCAGCACAGTAGATATACTTACACAAGCATCATCGTAAACACATGTGTAATGTATTGTGTTAGGATGGCTACCACGTCACTAGGCAATAGGAGTTTTTTCAGTTCCTCTATAATTTTATGGGACCACTGTTGCATATGTGGTCTGCCCTTGATGCAAACATTGTTACACATGACTATATTTGCATCATCTTTCACCCTCTAGAAGGCTGCTCCACTGCTTATGTCATTTACAAATATAAAAATATATATAATTGGCTACATTTTTATTGCACAACTGTGAAAGGAAAATATATCTCGGGACCCCAAAATCACTAAGCCAAAGGAAAAAGTCAAGCTGGGAACTGCATATGGCAAACCTGACTCTTATTCTATCCCTAAATAAGATACATACAAAGATTAAAAAAAAAAAAAGCTACATACCTCCCTCACCATTTGCCCACAAGGAAATTCCTTGTGGACAAAGGACAGACAGAAGACAGAACTCAAAGTTGTCCCTCTGCTCACATGAGACAAACGCACATCTGATTGCTTCCTTTGCCCTATTGTTTCACTAAGCCAGACTAAGGCATAAATGACTATCCTTGTAAATGGCGTATTCTGTGAAACCTTAATCAGAAACTCAAAAGAATGAAACTGTCATTTACCTGCTTATGACCCAGAAGCCCTCTCCCCACTTTGAGTTGTCCAAACTGAACCACTGTAAATCTTACATGTACTGACTGATGTATCATGTCTCCTTAAAATATATAAAACCAAGCTGTGTGTGCCCTGACCACGTTGGGCACATGGCATTAGGACCTTCCAAGGCTTTGTAACAGGTGCATCCTTAACCCTGGCAAAATAAACTTCCTAAATTGAGACTTATCTCAGACACTCTTCGGTTTACACAACTCATGTTGACCTTCTACAAGGAAAAATTTTTTAAATAATATTATTTCCCCACAAGCCACCACCCAGAGTCAAACACTATATATTTTGGTGTTTCCCATCAAAAACATACACATATATATTTACATATTACAAATTTTAAATTTAGAATTTATAACAAAACTTACTGAGAATTCCATGATCCTCCCACAGTAACAATGAGCATTCTAAAGCACCTACCTAACCATGACCAAAAATCACAATACCCTAAGATCTCACTACAGTGGTCACAGACATGAAGCTGATGATCCTGGCTTCAATATGGGTGAAAACAGTTATTTTTAAAAGAGAATATTCACAGAACAGCATCACTTAGTCCAAATCTGAAACAAAGATAACAGCTGTCTTCTCATTCCAGAGTCCTGAACAAGGTCGTACTGTGATTTATAACTGTTGACCTCACCATGTTGTAGTTTTTGTTTAAGTGCCCCAAATGTCTTGAAATACAAGAAACACGCTATTCCTATGAAGAAAATACCATCCTAAGTCAGCCAAAATTGTTCTACCTATACATCTATCACCACAAGCATCCCTATCAGCCTCTAGGCTGGAACTACCAGCTAGGTATGGTTGCCTTAGGCTCAGACCACTGATTCCTCATTTCCCTTTTAGGAAACTCAGTACTTTAAATGTACCCCCTGCTCCTTGCTATGTTCTCCTGGTGCCCTCAGAAGTATATTCCAATTGTGCTTTTTTGTGCACAAGAACAAATAGAAAGCAGAGAAATAAATTCCCATTATAAATTTTCCAGCAGGAATCTACTTCACCAAGCTAGGTACTGCTTACCCTACAATTAATTTTAATATTGCAGCAGGGAAGGCTTTTTTCCTTTATGTTTTAATCTGGGGACAAGAACAAATCCAGTAATAGAACGTCAACATTAATTTGAGGGGAGATGAAAAATGACTTAATAACACTGCAGCAGGATTAATATTGTACGATAGATCATGAAGTCATAAAACTCTTGACAAATTCATTTTTGTATCACTGTATATTCTTGCTAATAGGGCAGGGCATATCTGAAAAGCTGTTAATACCTTACTGCACAAATGCCGATCAAATTGTACTGCAAGGGGATGTATTGTGCAGGAGGTGGAAGAAGAGAATTGTCCTCACCCATTGCAGTTTGCAGTTAAATGCAGCAGAAAGAAGAATAAGGGTAGAGTGGTTTCAAGCAGGAAGCTAATACTTGCTTCAAATCAAGTGATACAATTCAGAAAATGAGTTGATGGTTACCAGGAAAACAAATTGGAAAACAGATCAGCAAATGATACAAGAGAGATTTTACCCAAACAGCTCTAAACAAGGCACCAAGCCAAGAGGCCAAATAGGGAAATCTTTGCCTAGTCTGACACAAAAGCAGCTACTACAAGGTCCTTAAACAAAATGTACATTAAAAACAACTACATCCAAGCGAGGCAGGTTAACAGGGACTGGATTTCTCTTCCTGCCTGAAACAAAAACAAATAAAAACAGACAAAAATTACAATTTTCATGACTCTGGATATCTAGCAAAAAAAAAAAAAAAGACAGTGACCTCTGAGAGATGGGAAACAAAGGAGACCAGCCCTACAATTGTCTTGGCTTATTGCCTTGAAGAGAATTACTGGGCCATGGAACAGAGAAGGGAACATGAAGTGGAGTACAGCAGTAGCCCTGGCTTGGTAGGCATGTAACCTGTGCAGCTGCAGCTCCGAAGGGTGCAGTGCTTGGTTTAATGATCTGATTAAAATTAGAATTTTAAGAAACTAAATAATTTTTTAACAAAGGCTCACATTTTCATTTTACACTGGGCCCTGCTAATTATATAGCTGGTCCTACTCAGCAGATGTGGTAAGTTGAGGAAATAAGCTAAGAGGCCTGATGAGAACAAAGCAGCTAGAGTTCACAGAACAGAAAAACACACAAGGAAGAGTTATATATCAGGAGAGGATCCTGATTATTCAGCCAAGTACAGGTCAGCACATGCATACGAAAAAACTATCTGATGCCAGGCAAAGAACCATCGTAATGGATTGTTTTGACAGGGCTTGAGACGCACATAGACAGGGCAAGGAATAGTGCCTGTGCCCAATGTCAGACTGGAAAAACTCATAATTCAGGAGCATTGCATAGAGTACTCAAGAAGGTTTTATCTTGGAAGTAGAGAACAATTAACTCTACATTGAGCACCTCTCCAAACCCACTTTTAAACACACACACACCATAAAAGCACAATTCCAAAAGACAAAATTGCTTCCAAGTAACTTAACTGCATCTTCGAACAAAGCTCAAGATTTGTACATTTACAGAAATACATGGCACCCAACAAAGTAAATCTCACAGTATCTGCCACCCAAACACAGATAATCAAATACACAAAGTTGTAAGAAAACTTGACCCACCATGAAAAGAATAATCACAACCAACTCAGAACTGACAGAGGTGTTGAAATTAGCAGAGATGGATATTAAAACACCACCACAGCAGAATTTGCAGGCTGCCACTGAAGCAGTAACGAGGTGAAAAATTTTAGCATTAAATCTTTATTAGAAAAGATTTCAAATCAATAAACTCAGTTCCCACCTTAAGAAAGAAAATAAGAACAAATTAAACTCAAAGTAGAAGGAAGGAAATAAAGATTAAAGTGAGAATTCATGAAACAGAAAAAAGCCATGAAACCCAAAAGAGGGGTCTTTGAGATTATCAATAAGTTGATAAATGTCTAGCCAGACTGACTAGAGAAAAAAAAAAAAGACACAAATTATCAGTATCAGAAATGAGAGGTGTCTTCACTACAGTTTTATGCATATTAAAAGCATAAAATGCTGGCCAGCCTGGCCAACATGGTAAAACCCCATCTCTACTAAAAATACAAAAATTAGCCCAGTGTGGTGGCCGGCGCCTGTAATCCCTGCTACTCAGGAGGCTGAGGCATGAGAATCACTTGAACCCAGGAGGCAGAGGTTGCAGTGAGCTGAGACGGATGAAATGTTATAAACAACTTTATGCCATAAATACAAGTTAGAGGAAATGGACAAACGCACTAAAAGACAAGCTCACTCAAGAAGAAATAGATATTCTGAATAACCGTGTATCATTATCAAAGAAATTGCATTTGCAGTTAAAACTCTCTGACAAAGAAAACTCCCTGTGTAGATGGCTTCATTCATGAATCTCATCAAACATTTAAAGAAGAAACAACAGCAACTCTAAACAAACCCCTAACAGAAAATTAAAGAGGAAGGGAATACTTTCCAACTCATTCTATGAGTTCAGAAGTACTCTAATAACAAAACCAGACAAAGACATTACAAGATAAAACTACAGACCAACATCCATGATGAAATGTAGATGCAAAAATTCTAAGCAAAATTTTATCCAAAAATAGAATGTATCACAACCAAACGGAATTTATCCCAAAATTGTATGACTGCTTTAACATTTGAAACCCAACCAGTGTAATTAATTCACTATATTAATGAATTAAAGGAGAAAAACAACATGATCTCAACAGACATAGAAAAAACATTTTACAGCCAGGCACAGTCTCAGTTCGAGACTGGCCTGACCAACATGGTGAAACCCTGTGTCTCCACTAAAAATACGAAAATTAGCCAGCCATAGAGGTGGGCACCTGTAATCCCAGCTACTGAGGAGGCTGAGGCAGGAGAATCACTTGAACTCAGGAGGCGGAAGTTGCAGTGAGCTTGAGATCAAGCCACTGCACTCTAGCCTGGGAGACAGAGTGAGAAGGAAGAAAGGAAGAAAGGAAGAAAGGAAGAACGGAAGAAAGGAAGAAAGGAAGAGGAGAGGAGAGGAGAGAAAGGAAGGAAGAAGGAAAGGAAGGAAGGAAGGAAGGAAGGAAGGAAGGAAGGAAGGAAAAGCATTTTACAAAATTCAACATTCATTCTTCATTTGAAAAAAAAAAAAAACAAAAAACTCAGCAAACCAGAAATAAAAGGGGGCTTCCTTAACCTAATCAAGAGCATCTGTGAAAAACCTATAGCTAATCTCATACTTACTGGTGAAAGACTGAAAGCTTGCCCTCTTAGATCAGCAACAGAAAGGGACGTTTGCTCCCACCACCTCTATTCAACATTGTAGGCTGGGTGCAGTGGCTCATGTCCGTAAGCAATCCCAGCACTTTGGGAGGCTGAGGCATGCGGATCACTTGAGGTCAGGAGTTCAAGACCAGCCTGGTCAACATGGTGAAACCCCCGTCTCTACTAAAAATACAAAAATTACCCAGGCGTAGTGGTGGGCACCTGTAATCCTAGCTACTCGGGAGGCTAACGCACGAGAATCACTTGAACCCGGGAGGCAGAGGTTGCAGTCAGCTGAGATCGTGCTACTGCACTCCAGCCTGGGCGACAGAGCGAGACTCAGTCTCAAAAATAAATAAATACATAAATAAATAGTACTGAAGAGTCTAACCAGTACAATCATGTGAGAAAAGAAATACAGTTATACGACGTAACACAACATTTCAGTCGATGACAGACCACATATACAATGAGGGTCCCATAAGATTATATTTCTACTATACCTTTTCTACTTATGTTTAGATACTAAAATATTTACCATTGTGTTACAATTGCCTACAGTATTTGGTGCAGTATACTCTATGATGTTAGCACAATGATGACATTGCCTAACAATGCATTTCTCTGAATGCATCCTCACAATTAAGAGACACATGACCATAAAAGGTATCTAAAGTGGAGAGAAAGAAGTAAAACTGTCTTCATTCACAAACATCATGATTGTCTGGTGATATGGTTTGGCTCTGTGTCCCCACCCAAATATCATCTAAAATTGTAATCCCCACGTGTCCCCACCAGGAAGGGACCTGGTGGAAGGTGACTGGATCATGGGGGTGGTTTCCCCCATGCTGTTCTCATGATAGTGAGGGAGCTCTCACAAGAGCTCATGGTGTTAAAGTGTGGCCCTTCCTCTTTCTCACCTGCCACCATGTAAGACATGCCTCACTTCTCCTTTGCCTTCCACCATTATTGTAAGTTTCCTGAGGCCTCCCTGTTCATGCAGAACTGTGAGTCAATTAAACCTCTTTTGTTTATAAATTACCCAGTCTCGGGTAGTATCTTTTTTTTTTTTTTTTTTTTTTGGAGACAGTGTCTCACTCTGTTACACAGGCTGGAGTGCAGTGGCGCAATCTCGGCTCACTGCAACCTCTACTTCCGGGGCTCAAGTGATTCTTCCACCTCAGCCTCCCAAGTAGCTGGGACTATAGGTGTGTGCCACCATTCCCAGATAATTTTTGTCTTTTTTTGGTAGAGACAGGGTTTCACCATGTTGGTCAGTCTGGTCTCAAACTCCTGACCTCAACTGACCCACCTACCTTGGCCTCCCAAAGTGCTGGGAATACAGGCATGAGCCACCACGCCTGGCCTCTGGTAGTATCTTTACAGCAGTGTGAAAATGGACTAATACATCTTTATAGAAAACCCAATGAATAAATAATAAAGTTACTATAACTAATAAGTTTACCAAGTTTACAGATACAAAATCAATATATGAACCATCACATACTATTTTCAAAGGTTAAATACCCTTTAAAGTAGCATCAACAATATTAACTTCTTAGAGATAAATCTGACAAAACATGTGAAAGACCTATACAACAAAAAATATGAAATTTTGCTGAGAGAAATTAAAGAAGGCCTAAAGAGAGATCACTTCTATCATAGATTGAAAGACTCAACATTGTTAAGATGTAAATTTTCCCGTTAATCTACACATTCACAGCAATCCCAACCACAAATCCAGCAGGATTTTTGGGAGAAACTGACAAACTGATGCTAAAACTCATATTGAAATAAAAAGGGCCTAGAATAGCCAAAACAACTCTGAAAATAAAGTTGAAGGATTAACACTACCTGATTTCAAGAATTATTATAAAGTTTATGTAATCAAAAGAGGTATTGGCATAAAGCAGACAAACAGATCAATGCAACAGAATATAAACTCCAGAAAAAAAACCCCCACATATATGGACAACTGACTTTTGACAAAGTCCCAAAGGCACTGCAGTGTGAAGAAAGATAGCCTTTTCAACTACTGGTGCTTGAAAATAATAAACTCAGATGTATACCTCCATATCATATATAAAAATTTACATAAATCATCAGTATAAATATAAACCCTGAAACTATGAAACTTCCTGAAGAAAATGCAGAAAAAATATTTAAAAGCATAAAGAACAAATGGATAAACTGAACTTCATTGAAATGAAAAACTTCTCTTCAAAACTCACTGTTATAAAAAAGACAAGTCAAAGAGCAAGAAAAAATCTTTGCAAACATAAATATGAAAAAGATTTGTATCCAGAATAAAGGATATTAATAGTATCAGTAACAAAAGAAAAAAACCCAATTTAAAAATAGGCAAAAAAATTTCAACGGTTGAACAAAGAAGATACATGGATGGCAATAAGCTCATGAAAAGATGCTCAATGTCATTAGAGAAATGCAAATTGTAACCATAATGAGGAATCAGTACACACCTATTAGAAGGTCTAAAATTAAAAAGACTAACCATACTAAGTGTTGGTGAGGATATGGAGGAACTGAAACTTCCATACACTGCTGGTAGGAATGTTGAACAATATAACCACTTTGGAAAAGTTTGGCAGTTTCTTAAAAAGTTAAAACATACAACCTATGATATGATCAGCCATTTCATTTGCAGGCATTTACCCAGAAGCAAAGGAATATACATCCATATAAAGACATTTATGTGATAGCCAGACATAGTGGCACACATCTATATTCCTACCTACTTGGGAGGCTGAGGTAGGAGGACTACATGAGTTCAGGAGCTCAAAGCCACCAAATGTCCATCAACTAATAAATGGATTAGGCAGTCTGTAGTACTACCCACATAATGGAATACTACTTAGCAAAAGAAAAGAATGAACTATTGATATAGACAACAACATAGATGAATCTCAAAATATGCTGAGTGAAAGTAGCCAGACCAAACAAGAGTATATATAGTTGGTCATGGTGGCTCACACCTATAATTCCAGCACTTTGGGAGACCAAGGTGGGACAATCGCTTGAGCCCATGAGTTTGAGACCAGCCTGGGCAGCACAGCAAGACCCTATCTCTACAAAAATTATCCAGGTGTTGGAGCGCACGCCTGTAGCTCCAGGTACTCAGGAGGCTGAGGTGGGAGGATTGCCTGAATCTAGAAAGTTGAGGCTGCAGTGAGGTGTGATCACGCTACTGCCCTCCAGCCTGAACAACACAGCTAGACCCTGTCTCCAAAAAAAAAAAAAAAAAAAGAGAGAGAGAGAGAGAGAGTATATAATGCATGATTTCAGGCCAGGCACGGTAGCTCACGCCTGTAATCCCAGCAGTCTGGGGAGGCCGAGGAGGGCAGATCACTTGAGGTCAGAAGTTCGAGACCAGCTGGGCCAACATGGTCAAACTCCGTCTCTACTAAAAAATACAAAAATTAGCCAGGTGTCATGGCAGGCGCCTGCAATCCCAGCTACTCGGCAGCCTGAGACATGAGAATCGCTTGAACCTAGGGGAGAGGCAGAGGTTGCAATGAGCCCAGATTTCTTTTTCAGAGAAAATAATGAAGGTAAAGGTGGCAGGTATGGGAATTAGCCAAAAGAATAATTATTTGTTGTAGAAAGGCAAAAGCTGCTATTTCTACTTCCAAGTCTGGCAATTTTGAGTACAGGAAAACTTTATTATTTTCCTGCAGATAGGCAATAAACTCTCGGTCACTAAAGCTGTCTCTCTGAGATAGAGAACTAATCAAACCTACAACACAATATACTGGCCACTGTATTGCTCGTCAAAGGTGATAGTAAATGCTTTCTAAGTAGATGAGAAAGAACATTTCAGAATTTTCCCAGATTTGAAAGAAAAGACAGTCCTTAAATTATTTCATGAAAAAATCAAGAAAAGTCACAACAATTTCTGACTCCAGGCCATACACAGGCCTTCTTCAGCTTCAGGAAAATCACAAAGGATCACTTTCTCTCAGAAACACTAGCTTAGCTTAAGTACTCAGTGTAATGCTTCAGAGCTGTGCTATCTAATACAGAAAGCAATAGACACATGTGGCTATTTAAATTAACTACAATTAAATAAAATGGAAAATGCAGTTCCTAAGTCACACTAGCCACACCTGAAGTGTTCAATAACCACATGTAGCTACCATGTTGGATAGCACAGATAGAGAACATTTCTATCATTACAAAAAGTTGCATCAGACAGTGCTACTCCACAGTAACCAAGTTTAGAGAAAGACAGTAGCTTTTTAACAACTCTTTAGTTCTTCAGAAACTTTCATAAGTGGTGTTGTAACAGTTTTATGAATCCATGCTTTTTAAAGTTTAGGTACTGAGGCCACCCACCAATGAAATGAAATTTGCTTCAAATACTATCAACCTAGAATGGAGCATAGAATTTTTTTAATCCCATAAAATTTCCTTTACCTTGGGTGTATTTAACTACTTGCAAAGCACCATCAATCATCTATGGGACTCAAAGTTGTTCTGCCCCCTTTGCAACATTTGAAAACTGACAAAGAAAATCATGACAGTTTTACCAAATCAGCAACTCAGAAACTAAGAAAAAGCAGTGAAACAATCAAAAGCCATGAATATACTAACAGTATATTCATGATGACTTTGACAAATGAACTCGAGGGAGGGAAATGCCAACAAAAACTCAGTAAGTGCAAAGTTTTTTTCAAAATAAACTACCACTTTATTAATGGATATAAATGTTGGCAAATTGCATGAATAATTCAGGTCTACTTTCAGTTAAGTGGAATCTTCACTAAAGCCATATATTATTGACTTCACAGCACTTGTTTCTAGTTGACTGCTTAATAAATAAATAAATCTACTCTAATCCCAGTTTACAGCCAATAGTGAAGACAAATATTATCTATCACTCACCCACCCATTTTAAGTACCTTCAGCCAAAATAAAATCTTACCCCAATGGTGTAAAAAAAAAAAAAAAATTAATAGGCCTGAAAACCTTACAAAGGGAAGAGAGGGCATAAAGTATAGCACCTGGTCCAACTATCAATCTGCTAATAATCTCATTCAAATAAAATAATAGCTGTTGTGTGAGACTCCAAGAGACAATCTTGAGTGTTTCAAATCATACCTGGTAAGTCCTAACTCTTTACAGATCCTCAAAATGAACAGTCTCACAATTCCATATACCTACAAGAGTCCAAAAACTACTGAGGAGCCATATCTGTTATTCTAACACCACACTTAGTGTGAATATTATATCTGGAGGTGTATTTTCATTAACAGAAGATTTATCCATTATTTCTGAAGCCTCACAGAGGCAAGTATAAACTTTGAGTGGCTGACAAAATAGAAAGACTGGGTTGGTGAATTAATGCTCTTAGAGTGGGGCTTATGTGCTAAACCCAGCTTTATGTGGGCCTTCTGTGTGCAGCTGGAGAACAGCTGCTGCCTCAGTCACTTTAAAAAAGCAAAATGGGTAATGTGCTGAGTGAGGTATAACAGCTGGGTCCTACCAAGCCTAATAAATTGCAAACAAGTTAAAATAAATAGGAGAGAGGCTGTTTAACCCAAAGGAAGGAAGTGGTAGAAAAACTCAGCATACACAACTAATTTCGATATTCCATTTTTTTTCTTTCCCTCCTATGCAACCAAAAACCTTTTTGAAAGCAAAGATTTTTATTTTATTTTATTTTATTTTTTTTGAGACAGGGCCTTGTTCTATCGCCCAGGCTGGAGTGCAGTGGCAAGATCACGGCTCAAGCAATCCTCCCACTTCAACCTCTCAAGTAGAGGGACTACAGGCACACACCACCATACTGGGCTAATTTTTTTTTTTTTTTTTTTTCATTTTGTACAGATGGGGTCTCACTATTTTGCCCAGACTGGTCTTGAATTCCTAGGCTCAAGCAATCCTCCCGCTTTGACCTCCCAAAGTGCTGGGATTACAGGCATAAGCCACTGCACCCAGCTGGGAAACAACTAGCTAATAAGGACAAGATATATCAATGGAAAGAATCTGATACAAATGCAAGATGAAGCCATTGTTTCTGCTATTAAGGCAGAGAAAAAATATGCAAATATGGAAAGCAAGCATTGCTTTTTCAGAAAAAAATCTTAAGTAAACCTTGGAATTAAGTGTGAGACTGCTGACTAGAATGAATGAAGAGTAGATTCAGTCATTGTAGAAGAACTTGGCAACCTCAAGAAATGTGCTGGAAAACTTCAGCCAGCCATCAACAACAAATTTACAATGTGTTCCTAATACTATTCAGAAGGCAGTCAAATCAACAAGTATAAGCAAAAATTTAATCTCAACTAGTGAGACACTGGCCAACCTAGGACTCATTCGCCTGCAAAGATACACAGAATAGTATCTCTTCAATTTAAAAATGCGTTCAGTATATACAATAAGAGGGCTCAGTAAGTAAGGGCTGGGGCACGAGACGGCTTAGAAAAAAAGGTCTCAGATTATGGGTTCAAAATAACAAGAACTACAAAAGCACTTTGTTCAACGTAAAGCACATTACAGAGAATGGAGACTAAAAAATTACAATCAAACAAAAACTAAAAGTTATTCCTGATGTTGAAAGGAATATGCTCAAATCTCTGTGAACAAATACACTTGTATCAACATCACAAACTACATCATCAATCTAAATTTTCAACAAGGATCATCACAGAAAGACTAAGGATATTCATAAATGGTAGTCCTAGACCAATGCATACTTAGTGGGTTTTGTTTGTTTGTTTGTTTGTTTGGTTTGTTTGTTTTGAGACGGAGTCTCGCTCTGTAGCCCAGGCTGGAGTGCAGTGGTGCGATCTCAGCTCACCGCAGGCTCTGATTCCACGGTTCACGCCATTCTCCTATCTCAGCCTCCCAAGTAGCTGGGACTACAGGCGCCCGCCACCACGGCCGGCTAATTTTTTTTATATTTTTAGTAGAGACGGGGTTTCACCATGTTAGCCAGGACCGTCTCGATCTCCTGACCTCATGATCCACCCATCTTGGCCTCCCAAAGTGCTGGGATTACAGGCGTTGAGCCACCGCGCGCCTGGCCCCATACTAAGTGTTTTTTAAAATCACGGGGAGACTCCATTCCAATCCTATTCCAATCTTTCTGTTTCTTGTCCTGAAATCTAAGTCAAGGGCTCTGACCTACTGGTCCTTAGTGCTAGGACACCAGGTAATTCTTGCCACAGAACCAAATTCTGTCAATACTTAGTCCCTAGAATGGGCTCCTCTGGCCTCTCAGTACACCAGAAGAAAAAGGCTAGAATCTTGACATGCAAAATCTTTTGTGACTTTTAATTTTTACTTAATTTCAAACTTTCAAAAACTGCAAGCATAATTCAAGGATCTGCCATATACCATTTACGGACTTACCAACTATTCACATTTTCTTGTTATGAAAAATCTGACACATTTTTGATCCCTGACCTATACATGTTTTTCTTCTGGGTATGACTTTACATCCTAACAAGCCTTCTAAATTCTCTGATTTTAATGATACTAAATTATTTTTATATTTATTCATTTATTCATTTATTTATTTATTTATTTTGCTCTGTCACCCAAACTGGAGTGCAATGGTGCCATTTCAGCTCACTACAACCTCTGCCTTCTGGGTTCAAGCGATTCTTGTGTCTCAGCCTCCCAAGTAGCTGGGATTTTTGTAGAGACAGGGTTTTCACCATGTTGGCCAGGCTGGTCTCAAACTCCTGAGGTCACTGGCGCCCGGCCTGATACTAAATTAATTTAATAACCACAAGGGGATTTGATTGTTTCCTAAAAATAAACATTGAGCAAGAATCTACTAAGCAAGGTTCCCATCAAAGAAGCAGTTTCCCTCAGATTTTTAGGGAGTAAGTATCTCCCAAATACTCAAATCTAGTACAGGGGAACAGAGAAAAAAAAATTAAAGCAAATTTCAATAACTACTGAAGCAAGTCCCCTCCCCTCACACACAATATTTTAGTTCTTCTGAGTAACTCACTACTCTGACCACTATTGTATACAGACATTCCCTGATGTTCAATGGTTTGAGTTACATACTTTTTCAACTTTACCATGGTACAAAAGCAATACACATTCAGTAGAAACCATACTTTGAGTACTCATCCAGCCATTTTGTTTTTCACTTTGGTACACTATTTAATAAAATATGAGATATTCAGCACATTATTATAAAATAGGCTTTCTGTTACATGATTTTTGCCCGACTATAGGCTGTCAGTGCTCTAAGCATGTATAAGGTAGGTTGTAGCCTAAGCTATAATGTTTGGCAGCTTAAGGGTATTAACCACCTTTTTGACTTACGGCATTTTCAACTTACAATGGATTTACCAGGATGTAACCTAATTTTAAATCAAGAAGCATCTGTATTTGATTCCCCTATATACCTTTCTCTTGCTTAAAAATACTCCAAATAGCATAAACAGTCATGTGCCACATAACATTCCTGTAAATGATGGACCACATATGCGACAGTGATACCATAAAATTTTAATGCTGTACTTTTACTATACCTTTTCTATGTTTAGACACACAAACACTTAACACTGTGTTTCAAATGCCTGTAGTATTCAGTACAGTCACATGCTGCACAGGTTTGTAGACTAGGAGCAATAGCCTATACCATATAGCCTAGGTGTGTAGTAGGCTACACCAACTAGGTTTGTGGAAGTTCACTCTAGGAAGTTCACTCAGAACATATCCTCATTGTTAAGTGACACATGACTGCAGTTTAACTGCACTGAAATATATCTTTAAGAATTTTAGGGGTAGGACTTCATAATGTTCGCAGATTACTGGACACACTCGGGTGTTTCAAAAACACAGGGTCAACTGGGCATGGTGGCTTGCGCCAGTAATCCCAGCAACCAGGGAGGCTGAGGTGAAAGGATCACTTAATTGAGACCAGGAGTTTAACACCAGCCCCAGCAACACAGAGAAAGGGAAGCGGGAAGGCGGAAGGGGGAAGGGGGAAGGGTTTGAATAAATTTGATCAGCTTGGCCTGATGAGAAAACATGAGAAAGTATGTGGTCTTGGGAATGAGTGTGCCAACCCTGGTCACTCCCTGTCCCAGTTCTCACTCTGAAAAGATTTAAAGCCTCTCTCGTAGTAACTGCTAGCCATCCTTACTGCTTATTTTCCCC
This sequence comes from Homo sapiens, assembly GCF_000001405.40. Classification (NCBI taxonomy): domain Eukaryota; kingdom Metazoa; phylum Chordata; class Mammalia; order Primates; family Hominidae; genus Homo; species Homo sapiens. Next base: position 37,968,519 of record NC_000006.12, on the reverse strand, counting down.
ATGGAGCAGCACACACCAAATATTACCAATACCACACCCCCATATTAACACCCAGCTTCAGGCTTCCTACTGATCCTCTGTCAGGTGGTCTGGTTTTTCACCCTTCCAAGGAGGGGTCTGCATCTAGTATTCGCTAACCCACCTCTCTATCTTGTTTGGCTTACTAAATGCATAATATCCTATCAATGGTTAGGCCTCACCCAATTAATAATTTCAATAAAAACGCTTTTTTTCCCCCATCCATTCTTAGCCCTCTTGCCTCCCCAGGAACGTATCTCATTCTACATCCTCTACAGAATAGTAAAACTTGTTTTTCTTTTAAATCTCTAATGAGACTTCTAGAGATAGCCCATTAAATCCCAATTTCTTGTCAAAAAACCAATTCTAGTCCTGTGATCACTTGCAGAATACAAATTATTGACCCAGGATGATCCCAGGAAATGTTATTTTTCAGTTCTAATGTTCAATTACTCCCATTTAGATATTCTAGTTGGTGCTCTCCTACCAGCAGGGCAATTGTTTTAGGGAACCTTTAATGTTACAATTTACGTATGGCAGCAAAAACACCAAAACAAGAGGATTATGTTAGTAAAATAAAATCATCAAGTAAATTTACTTGAGAGCCCACATGGAGAGAAAAGGGTGACTACATCAAAAAAGGGGAAGTGTCTGGAATGTGGAGTCAACACTTAAAAAGGAAAAACAGGACATCCATGAAGGGGAGAAAATAGTGTCAAAGATGGGAGGTTGGCAACATACAAGAGAAGACCAATCATTTAGCATGTGTATCAAGGATAATGGAAACCAAGTTTCTTGCTGTAAGAGAACACTATAAAAGAAAGTGAGAAAACTAGAATGAATCCTGAGGTATTGAGTTGGAACTGGAGTTATCAGTATTAATTCACAATTTTCAATATATTTAAACATAGAAATAAACATAGAAAATATAGGTAAATGTAAAAGTATCCACTGAGAGGATCTGGAAGTAGCAACACCCCAATGGTAATGAGCACACTGGTTACCCAGATCCTGGCTTCTAAATACTTCTTTCCCTTAAAAAGAACCAAGGCTCCTTGGAGAAATGACTGATTATCTAGGGCTGGGATGCAGAAAGTACAAGGTGAGCTTAGAATATCTTTTTTGTGCCAGAAAGCAAGAAACTACTGAAACTACTCAAAATAGACATAGAATGCCTGAAGAGGCTCTTACAGGCCAAATCTAGGACAATTTGAGCATCAAAACCAATAACAGTACAGAAGATCATAATCCACTGAATAAAATAGGAAACCATGAGTATAAGTAGATACAAATTAAATGAGTAAACAGTGTCACAAAGATGGATACTTACCTAGTTTTAAAATACTTTCCCACAAAACATTTATTAATTACAAAAACAAGAAGAGTAACTTTACAGTACTAAAGCCCAGCAGATATCACCCTAATGAAGCAGTTAGAGAGGTCATCATTAGTCATCAGTCAAACTGAAAATGTATGCCCTGTAACAACAGAGTACAATGAGAACAACATAATTTACATGATATTCCTGCAAAGGTACATAGCTTGCATCACATGAGGAAATAACAGATAAAATCAAATCAAGGAAAATACAACTTATAACTGGTTTGTCATCTCCAAAAGTGCCAAGTTCATGAAAATCATGAAAAGACTAGGGAACTGTTCCAGAAGGAAATAAAGGGGCATTATGGGGACGTGTGCTATAAAAGATATTATTAAACCTGAGGATTAGATGGTAACAATCTATTAATACAAATTTCCTGGTTTTGGACATTTTGTTTTAGTTACAAAGAAAAGTGTTCTTGTAGAAAATAAACACTAAAGTATTTGGGAGTGATAGAGCATCAAGCTGGCAACTTCTTCTCAAATGGTTCCAGCAAAGTTATGGTGATTTTTTTTTTTAAGGTAAATCCAGAAAATCCACTTATGAGAAAATCCAGAAAATTCAACTGTAAGTCTGGCAAACCTAGGTTCAAAATCAGGTTCAGTCACTTATGAACCGCAAGGCCTCAGACAAGTTGCTTAATCTCTCTAAGCGTTGTCTGCTCAGTGAATAATGAGGATCAACCTGTGGTGAGAATTAAGTGAGAGATATAAGGCACCTTAGCACAATGCCTGGCACTTTGTATGTGCTTTTTAACTGAAAATTCTAATTTCTCTGAAAATAAAATCTGGTACTGTAATGCTTAGTTTTCCCTAAAATACTTGGAAGAGAATACCCAACCCTGGTCACATTCTAGCATTTGTATAGACTTTTAGTCATCAATCACAGTTACTATTTCTAGAACCTGCTGTTTGCAATTCTGTATCATGGTCTGTCACTGTCTTTGCATAGAAGGAAAATGCAAATGCCAACCTCTTCTATGATTCATTCCCCCTTTGTCTACAAACCATGCAGTCTGGTTTGCGGTTGTGTAAAGGATCATTAAAGTTATTCTTCTGGGCCAGGAAATGTGGCTCATACCTGCAATCCCAGCACTTAGGGAGGTCAAGGCAGGAGGATTCCTTGAGCCCAGGAGTTCAAGACCAGCCTGGGTAACATGGCAAAACCCCATCTCTACAAAAAATATAAACATTAACCAGGCATGGTAGCACATGCCTATAGTCCCAGCTACTCAGGAGGCTGAGGTGGGAAGGTTACCTGAACCCAGGGAGGCCGAGGCTGAAGTGAGCCATGATCATGCCATTGCACTCCAGCCCGTGTTACAGAGATCCTGTCTCAAATTTAAAAAGTTATTCTTCTGGCCACACTGCCAGTGATTGCTTCACTTCAGTCCATAAGGCAGCAGTATTCAGTATCCTATTCTCAACTACTTAGCACAGCTGATTTGTCTAAGACAACATATATTTACCTGGCCTTCAGGGAGTATAGTTTCCTCATGAAGTGAAGGACAAGAAGGGAAGAACAGCACAACTCAAAGGAAAAAAAAAAAAGAATGACAACCCTCACCTGGGAAGCAGTGGAATAACAATCATATAAGGAAGGAATTCCAGAGGTCTCAGATGTCCCTTGTATACTGTCCGGGTCAAGAAATGGATATATGAACTCCCGGCTACTCGCTATTAACCTTATAGAAATGGTTGGGGTATTTTCCCCAATTACATGTGTGCGCATATATATTCTGACATCCATGAGACTGTGTCTGTATACACCAGGACAGTGCTACTCACAGTCCACAGATCAGTGCCGGTCTGGAAATTGTTACTGGTCTAAAAAAATAGACCAGTAACTGGTCAATAAGTAGTTACTGGTCTAAACAAAGTAAGTAGAGAAATTAAGGGTAGAATTTAGAAAATTTTATAATAACTTGACAGAATAAGTTTGCTGAATATAATAATAAAAATCAGGACATATTTTATGTCTTTACAATTGGTGCTTTTAAAAATCAAGTTATTTTTATTGTACTTTACAAAAATACTGAATTGTCATAGGTTGAGGGAAGAAAAGAACTGGTCTTTTACCACAGATAGTTTAAAAAGCAACACACTAATTTTCATATCCTACATTTACACACAATAAGCTAATATTCACTGGGCACTTACTACATGCCTGCTACTGTATGCTGTCCACCCAGTATCTCACTAAATCCTCACAGGGCTCTAAGTCCTATTACTACCCTCATTCCCCAGATGAGAAAACTACGGCTCAGAGAGGATGTACAACTTGCTTAAGTTCCACAGTAAATGATATGAACTTAAGCCCTTAATCACTAAGCCATAGAGTCCTGAAAACCACATAAAGTAATAAAAGAAAACTAAAGTTACTGAGAAATGATGGAAGAAGGGATGCCGGAATGCATGATAGACCAGTTGGTGTTCTTTGAATATGGGTATTTTGGCTTTGCTCTGCGGTATATAAGAGAGTAGTCTACTTAACTAGGCTCAAGTGAAGATAAACTGCATACAAGAATACATACGTCTCATTGGGATCCAAAGGCAGGGATTGAATCAATGTCAGAAATCAAAGATGGCTGGCTGTCTCTAAGGGGCTGTGCAGTCACTGACACTATGAGTGGTTCTGCTTTGTTCTCTTTGCCAAGGTCTTCTTCTTCTTCAACCTGCACAACCAAAGATGGCCCAGCCCAATACACCTGCACATCACCAGTTTAATCTCCCTCTGCCTCTCTCAGAAGTTCACATTTTCCCCAAGAGCCACACAGGTCAGAAGTTATAGACTGGCTACCTTATGAATCAAGCATCCCTTCTGGTCCTGTAGCATGGTAGGGTAGTCATGTGATACAGAACCTAGGTAAATGCACCTGTAACAGCTAGGCATCAGAGCAGGACATCAAAGTTCATATCTCTTTTACTTTATTACCTGATCTTTGAAAAGACAGCAATAGTCCAGAAGTCTTGAGGAAAGATTTGCACTCAAAGATTTGTTTTATTTTGCAGGAGTTAGGAGAAGGGAGGACAAGGAAAACCTGAGGGGGGAAAAAAGAATGAAACAGAAGGAGAAATAGAATTACAACAGAACAAAATATGGAAAGGATTATAATATATGGAACACTAGCCCAAGCCAAAAACAGTTGACAATTCTTCCAGAAAAGTAGGATTTGTAAAATAACAGACTCATAATTGAGATGTTGGGAATAGTACAGGAAAACGCACAGCTATTTATCTATAATGTACCTTGCATTATTTACTTACTCTGTTGCTGTATGAGAGAGTACTATATCCAATAGAGAGATCTTAAGAGGGCTTGACACCTAGATCAATAGAACATCTTTAAATTCTAGATTGAGAGGAAAAACAGCAGAAAGTCAAAGAAAGAAAAGGAGGAAAGAAGGCTTCTACATTCAGAAGCAGACTGGAAACTATCATAAAGAGAAGGTATTACTGTTGCTGGTGAAGCAGGATGGAAGCTGAAGAACTAGAAACGAATTTTATTTATTTGGATCTTTTTTTTTTTCTTAGTCTGGCTAAAGGTTTGTCTCTTTTGTTTAACTTTTAAACAGCCAACTGTTTGTTTCATTGATTTCTTGTATTATTTCTCATCTCAAATTCATGTATTTCTGCTCGTATCTTTACTTTTTCTTCTACTAATTTTGGGTTTGGTTTGCTCTTGCTTTTTTAGTTAAGATGCATTGTTATTTATCTGAAGTTTTTATTCTTTTCTATGTAGGCACTAATAGCTATGAACTTCCCTCCTAGTACTGCTTTCGCTATATCCCACAGGTTTGGGTATGTTGTGTTTCCATTATCATTTGTTTCAAGGAATTTTTCCATTTCTTGACCTTTGGAGCTTCATTATTAAATGCCTTTAAGTAGTCTTCTTTGGGTTAAATCTACTTGGTGTTCCATAGGCTACATGTGTCCGGAATTGGTTCCTTCCAGTGGGTTCTTGGTCTCGCTGACTTAAAGAATGAAGCTGCGGACCCTCGCAGCGAGTGTTACAGTTCATAAAGATGGTGTGTCCAGAGTTTGTTCCTTCAGGTGTTCAGATGTACTCGGAGTTTCTTCCTTCTGGTGGGTTTGTGGTCTCGCATGACTTCAGGAGTGAAGCCGCAGACCTTTGCAGTGAGCGTTACATGTAGATCTTAAAGGTGGTGCGTCCGGAGTTGTTTGTTCCTCCCAGTGGGTTCGTGGTCTCGCTGACTTCAGGAGTGAAGCCGCAGACATTCACAGTAAGTGTTACAGCTCTTAAAGGCAGTGCGGACCCAAAGAGTGAGCAGCTGCAAGATTTATTGTGAAGAGCAAAAGAACAAAGCTTCCACAGCGTGGAAGGGGACCCGAGAGGGTTGCCCTTGCTGGCTCAGGTGGCCAGCTTTTATTCCCTTATTTGGCCCCGCCCACATCCTGCTGATTGGTCCATTTTACAGAGTTCTGATTGGTGCATTTACAAACCTTTAGCTAGACACAGAGCGCTGATTGGTGCGTTTTTACAGAGTGCTGATTGCTGCATTTACAAACCTTTAGCTAGACACAGAGCGCTGATTGGTGTGTTCACAATCCTTTAGACAGAAAAGTTCTCCAAGTCCCCACCAGATCCAGAAGCCCAGCCGGCTTCACCTCTCACATGTACTTGGATATTGATAGTTTTCTCTAGGTTTGTAAGGTTTCCTGCCATTTGAATAAACTTTCTATGCCTATCTCTATCTCTACCTCCCCTTTAAGCCCAGTAACTCTTAGATTTGTCCTCTTATAGCTATTCTCTAGATCCTGTAGGCATGCTTCATTGTTACTTTTTCTTTTGCCTGACTGCATATTTTCAAACAGCATGTCTTCAAGCTCACTAATTCTTTCTTCTGTTTGGTCAATTCTGCCGTTAAAAGACTGATGCATTCTTCAGTACACCAATTTCATTTTTCAACTTCAGAATTTCTGCCTAATTCTTGTTATTTCAATCTTTCAAATTTATCTGATATAATTCTGAATTCCTTCTGTGTTATCTTGAATTTCTTTGAGTTTCCTCAAAACAGATGTTTTGAATTCTCTGTCTGAAAGGTCTGATATCTCTATTTCTTCAGGATTTGTCCCGGGTGCCTTATTTAGTTGATTTGGTAAGATCATGTTTTCCTCAATCATCCTGATACTTGCAGACACCCCTCTGTGTCTGGGCATTGAAGAGTTAGGTATTTATTGTAGTCTTTGCAGTCTGGGCTTGTTTGTACCCATCCTTCTTGGAAAGGCCTTCCAGATATTCTAAAGGACTTAGGTGTTGTGATCTAAGCTGTATCTGCTTTAGGGGGGACCTCAAGCCCAGCAGGACTGTGTTTCTTGCAGACTCTTAAGAGGTACCACCTTGACGGTCTTGGACAAAATCCAAGAGTTCTCTGGATTACTAGAAAAAGACTCTTGTTTTCTTCCTGTACTTTCTCCCAAACAAATAGAATCTCTTTCTCTCTCTGCTCTGAGCCACTTAGAGATGGGGATGGACTGACACAAGTACTCCTATGGCCACCAGCTCTAGGACTTCGCTGGGTCAAACCTGAAGCCAGCATAGCACTGGGTTTCACCCAAGGCCCACTGTAACCACACCCTGGCTGTCACCTCTGTTCGCTCAGTGTCCTAGGGCTCTACAATCAGCAGGTAGCAAAGCCAGGCAGACCTATGTCCTTCCCTTCAGGGCAGCAAGCTCCCCCAGGATCCTGGAGGGGCCAGAGGTGCTATCCTGGAGCCAGAGACTACAGTCAAAAACCTTAGATGTCCACCTGGTGTTCTATTGCATTGTGGCTGAGCTGGCAACCAAACCACAAGACACAGTCCTTCCTACTCTTCCCTCCCCTTTCCAAAGGCAGAGGAGCCTCACCTCGTGTCCACTGATACCTCAGGCCCACAGGGAGTACTGCCCAACTACCACCTGGCAGTGACTCACTTTTCAAGGGAGTGGGCTCCTGTCTGGTGGCCCAGGGCAGGTCCAGAAATGCCATCCAAGAGCCAAGTCCTGGAATCAGAGATCCTAAGAGCACTGATTATTTACTATTTTTTGAAACAGGGTCTCGCTCTATCACCCAGGCTGAATGTAGTACTGCAATCACAGAACACTGCAGCCTCAATATCCCAGGCTCAAGCAACACCCTCACCTCAGCCTCCTGACTATAGGTACATCCCACCACACCCAGCTGATTTTTTTTTTTAATTTTTGGTAAAGGTGGGGTCTCATTATGTTGCCCAGGTTGGTCTCAAATGCCTGGATTCAAGTGACCCTCTTGCCTCGGCTTCCCAAAGTGCTGGGGTTACAGGTGTGAGCCACCAAAACCAGTCAATTTTTTTTCCCAAGGGGTAGGGAAAGGAGTGGGGAAGAACTCTCAGAACAGATGAATGTCATTTAACTTGGAGATGAGTAAAAACTGTGATGAGAGAAGTTTCTGTTTCTATACCTAGAATGAATGAACATGTAAATACAGCAACATTTTCTAAACTTCCCTTTATTCCCTTTATTTATAAACGGAAGGCACACAAATGCGAAGGTAGCTACAGGATTCTAAGGTAGTTGTTTGAACATCAGCAGAATGTGTACGTGCTAAGAGGATGTAATTCATGGAAAGTGAGCAGTGCCACAAAGGAATTAAGTTGCCAGGCTCAGGCAAACATCACTGATGGTACTCCCCATTGCCTTCTGTCCAAAGTAAAGGGTGTATATGTATATGAATGTTTGCTGCCCACATAGACTTGAAATGTTTGTCACACTAAACATTTGGCATTCAAGGATCTGACATTTGAGGTTTCAAGGTTCACTGCATATAACAAATGATTTTGCTAAGTATGAATCTGAATTACCTGTGTTGCAGGACAGCTTTGCAGGCATGAGTGAGTTGGCTGGTCAGTGTGCCTAAAGCTGACCAGCTCAGTGTGGTTTTACTATTTTATTTAACACAGGATCTCAATTAATCCTCAGAAAAATAAGTAGGGCTATTATTATCCCCATTTTATAGCTAAGACAGATAGATGCTACACTGCGGTATCTTGAAGATTTCAGAACACATTTCAGTGGTCTTGCTTGAAATACTGTGTTGCTATTTCAATGCTTATGCCTACCCTCCCCAATTAGACTTTAAGGATTTTGAGAGCAAGTAGTATATATTTACTTCTCCCTAAAGTGCTTAATGTAAGGCAGTAAACAAAGCAGATATTCAAGAAAATCTTTTGAACAAATACAACTTATTTCCATACAGATTTCGCCTTCTCAAGTTTCATGGGCCCAGGTTAGGTGATAAGTGTTCTCAAGAAGAAAGCAGTTTAAATTGTAAGCCTGAGGAACTAGCCTCTATTTAGTCTTAATTTAATTCTGGATCTAGAAGATGAAAGTTAATGGAAAGACTTTCAAAATACAGATACAACCAGGAAACAGCTCCAGAAAATGCTTGTCCATATGAAGCAAGGATCACAAGTGTAAGGTCTTTTATAGTAAGTTCCAATAATGTCTACATCAAATTCTTGTATATTCAAATATTTACATATTTGACAATTTATGTGAAATCATTACCATTTCTATACATAATATGAATCCATATTATTCAAACTGACATTCAGTAAAGCAACAAAAATGGAATACTACCACAACCAACAGAGAATAGGCTAACTATTAATACTTTAGGCTCTAAAAAAAATTAAGTGAAAATCCATTCTTGACACTGTTCATTTACATAACAATAGTGGACAGAATTTCTGGATTTGGAGCCATCTATGTAATTCCAATGTTAACATTTCCATTTTGATGAAGTCAGACTAAGTGCATCTGCAGGAAACCATCACTACCGTGGAGAGAAACTGCACTGATAATGTTGAAACACGTTCTGCTGTTGCACATTAATGTCACAGAACTAGACTGGAGCCTGATTTACAAACCACTGTGTTGTGTTAGGCTATGCTGCATCACATTGGTTAAAACCAGCACAAAAGCAAAGTCTTGCATTTAAGCAAATTCAGAAGGTGAAATGGGGGCTGCCGAGAATACCACACCTCAGCTTACTCACTATTCCACTTCTATACCCCAAGGACTTAGCTCTTTCATTCTTCACCAATACTTCCACTGAAGCCAACAAATGGGTAATGACCCAGAGGAAAGATGTTGGTGATAAAATCTATGGCAGGAATTTGGTTCCTAAAGCCCTTTAACCATTTTTGTACTTTTGACTAAGGTTCAAACTTTACAGACACATTAATGGGGGCCAGTCATCTTAAAGTTTGGAAAATAAATGAAGCAAGGTTTGGGGAGAAATTTTACCAGAATTCACGTCTATCCCTATGGAAATTTACAATTGTAAAATACAAGCAATGTAAACACAAGGTACATTTTGTCCGTCGGTGGGTGGGGAAGGGGGGGGCGGTCCTGAAAAGCCAAGCAAGGTTTTTTAGAAGTCTTAAGTGTGGAAGAAAAGGTGATGTATACATACTCATCCCAAGCTTAATTGCTATGACTATGTAGTTCCATTTTTTCCCTAAGTATAAGTCAATTCAAGTGCTCATTATCTTAAGTCAAATATTTTGCTTCCAGGATTGCTAATTAGAGTGACGGCAGAAATACAGCATTATTTTTTAAAAATCTCATTTACATAAAATGGTTCAGAATCTACCTAAATGAGAATTTTTTTTTTTTTTTTTTTTTGAGACCGAGTCTTGTTCTGTCACTAAGGCTGAAGTGCAGTGGCACAATCTCAGCTCACTGTAACCTCCACCTCCCAGGTTCAAGCGATTCTCCTGCCTCAGCCTCCCGAGGAGCTGGGGTTACAGGCGCCCGCCACCACGCCCAGCTAATCTTTGTATTTTTAGTAGAGATGGGGTTTCCCCATGTTGGCCTGGCTGGTCTCGAACTCCTGACCTCAGGTGATCTGCCCACCTTGGTCTCCCAAAGTGCTGGCATTACAGGCGTGAGCCATCATGCCCAGCCTAAATGAGCAATTTTTAAAATCATATTTTTGTACTGAAAATTTACAGATCTGAATGGACACCACTAAAGAATAAAGACAAATATTTTTTAAAATTTTATGACTAATTGTCTGTCCATAGTCATATTATAAATTCTTTCCAAGAAAAAAAAATCCAAATTTACCTTTGTTATTGATCTCATTGATCTGGTCCAGTCCCTCTATTTGATTTGTGTACACGATTTTTGGATTAAATATAGTCAAACAAATCATAGAGCATAACACCCTATATGTCACACACACAGCATATTGGAGTTTTTCTCCAAAGGTATATGCATAAATTATCCCACCAGGAATATTTACCAGGGTCCTGCTGCTTTTCCTCATAATTTCGGCCTAGGTCCGTATGCAACTAGCATACAAAAGTACTGACAAGTTTCCTAGAGTAGATCATGTGTCCTTGAAAACAACTAAGGGTAGAGTTCTACCATATTTCTTAGCTAAAAAGTAGCTGGCAACTCTATTTTCATTCCATCCATCATTTTAAATCTGTGCAACAATTATTCCATACCAGCTTCTAGTTTCAAGATACTACAGCCAAATGTTCTGCTTGAGTAAAAAACAAATCTAGATGACCCTAGCATTGCTTACCAATATATTTTATTACACTGTACCTAATAAGAAACAACTTACATGTATACATGTTGAAAGTTTAGTAAGTGCCTCACTAATTTATTTTGATCCTTACAAACCTACTGTAAAGCAGGTTATCACCATCCCCACCAAGAACAAGTGCAAACTGAGACTCCGAGACATTTATGTCACTTGTCCAAGGTTACACAATCAACAAAAAGAGTCTTGGAATTCAATGAAAAAAAAAAAATTGATGCCAAATCCAGAGCATGAGACTAAGGATATAAGAAATGGTAAAATGTTTCAACTAGAATTGGCAAGTTATAGAATAGTTCTTCTAGAAAAAGATAATTTGCGTTATTCCTGAAAAGAGAGGAAGAAAGGGGGGGAACTTGCTTAACACATGGACAGAAAGACTAAAAGACTGAATCGTTTCAAACACAGTAACTCTGACCACACCAGAGCTGAAGAGCAGCAAAGAAACAAGTGACCAGGAAGTCAGGAAAGCCATGGGTCATTTCAGTTTTCATAAATGAGTACATTTTTTTTCACAATATCCCTAGAAACTCAGCGAGATGTGAAGACTGTCACAGGCTTAGACCTCCAAGTAAGGAAACTGGACAATTATCAGTCCACTCCCAAAAGGCTTTGCAATCCCGAAGGACTGTTCATATCCACAATTACTTCCTTCTTCCCACGCTTTCCCTCTCTTCATATCTGGCTTCCACACTTAGCACTCTTAATGAGACCATCCATACTAAAGCAGATGTAAGTGCCTCAATTACTTCAGATGCAAGTGCCTCAATAAAATTCATGAACCTCCTTAGAAATATATGCAAAACTATGAGCACTTGCACATTTTTCTGAAGGGATCCACAGCTTTCATCAGTTTTCAAAGTTCCGTGACCCCAAAAAGATAAACACTGCTCTCCAAGATCACAAATAACAGTATTCATTAAATCCAATAATCATTTCTCATTCATTTTAATCTCCCTACCTCACTTGATGCCATTTGTTACCCAAAGTTGAAATCCTAAAATATCCCCTTTCTATAATCTATGTCACTAGTGTCATCTAACTCTGACTGATGGTTGTGACCTCTGTGACTTCATTTATCTCCTTTTCTGCTTCCTCCTCCAAGGATCTGAGCATTCCTTTGTGTTCTATTTACTTCCATAAGCCACTGGTTCTCAAAGTGTCATCCACAGACCACTGCAGCACCTGGGAACTTTTAAGACACACAAATGGTTCCAGCCCCACCTCATGCCTCCTAAATCAGAAACTCTGTAGAGTGTGGCCCAGCAATGTGAGTTTTAACAGCCCCTCTAGGTATATGCTCAAGTTTTAGAAATATTGCCCTGAGCACAGTAAGCTTCAACTCTATTATTTTGTTTTTCAAACATTTAATGAATACTAGCTATGTGCAAGGACCTCATCTTAACGTGGCAATTTTTCAAAATTGATTTTAGATGTTTCACAGAGTTCCAAATTCTGAGTACCCTACACAGCATATGCACTTCCCAAATTATCTCAAGCTGCGTCCAAAACCCAGTTCATCAACAACCCTCCACCCCGACTCTAAACCACCCTCCCCACACCCACAAGCACAGGCAACCAATTTTCTTATTCTGTTCAGTGACTGAAAACCTTATAGTCACATTTATTTCTTCCTCTTTCCTTACATATGATTCCCATCAAGAACCCATGGATTCTTTTATCCCAATGTAATTTAGATTTCACCCTTGCTCCTATTCCCATACTACTGCGCTGATCTGGGACTTTATACTGGTGATTTGCCCTGAGGTAAAGTGGCAGAGCCAGGAAGAGGCTATTTGCCTCCAGAGCTCAAGCTCTCACTCATTAAGCTACACTGATTCCTTGGAGTACACCAAAGCACTGGCATCATTTAATTCCCTATTTCAGAGCCTAAGTGGTTTATAATAGTTACTGGGTCATAGCAGAACTTACTACTTTGGCACTTGCAGCCAAAAAATTGTACCCACCGTTCTCTTCCTATGATCCAACACTGAGCCTTTCTATCCTGGGGTGCTCCATCACTTTAAAAGCTCAAATATAATACTACTGACTTGTACAGCAGAAATGAATGGCACATATATCACTAAAGGCCAATGTAAACTGACAGGACAGCGGAAAGTCCCTTAAAAAGCAACCAAACTTTGGTTCCCTTGAGATTTTCTATTTTTCAGAACTAAACAACATATCTTTTAGCTTTCCTACTAACTTTAATAAAGATGATCTGGAGGACTTCCACTTCTAGCTAAGATGGAGAGAGACTAAGTTTATCTTCCTGTCTTAAACAACCAATAGACTGCCAAAATGTATCAAACGGTTTTCAATACACTAGATAAGGACAGTGATTCCCTTAGAGACACACACACACACACACACACAAAAATTGGTTGAAGAGGCAGAGCTGAGAGTCCACAGAGAACAAAGCAGCTAGAATTTGCAGGACAGAGTACTGGAAGAGACAGAACACAGGAGACCTACAGAGGGGCTCCCTTGGAGTATTTAGCTGACTACTGGGTAAGGGCATCTGTGTGAGGAAAGAGCCTGAGGCTAAGACCCATTTGAAAGGGTTAGAGGTAACTATACCTGGTGCTCACACAAGGCCAGGGAATGTGCCTGTTCCCACAAGGCAAGGTTGAAACTCTCAATTCATGGGACACTGTTGAGTACAGGAGACATCTTGCCTCAAAAGCATGGAATAATTAGTCCTAGACTGTGAATTGTAGGGCTGCCTAACAAATAATAAATTCAAGACCACAAAAGATAAAACTGTTTCCAAGTAACTTAACTGTATCCCAGAATAAAGCATGGGAAGTTTTTAAGGAATACAAAAATATCCAATGCAACGAGACAAAATACAGTAATAAAAATATGACCAAAAATGAAGGGGGAAAATCAATCAAAACTAACCCAGAACTGGCACAGATAATTGGTAGATACAAACATTAAAACATACGGAATAACTATATTCTGTGTGCAAAAAGCTAGACGGGAGACAAGGACAATATAAAAGACCCAACTGGCCTTCTAGAGATGGAAACTGTAGCATGTGAGATTGAAAATACACTGGATGGGATTAGCAGAAGATTAGAAATTGCAGATGATTAGTGAACATGAAGCTATAACAACTATCCAAAATGAAACACAGAGAAACAAGAAAAAAATAAGAGCATCAGTTAGCTGTGGGATAACTATCAGTTATCTCCTTCAAGTGATGGGGAGAGGGAAGGGAGGTGTTTAAAAAATAGAAAAAAGGTTTTCTATTTAATGAAATGTATAAGCCCACAGGTCCAAAAAATCTCAATGAACTCCAAGCATAGGAAAGAGAAAATTACACCAGGCACATCATAATCATATTACTCAAAACCAGCCATAAAGAGAAAATTTTAAAAGCACCCAGAGAAAAAAAGGATATGTTAAATATGGAGGAACAAAAATAAAGCCAACAAATTTCTCATCACAAACAATTCAAGTGACAAAACAGTGGAGCAGTATCTTTAAAATACTAAAGAAGAAAAGCCAATTTATAATTCTATACCCAGTGAAAATATCTTCAAAACAAAGATGAAATCCTTTTTCAAAGTTAGAAAAAAAGAAAGAATTTATCACCAATAGTCCCCTACCAAAAGAAATGTTAAAAGAAATTCTTCAGACAAAAAGGAAATGATACCAGAGAGAAATCTAGATCTATATTGTCAAGAGCAGCAGAAACGGTTATTAAATAGACAAGTACATATGATATCTTCTTAATTAAATCTCTTTAAAAGATAATTGACTATAGTCCAGGGGTGATGACTCACGACTGTAATCCCAGGACATTGTGGGGTCAAGGAAGGAGGACAAGTTGAGCCCAGCAGTTCAAGACCAGCCTGGGAAATATACTGAGACCCTGTCTCTACAAAAAATAAAAAAAAATAGCCAGGTGTGGTGCCACATGCCTGAGTCCCAGTTATTCGAAGGCTAAGATGAGATGATTGCTTCAGCCTAGGAGGTCAAGGCTGCAGTGAGCCATGATCACACCACTGCACTCCAGCCTCAGCAAGAGAGCAAGACCTTGTCTCAAGAAAGGCCAAAAAAAAAAAAAAAAAAAGATAATTATGCAAAAGTAAAACGTATGACAACAGTAGCATAAAGATCAGGAAGGAAGAAATGAAAGTATATTATTATAAAGTTTATACCACATATAAAGTAATAGAATATCACTTGACAAATAGTGAGAAGTTAAATATATATGATACACCCTAGCCTAATCATTAATATAAGTCAACAAAGGAGATACATTAGAATCATTAAAAATGTTCAACTAATTGAAAAGACAGCAGGGAAAGAAGAAAAAAAGAAGAGATGGGACAAATAGAAAACTAAAACCAAAATGAGAGATTTAAACTTCATTATACCAATAACCACATTTAAATAAAATCATCTTAATGCCTTAACTAAAAGGTAAAGACTTGTAGTACACGTCAAAGCAACACTCAACTACCTACTTCCTACAAGAAAAGCATTTTAAATATAAAAACACCACAGGTTAAAAGAATTGAAAAAAAACTACGGAAAAAATAAATGGGAGAAGAGCCAAGATGGGCAACTAGACATAGCCAGGAAGAATATTTCCCACCGAGACTAGACCATCAAGAAGACCAGCACACTCCAAGCAGATCTGCAGAAGAAAGTCACCGAGAGTGGAAAGAGGGAGGACACAGACTCTGGGCTAGAGGAGAAGGAAGCTGGGAACCCTGCATGGGGCTGCTGAGCACCAGGACTTGTTCCTGACCCACAGTCGTTCCTGGGGAAGGGGTGAGTTAAATTGGTGAGAAGTAGCCCACTCTCACTATGGACCTAGAATCCTAGCTGCAGGAGACCCCAGGACCCCCACAGACATTTGAGCTGACAGGAAGAGCTGTATGGAGAAGTGGCAGAAATGGGACCTCAGCAAGAGAGAATATCCAAATAAACACAATCATAAATGACAAGAGGATATTACGACTGACCTCACAGAAATTTAAAAAAAAATTATCAGAGACTATTATGAACACTTCTATGCACATTTCTTCTAGAAAATCTAGAAGAAATGGATAAATTACTATAAACATAAAACCTCCCAAGATTGAACCAGGAAGAAATTGAAATCCTAAGCAGACCAATATCAAGTTCCGAAATTGAATCTGTAATAAAAAGCCTACCAATCCAGCAAAAGCCCTGAACCAGAAGACTCACAGCTGAATTCTACCAGACAAATAAGGGATAGCTGGTACCAATCATACTGAAACTATTGCAAAAAACTGAGGAAGAGGGACTCTTCCCTAACAGATTCTATGAGGTCAGCATCATTCTGATACCAAAACCTGGCCGAGACACACACAAAAATGAAAGTTCACACCAATATCCCTGATGAACACAGATGCAAAAATCCTCAATGAGATACTAGCAAACCAAATCCAGCTGCATATCATAAAGCTAATCCACTATGATCAAGCAGGCTTTATTCCTGGGATGCAAGGTTGTTTCAACATACAAAAATCAGTAAGTGTGATTTATCACATTAACAGAACTAAAAAGAAAAACCACGTGAACATCTCAATAAATGCATCTTAACAGTCTCAAAAGGCTTTTGATAAAAGTCAACATCGCTTCGTGTTAAAAACCTTCAACAAACTAAGCACTGAAGGAACATACCTCAAAATAATAGCCATCTATGACAAACCCACAGCAAACATCATACTAAACAGGCAAAAACTAGAAGTATTTCCCTTGAGAATCAGAATTAAGACAAGGATGCCCACTCTCAGCACTCTTATTCAACACAGTACTGGAGATCCTAGCCAGACCAATCAGGCAAGAGAAAAAAAATAAAAGGCATCCAAATATGAAGAGAGAAGTCAAACTATCGCTTTCTGCAAATGATATATGGTTTTTTTAATCTTTATTTTTATTTTTTTTAGACAGAGTCTCCCTGTCGCCCAGGCTGGAGTGCAGTGGCACAATCTCGGCTCACTGCAACCTCAGCCTCCTGGGTTCAACTGATCCCACTGCCTCAGCCTCCTGTGTAGCAGGGATTACAGGCACCCACCACTATGCCTGGCTAAATTTTTTTTGTATTTTTAGTAGAGACGGGGTTTCACCATGTTAGCCAGGATGGCCTCAATCTCCTGACCTCGTGATTCGCCTGTCTCGGCCTCCCAAAGTGTTGGGATTTCAGGCGTGAGCAACTGCACCCAGCCATGATATGATTTTATACCTTGAAAATACAATCTCTATCCAAAAGCTCCTAGATCTGATAAACAACTTCGGCAACGTTCCAGGATACAAAATCAACAGACAAATATCAGCAGCATTTCTATACATCAACAATGTCCAAGCTGAGAGCCAAATCAAGACTGCAATCCCATTTCTATAGTAGTCACAAAAAAATAAAAATAAAACACCTAGGAATACAGCTAACCAGGGAGGTGAAAGATCTCTACAACAAGAATTATAAAACACTGCTGAAAAAAATCAGAGATGACACGAACAAGTGGAAAACATTCCATGCTCACGGATAGGAAGAATCAATATTGTTAAAATGGCCATACGGCCCGAGGCAATTTACACATTTCATGCTATTCCCATCAAACTACAAAGACATTTTTCATAGAATTAGAAGAAAACAATACTAAAATTCATATGGAACCAAAAAAGAGCCAGAATAACCAAAGCAATCCTAAGCAAAAAGAACAAAGTTGGAGGCATCACATTACCCACCTTGAGACTATAGTAACCAGAACAGCATAGTACTGGTAAAAAACAGACCAACGGAACAGGTTAGAGAACCCAAAATAAAGCCATACAACTATAACCATCAACAAAGTCAACAGGTAGGGCACGGTGGCTCACCCTTGTAATCCTAGCACTTTGGGAGGCCGAGGTGGGTGGATCACCTGAGGTCAGGAGTTTGAGACCAGCCTGGCCAGGATGGTGAAACCCCATCTCCACAAAAATACAAAAAAATTAGCCAGGCACGGTGGCAGGCGCCTGTAATCCCAGCTACGTGGGAGGCTGAGGCAGGAGAATCTCTTGAACCTAGGGGGCAGAGGTTGCAGTGAGCCAAGTTTGCGCTGCTGCACTCCAGGCTGGGCGACAGAGCGAGACTCTGACTCAGAAAAAAAAAAAAAACAAGTCAACAAAAACATTAATGGAAAAAGGACTCCCAATTTAACAAACAGTACTGGAATAATTGGCTAGAAGATTGAAACTGGACTCCTTCCTTTTACCACATACGAAAATCAACTCAAGATGGATTAAAGACTTAAATGTAAAACCTAAAACTATGAAAACCCAGAAGAAAACCTAGATTTCATGCAGACTGTAAAAGCAATTGCAACAAAAACTAACAAGTGGAACCTAAGTATAGAGCTTCTGCACGTCAAAAGAAATTATCAACAGACTGCACATCAAAAGAAATTATCAACAGACAACCTACAGAATGGGAGAAAATATTTGCCAACTATGCACCCAACAAAGGTCCAACATCCACAATCCACAGTTCCTGTCTCATGTTCCCCTACCTTTTCTGATTGTGGGTCTTAATACCCTCCCATGAGAGGGTCCCACCCTATACCCTGTGGGAAGAAATGATAATGTCATGAAGCTTCCATAAAAACCCAAGAAGAGAGGGTTCAGTAAGCTTCCAGATAGCTGAACATGTATAGGGCAAGAGGAAGGTGAAGAAGAACTCTTCCATGTACAGGGAGGGTCGTGCACCCCATCTCCACAGGGTCAGAAGCTCCAGTGCTTGGGACCTTTCCAGACCTCACCCTATGTACCTCTTTATCTGGCTATTTATCTGTATCCTTTAAAATATCCTTCTTAGTAAACGTGTTTCTCTGAGTTCTGTGAACAGCCCCAACAAATTAATCGAACCCAAAGAGGGGGTTGTGGGAATCTCAACTTGATGTGTGTGTCAGAAGTTCCGGAAACCTGGGCTTGCAACTGGTGGGGAAAGGAGGGAGCAGTCTTGGGGAAGGAGCCCTCAACCTGTGGGATCTGGCACTACACCTCCAGGTAGATAGTGTCAGAATTGAACTGGAGGATACCTGGCTGGTGTCCACTGCTTGGTGGTGGGGAGAGACCCCCCCACACACATTTGGTCACAGGAGTTTTCTTTGCATAAATGACTGCTGTGGTGTGAGAGTAGAGGAAAAACACAGAGTTTTCCCCACACAATAAGAACTGAAATTAACAACAACCACATAACCCCATTAAAAAATGGGCAAAGGACATGAACAGACACTTCTCAAAAGACAAATATGTGGCCAACAAACATGAAAAAATGCTCAAAGTCAATAATCATTAGAGAAATGCAAATCAAAGCAACAATGAGATATCATCTCACACCAGTCAGAACATTATTAAAAAGTCAAAAAACAGCAGATGCTGGTGAGGGTGCAGAGAAAAGAGAATGCTTATACACTGCTGGTGGGAAAGTAAATTAGTACCGCCACTGAAGAAAGCAGTTTGGAGATTTCTCAAAGAACTACAATTTGACCCAGCAATCTATTACTGAGTTTGTATACCTAAAGGAATATAAATACCCAAAGGAGTGTAAATCATTCTATTATAAAGACACATGCACATATATGTTCATTGCAGCACTATTCATAATAGCAAAGACATGGAATCAACCTAAATGCCCAAGAATGATAGGCTGGATAAAGAAAATGTGGTACAGACAACACCACAGAATACTATGCAGCCATAAAAAAGAACAAGATCATGTCCTCTGCAGGAACATGGATGGAGCTGGAAGTCATCCTTAGCAAACACATACAGGAACAGAAAACGAAATACCACATGTTCTCACTTATAAGTGGAAGCTAAACATTAAGTACACATGGATACAAGGCAAATATAGATACGCAGGCCTACTTAGGGGTGGAGGATGGAAGGAGGGTGAGGATCAAAAAACTATTTATTGGGTACTATGCTTATCACCTGGGTGACTAATCTGTACGCCAAACCCCCATGACACATAATTTACCCATGTAACAAATGTGCCCATGTGCCCCCTAAGTCTAAAAACAAAAGTTGGAAAGAAAACAAAAAGAAAAAAACTATGCCAGGTGAACATTAACCAAAAGAAAACTAGCATGGCTAAATTAATCTCAAGGTAAATTTCACAACAAATAACATTATCTGCAATTAAAAAGATCATTTCATAATGATGAAGGGGTCAATTTATAAAGATGTAAAAATGCTAAATATTTATGTACCTAGTAAGACAGCTTCAAAACACATGAAGCTAAATATGATACAAATATAAGAAAAAACTGCTTTAATCCATGATTGTATTCAGATATTTCACTATCCCTCTCTGTTACTGACAGAACAAGTAAGCAAAAAATCAACAGACATGGAAACTTGAACACTGTCAACCAACCTGACCTAACTGACACTTGAAGAACACACTACTCAACAACAGCAGAATGCACTTTCTTTTCAAATATAAACAAAACATTTTCCAAGACGTATTTTGTCATAAAACAAGTCTCAATAAATAAATGAGGGTCATACAAAATGTTTCTTGAGCACAATGGAATAAAAATAGAAGTAACAGAAAGATCTCTGGAAAATCCTCCAGGAAGGGAAAAAAAGAAAGGAAATACTAAGCTAAATGCTCCAATGTCATAATATTTATATACCCATAAAAAAGTAAATACTGAAGATTTAACCAAAACTTCACTACAAATATGTTGGGGGGAATAGGAGAGGGTGGTATAAGAAAGCAAAGGCTTTATATATCACAACAAGGTAAAAAAAAAATGTGTACAACTGATAAATCAAAAAGTCAGCAATATATGTATATTAATCATAAATATGGAGAAGTATAAATTTAGATGAAACAGCAGACAGAATTCAGAGTCATTGTTTCCTCTTAATCACTGCATGTGGGGAAACTTGGAGTAGAAAGGGCAGGGCATTTTGTTACATGTAATATTTTGACTTTTCAAACTACATACATGTAGTACTTTAATAAAATACCTTTAAAGAGATTTCATCTATATCATCTAATTTTATTCCCAGGGAAGGAGGTATAGTAACCCCCAATTTGACAAATGAGGAAACTAATATTTCAGGTAAAGTAGCTTGTCCAAAATCTAAGCCACCACAACTTTTTAATTTAATCATATAAATAATATAAATTATGCCTGTTATGGCATCATCTACACAGATAAATATGAAAAGGAAAAAAATTAAATTGTTTTTAAATCTCAGTTTTATTTCTGGAAATATTTTTATTTTCTGCTCTCTACTATAGATGACTAGTTTACTGTCACAGAACAAGATGAAATATTCACACTTAACCTCCTGTTAACAGATTTTTAAAAGAAATTTGAACAAAGAAAGATTTTGGCAAGTGTAAAGAACAAAACTGTACTCAAAAGTAAACACTATTTTAATCATTATCTTTAACTGGGGTTAGGTGCACATAACATAAAATTTACCATCTTAACCGTTTTTAATCGTACAGTTCCAGTGGCATTAAGTACATTCACGTTGTTGTGCAACTACTGCCACTAACATCCATCTCCAGAGCTTTAACATCCATCTCCAGAGCTTTTTTTCATCTTCCCAAATTGACTTTCTTTATCCATTAAACAACTCTCCAGTTCCCCCACCCTCTAGCCCCTGGAAACCACCATTCTATTTGTCTCTATGAATATGACTACTGTAGGTACGTCACGTAAGCAGAATAAATAGTATTTGTTCTTTTTGTGACTGGCTTATTTCACTTAGCATAATGTTGTCAAGGTTCATTCACGCTATAGCAAAAACACTTGTTAAAAGCCAGTTTCCAAAACAGCATAAACATCAATTATTTGATAATGCTGTGAGAAATTAAGGCACTGGTGAATTCAAGGGAAATTAGTAAAAAAATTAATGCTTCCCTCTCCCCCAACCCTGATCAGGACACCAAAAAGGGGGAAAAAAATAGGTCACAATTTTAAACTATTGAGAAAGGGTATCCTGGTAACTTTACAGTGTGCATGAAGGAATGGGGGGAAAAATTGTAATTTTGTGTTTTGAAAAACCCAATTACTTTTCTAAGGTTGTTGCTCTTTTGAGCTGTGCGACAAAGGCCTATAGGGAAGGGCTTCTCTAAATGTAAACTAGGTCTGTGTTTTCCTTCTTAAGGGTGGAGCCATGCAAAAGACAAAAGCGCTAATAATGTCAGATGTTCACAAAACCTTGAGTCATGGTAAGTATCTTATAAATCAGAAGTGAAATAGCCTCCATTCAGTCACATAGAGATCAGGTAGGAAATACAAGACACTTGACCTTTACAGTGTACTTTGAAAAGGTTCCCTTGGTTGCAGTTTTTAAAAAACAGACTTGTATGCTTTTACATTCCCCATTATTCTCTCACTCTGAACCTCCACAATGAATACCCTGTATTTATGTCCATCTAAAATTCAGACAGAAGTCCTAGGCAGCCTTTCAATGGAGCCACTAAACAAACCACACCAACCCTTTAAGACACCAAAAACACCACTCTGATGTTAGGGTGGGGTTGTTTCTCTGAATTTTAATTTATAATGCAACTAGAATCACTGACCAAATTTTAACAAGAAGTGGTGACCAGCAGTGCCTCAGGTATCCAGGTGTCTGATAAGCACTCAAGCAAGAGCTGTGCTTTTCATAAACTCAGAGTATTGACACCAAAAAAGGAAAAAGTCTGCTAAAACAAAGTCAGGTATTTTATATGACAACTATATAAAACAGTGTTTTAGACAAGACATTCATTTTTGCTTTATAAAGATTAAACCATATGGTGTGTCCAAAAATAAATTACCACTGATAACTAAAATAAGACTATGTCGGCCGGGTGCCATGGCTCACACCTATAATCCTAACACTTTGGGAGGCCAAGGCAGGTGGATCACTGGAGTTCAGGAGTTCGAGACTAGACTAGCCAACATGGCAAAACCTCATCTCTACTAAAAATACAAAAATTAGCTGGGCATGGTGGTGCAGGGAGGCTGAAGCAGGAGAACTGTTTGAACCGGAGAGGCAGAGGTTGCAGTGAGCCAAGACTGCACCACTGCAATCCACCCTGGGAGACAGAGCGAGACTCTGTCTTGAAAAAAAGACTATGTCAATGATCTTCCAATGCAAAATTTCCCATTGTCCAAAATTATCTGCCTCCACGTGGTATTTTTCCAGAATACCATATAGTTTCCCCCAAGCCCTGAGACAGGAATAATACAGGGTGGTTGAAGGGGAAAAGAAAATTCCAGGCAGCAGTTTCACATGACTAGCAAAAAGGAAACTGTTGAAATACATACATAAGCTAGGAGCCAAGAAGACCCTGAAAAGCAGAGTGTGGGTTAAGCTAGCTAAGACGAAGTGGACCCAACATGGCACTGGATTTGACCTAGGTTTCACCTAGGACCTCATTATATGCTCATTAACATACTAAATCACACCCACCAATGCCAAGACAGTTCCGGGAGCACCCATACTGGTGTAAAAATGGGTGGCACTAAAGTTGAGAAATTTTCACCTTTTTCCAGAAATCTTCATGAATACTCCACCCCTTGATTAAAGAAACCCATACAGATAGAAGCCAAACCCTGTCTGGAGTATGCTCGCACTCCCCTTTCTTGAGCATGTACTTTTCATTTTGCAATAAATCTTAGTACATTTCACTATTTTCCAACTCATCCTTGAATTCCTACTGAAGACACTGTCAAGAGCCTGACCATTGATCAGAGTTGATGTCCCACTGGCATTTAGGGACCTCCCCCAGCCCACTGGTATCAGCCCAAAAGAAAAAATATTAAATACTTAGTATTGTCATTACTTAAGTTCTCAAATTGCTACCCAAGTTATATGAAGCACCTTTCTCCACGTGATATACGCTGTAGGTCAAAACACAAGACCTCAGTCATCACAAAAGAAAAACCGATTTAGTAGTTTTGCCTTTCCCATTCAATGAAGACAAATTTTGGCCTAAGGGAAGCATACACACAGTTTTTTCTCTTTTCTTTTTTTAGGCTCCTCCTCTTGTAGGGCCATGTAGGGATTTTGAGAAAAGAATTTTGTCTCTGTGATATTTTATAAACCCAGGCTACTTGATAGAGGGACACTATAAAAAAGATCCATTTCCACAGAGTATGTATCTTAGAACATGAAACACTTTATCATGGGTTTTTTAAAAATCTATAATAAAGATTTTCATCAAGTTTGGGGAAATTTCTTTAAGGTACTAATGATGCAGATAGTGTTTTTGGACGTTTTAGTTCTTCTTGTAATTGCTATATGGTATAAAATCTCATATAAAATCCAACTGTCATATTTAAATAAAAATTTTAATTAAAAATTATAATCAACACATCTAAATAACTGTATGCATGTGCATAAACCCACATACACACAAATACACAAAAATTTGACAACTGTATCAACTCTACAGAACAATGAATGTTTACCTGCAAGACTAACAGCACCTGAATTAAGAGATAGTAAACAGAAAAAGGCATACAATCCTAAAGCAGTATCTACAAATTAAAGGGTTGTTGCAACTTTGTTATAGATTTATTTCTAGTCTCATCTTCAAGATTACTAATATAGCATGTAACACTGGAAGGAGAAAGGAAACTGAGGTTGAAGTATGCAAATAAAAGATGAAATAATAAGCCACTTTACCCTCACCACTTCAGTTTACTTTGAAACTCATTAATTCAGTAGACATTTGGACTGAGTACCAGTGTTTTGGTAAGAAAAGGGCTCTAAAATTCTTTCCACTCAAATATTCTATGATCATCATTTACTAATATCACATGATTAATGGGATTCGCACTTCTAGAGTTCCTAAAAGCAAAACCAGTGTTTACAAATACTTATGATGCACACTGAGTAACAGGTATAGGAGAAATGAATAACCCAGCTTTCAGTTGCCATTGGAAGCCTGGGACCTGCATGAAAATAATTTTTGAGAAAGATTTCCTGACATTAATTTGTGCTTCAGGCATGGAAATTAACAGCTACTGGATCCTAAAACATATGAGTTAAGGAAAACACTGTCACTTTATGCAAAGCTGGAAAATACAGTGTTCTCTACAGATATCAAACATTTTTAAACAAAATTCAATCTCCTGGACTGTCAGTTTAGCTACAGGTTAAAACAGTGTTGAGGAGAAGATGGAAGCACATTTAAACTTTAATATCTTTACTCAGAAAACTGAACAATTTAAAGTACTAGCAATATGGAGGTTAATCTTCAAATCTGAAGTACAGGGCATTTAGTAATACTGTTACAATGATCGTCTCTTCAAACCAGCAGTAGGGCTTGCAAGACTTTCCCAGTACAATGTTAGAAATGCCTATGTTTAGTTTCACTTAGTCCAATTAACTGGCCTCCTCTACTACAGACATCATTTTTCTAGAAACCTTTTTTTTCAACATGATACTCCTACATACTTTTTAATTGAACTGTTCTACAGAAATGCATTCCTTTTGTTCTCTCTTGTTTGCATAGGTTAATACATGCTATAATGTTGTCTAAACCTGTCACCAAGTCTTTCTACGTCTAGCTTTCCCTTGGATGTCTTTATTTCAAAGTTTTTGATACAGTCCCACTTTTTCTTCAAAGTAAGTTTTATGTTTTCCTTATTCCAATGATGAATTACAGTTTATCTGCTATATCAGCTAAAAAGAGAACTCTATTTTTAGGGTAGATGCAAATACAATAACAGAAGTAACTGATGAAGTGTCTCTCTATGACGTGAATTAGTAAACTATTAGCCTATGGTCTATTCAGAAACATCTGTGCTATAAATATTTGGTGAAAGTGCAGCTAAACTTCCAAATAGCCTTAAGTCATTGATGGCTCAAAATTCAATTATCTGAAAATAATATTCCCACAAGATTGTAGAAGCTTACATTCACCTTCATAATTTTTAAGTATCTCTGGGGGAAGGAGTGTCACCACTAAATTGAAAACTTGGCTTGATATATTATAAAAATAAAAAGAGGCTGACATATCTATTGGTTTCATATACCCTCACCTTCCTAAACATGAACAAATTCAAAATTCAGCAGCAGCCATTGGTTCAATATTCATAAATTTACAGAATTTTGCTAACATGTCTCAAATGATCATGAAGGAAAAAAGTACATTTTTAATGACAAACTTTTAAATTTATTTAGTTACCTTAAGAAACTTGTAAAACCACATTTTATGGAGGTAAACTTTACCCTTCTTTTCAAAGAAAAAAAAATATATATATATGATCTTTTATAATGGCTCTTCTTTGTGAGTCAAAGGGTTAAAACCATCTCTTTTATTCCCAAATGAGTATCAGCACCATTCAGAGGTGCCATGTTTTATTTAAAACATACTCTTACTCAGTAACCACTTTGTTCTAATTGGCAAGGCAAAGCCAGGTCCCTAAAGCACACAGCCCATTACATTCAGTTTGGATTAAAAAACACAGGATGAAACAAACGGCATCGAAATGTACAAATTAACAGCTCAGGAGTATGGGACAGAGAGGTGGAATTAGATTGTAATATGGAACAAAACCCACAGGGAAGCTGGGGAACAAATCACTAGTGTCTCTATAAACTATACAAGGTTTCCAAATGAGCAAATACACAAAGCAAAGGACAGGCTTTTCCATAACTCAACCAAACTGATAAATATGGATACAACAAAACAGGAGTTTTTTTCCATACTATTATTATGCACACATGTATGAGAGAACGGGAGTACCAACTGGAAGGTTTAACAAATGAAATCTGCAGGTTGCACAGTCTAAATACGAAATTCATCTTTGCTTTCACACTGACAATGTGCAAACAGCCTTGCAATTAAATCACACTTCCAAACATTTTCAAAAAAATTCTTCTGAGAAGCTAAACACAGGAGACTAAATAGAAATGGTGCTTCACTACGCAGCACAGAGAGCAAGGTTAATGAGCTAAAAGTCATATGAACAAGAACAAGAAAGATGTTAAGAAATGAAGATCTCACCACCAAAACAGAAAATGTGTTAGACAAAAACACTCCCCCCACCACATATGCACACCTTTTCCTAAATTAGCTACTCTTGTGAAGCTTTCAGCACTGTTTCTCTGATTATGAGGGGATCTAGAGGCAAACTACAACTGAACTAAAAGAAAAGAGCAGAAGAAAAGAGAATACTCCTACACACAAATGCAAAACAATGTTACTGTTACATCCTCACAGTACAATCCCGACTAATCTATTTAGCTTTGGTTTTCACAGTACAATTCCATCTAAGTCTACTACTTTCATCCTAATAACATCAAACAGTGGAGATTAGATCCAAGTCTAAACTTCCATTGATCAAATCTCAGTTCTTTAAAATTTATTTAATCTTGGGAACATGAGTTAACCCATTTGAGTCAGTTTCCTTATCTGTAAAATGGAGCTATAAAATCACCAACATTGTAAGAATCAAATGTGATAATATTGTATTAAAGGACTTCATAATATAAAAGGGCTGCAGCAATCTTAGTTACAATTGCAATTATTTCATTTCAGGATTTTACTGCCTTTAAAAACAAAAACAAACAAAAACCCATGTAATTGTCTATGCCTTTCCTCTCTTTTTTCACAAAAACTAATTCTTGTTCCACTACTAAAATATCTGTCTTTCAGCATTCTCCATTTAAGATTATGTGTCATTTTTCTTTTTCTTCAAGCCGGAAGTCTTAAGGTATTTTTTCTTCTCTCTCCCCAATATTTAGTTTAAAAGTAAATTAAGAAATGTAAAACAACCTTTGATAATAGTTAAAATTGTCACTCTCTCTTTCTTGCTCCTGCTTTTGCCATGTGATATGCAAGTTCTTGCTTGGCCTTCTGCCATCACTGGGAACTTCCAGAGACCTCCCCAGAAGCAGATGCCAGTACTATGCTTCCTGTACAGCCTGCAGAACTGTGAGCCAATCAAACCTCTTTTCTTTATAAATTAAAAAAAAAATAGTTAAGACTGTTAACATACAGTTAGATCTACTTTACACTGCAAGAACCAGCTAAGCACTGAAGCTTTTAAAGGGTATAAAATTTTATAGCATGAAAGATGATATTTTAGTCATACATTAATGGCCCAAAAATAATGTCCCATCTTTTTACTCATCATCCCTACTGTGGACTAAGAATTAAGTACAAGTGGGTATTATATCCAGGAAAAATGTCAAAAAGCAACCTCATCATAATCTTCTAATTCACACACAAAGGCAACAGCCAGAACAAGAATTACGCTAAGTATCTGAAACTTGGTGGAGCCAAAGCCTCTGAAGCACAAAACAGTCCCGTGCTTTTCTGAGTCTATCTGAAAGTTATCCATATTCCTGACAAGTCTAAAAGGGAGCCCATAAACCTAAGCCTGGTCATTCTGATACAGTAGCCTGTATTAGTCTACTGAGGATATGAAACATAGGGAATATTACCAATTAACTCCCCACACTGCCCGCCTCCCCACCCCGAGACAGAGCCTTGCTCTGTCGCCCAGGCTGGAGTGCAGTGGCACAATCTCAGCTCACTGCAACCTCCACCTCACAGGTTTAAGTGATTCTCCTGCCTCAGTTTCCGGAGTAGCTGGGATTACAGGCGTGCACCACCACTCCCAGCTAATTTTTATATTTTTAGTAGAGATGGGGTTTCACCATGTTGGCCAGGCTGGTCTCAAACTCCTGACCTCGTGATCCGCCCGCCTAAGCCTCCCGAAGTGTTGGGATTACAGGTGTGAGCCACCGTTCCTGGCCTTAACTCTTATACTACTTTTCATGTCACAGAGGGTCGTCTAATTACATGAAAAGAGGCCAACTGTATCCAACCCAAACAGTTCTCTAAACTAGAAGTCTCCAAGCTTTGATAAAGGTGTACCATCAGCATAAAATTTGAGTGCACATCTCTTCCATTTCTGTTTTAAAAGTAGTTACATATTCCCGTAGTGGACTGAATGATGCACCCTGTCCCTGTCCCCACCTCCCAAAATATGTCCACCCAGAATCTGTGAATGTGATAATTTTGGGAAAAAAAGCTTCTGCAGATGTAATTAAGTTAAGGATTTCCAGATGAGATAATCCGGGATAAGACTGAGCCAATGACAACTGTCCTTAGAGGAGACAGAAGAGGGAAAGATAGAGACTCACAGGGGAGAAGGCCATGTGGATGAAGCAGAGACTAGAATGATATGTCTATGAGCAAAGGAATGCCAAGAACTATTGACAAGCCAGAAACAAGCAGCAGCATGGAATGAATTCTCCCTCAAAGGTTCTAGAGGAAACCAACCCTGCCATTACCTTGGTTTTAGACTTCTGGCCTCCAGAACTGTGAGAGAATAAACTTCTGTTGTTTTAAACCACCAAGTGTATGGCAATTTGTTGTGGCAACCCTAGGAAACTAATACAGATACCAATGAGATTATGTATACAGGACAAAAATAAACACAAGTAGGAATTCTAACATTTTCTCTCTATGCCACAATGGATAATCCTGTCTACCACAAAGAGACTACAGCTTTAGACCAACAAGAGGGAAGAAATAAAGCCAAGTGACAGACTAAACTATCTTAAAAGACCTAGTAACTACTAAATTTCTTCCATTTTCCCTATCATACTCTAACACATGGTCACAATTTTCCCACTTGAGGCCTGAAAGAAGCCACCTCTCAGCTATTTCACAGCACTGAGCACTGTTTCCCGTTAGAAATGCAACAATTATTTTTGACATAA